>NC_000012.12:100793461-101096491 GCF_000001405.40 Homo sapiens
TCAGCTTGCCTACGGGTAGAGATCACAGCAAAATGTGCAAATGGTATTCCAACTTCTAGGTAAAAACAGACAACTAAAATTAAAAACTCTACATCATGTAAGTCACCTGGAAAAAAAAAACAGAAAACAAAACCCGAGGGCATTTGTATATTCCTGTTAACTCTTGACTGACTAAAGGGAGTTATCTTTTCTGCAGTGATAAAAAGGTGGCCCAAGACAATCTCCCCATCTTACAAAAAGTTCTGAAGTTTTACTGTGGAGTCCAATTAAACTGGCATTTAACTTCAGAAACTACATCCCTATATAATGTAATCATCACAACCAAATACAAATTAATTAATATATATGGACAAAGTTTATAAGTTCAATATTAGAATAGGGGAAAAGGGAAGTAGGAAAAGTTTAGAGTCCTCCACGCATCCTTCATTTATCACCAAGAGATTTGCTCCTTTGCTCCTTCTGTTAGTGTAAGTCAGAATTTCTCAATTTTCAGTGTGTTTATGAATTGTTATTATTGTTTATCCCAAACACATATTTTGTCTTATAGGTGATTTAAGAGCTCTAAAAGGGACATGTTAACTATCTTCAGAAGCTCACCTCTAACAATATTTCTATACCTATATTATACAAGAAAACTAATGAAGATTGACAGTCAAATTCCTGGAGAGACCTTTGACCCTTCTCTGTCTTAAATTTTTCACTTCTGAAATAGAAAGCCGGGTCACTGGTCATCTTATCCTGCACTTTGGGCATAAAGAAGCTTAGGTCCAAAGCGCCATTACTGTACTCATGATGACCCCTTGAAGGCACATCAGTAGGGCTGTCTGGACTGTGACATGCCATCAGACATCATTTAGGGGACTTCAAGTCTGGCTTCTTGCAGAGATGCTGTGGGATGCCTCAAAAACTTCCTGCATGGCTAGTGTAACTATGGGGCTTTAGATCTTTGTTAAATACAAGCAAACATTAACAGCAGCAGTGGAGAGGATAAGTTGCCAATCCTCCCAAATTTCTTTTCCAGGCAGGGGGTTGTCCTGCCGCTCTCAGAACTGGCTGTCATCTGCTGCTCTCTTGTCACACTGACACGGCCCCCTGGCTGGGCTGATTGGTCGCTGGCAATAACTGATATGGAATACTGATGTTCTCTCCGGCAGTTCCTTCCACTCTAAAGAGACTCCTTTTCATCCCTCTTCTCGCCTTTCCTAGCCCAGCCTAGTGCCCACCCTCCCCCGACCATGCCTCCCCTGCACCTGGGGAGGGGGAGGACCAGTCCTGGGCGTGATGCTCTGAGACGGTGGTGAAATCCACCAGGCTGCTTTCACTCCGGCTCGCTCTCCGGAGAGTCCTGTTCCAGACTTCTCAGGGTTTTTACAGCACAAACAACTGCATACGGCCCGAGGGGAGGCTGAAAAGGACTTGTGTGTGGTGGTTTTATTGCCTGTCATCACTTTGCTGGCCTCCTCCCGACTGGAGCCTGGAGGTTCACAGTGGATTTCTTTCTGCCGAAGACACCAAGGCACTGAGGAAGGATCCCTTCTCCTTCTGTTGACTCTTTCTATTTTTATGGTAAGTGCTTACGTTGAATGAGCTGCTCTGTTGCTGCAGTGAACTGAACCGTTCGTTCCCCCTCTTCCCAGCTAAGCTTAGTGACCTTCCTTCTGCATTTCCTCTGTTTTCATGGATCTTGTCTGGGATGATCCAGCTTCAAAAATGCCAGGGGTCATTTGCCTGGAGTGTTTGTCTTTTTATCTTTTTTCCATAAACGTGAGCTCTTCTGCTGTGATACGAATATAAGTGCTCTGTCTTTGTCCTTGAAGCAGCAGCCGGGGAAATGTGTTCACGATGGTAAACTGCAGCAGCGTGCAGGGAATCTGTGGAGGATGACTGACAAATTTGGGCAGGATGAATCCTCAGTGTGCCAGGGGCACTCACTCAGGATCAGAAGGGCCGGGGGTGACCTGCCCACATAGCAAACTCTTCCATCTTTGTGGATAAAGATGAGCACACACGTGTGAGTTATGTTGAGTCTGCTGTGGGCAGCTGTGTTTTCTGCACCTGCCCGTGTGGGTCTGGGATGACCCTATATCTTGTGGGGTTTACAACTTGGGCAGGAACATTCTCAGCAGGAGGAATCCTGAGCTGGCAGACGGAGTAGACTGCATGACCTCATTGCTTCTTTCCCTTCTGAGTCTCAGGGTACCCAGTTCTGCAAACCATATTTTACAGGCTCTTCAGAGAGTGGTAGGGCAGTGATGACAGGAACATTTTTGAGTTGACAACATAGTTTTGTCCTCCTGCTAGGAGATAAAATACTTTGAGGTTATTAGAATGGTTAGACTTTTCTAGGAGAACATAAGCAGGTTTCTGACGAAGACTATGGATGTGGCAGATTGTTTATTCCAGGGACATTACTCTTACAATAGTGCTCTAATTTTTCACCTGGTCTCCTGAGGTTTGCTGCAAAGAGCATCACAACTTCAAGTCTATTACTGGCAGCTTCTTGACGCCCAAAGGAAACCAAGAACATTTTATTAGTTTCACTCCTGTGCGTTGCAGGAGTCTCTCTTAACAGGGATTTTTTTTTTTTTTTTTTGGTAGCAGGTGTGTCGAACTATTTTGGTCAAAGCATCATTCCAAAGAATAGCTTCGCAGTTGTAATTCTATTTAGTTATTTTCAAGTCTTGGACCGGAGGTGGGTTATCTTATTTGTGTAGGTTTTTCCATTCTGGTCCATTTCACTCTAGAGAGGGTTCTTGCCAAATGTAATTCAGTCTCTGATTCATAAGGTACTGAACTAATACAATGTGATTTTTTGTGATAAGTGAGGGGAGAGAATGTGGGGTGAAATTTCCAGTCTCTCCTCCTGCTCTTTGGGAGTTTGGAATGTAAAGTTCCCTAACTGCTTGCTCATTTTCACTACTTTTATGTCCCCTGTTCATGTGGATTTTTCTTGAAATAGTGGTGATGACATCAGACATATGCCTTTACCTTCTTCTCTGGGTCCAAAGTAGATGCGTTTGTTGTTGTTCTGTTTTTGTTTGTTTTTTATTTCAGTGAAGGGTTCCTTGCATTTGTAAAAGCATACGTTTAAATAAAAAACAAGAATTTGTAGATGTTTACATGTTAGCCCTGTTCAAGAGTAAAACCAGCACAGAGGTTAACAGCAAAAAAAAAAAAAATTCAAAACAATTTTTAAAATATTATCAGCATTGCTTGGCTTAGCTGTTCTAATATCCACTCTTCCCTACACTCGATTGTGGTTCGCGGCAATACTGTATTGTAATTTGACTGTCAGACTGCTCTGCTTCCTCTTTAATTCTTTAATGTTTAGCTGTTTACTTTCATCCTTAATGGTGTGTTCTTACTTTGCTTAATCTTTTTTTCTCTTTTTCTAATTGAAAGGATGTTATATAGTGCCTGGTAACTCAACTGAGGATACTCATTAAGATGGAAAGTGTTAGAATCAGCTTGGGTGTCATGGAAATAGACTCAGTATTTCTCACTGCAGGCAATTTCAGAATCATTTAGAACATATTTCATTTTAATTAGTAGCAACTTTAGCCTTGAGAAAAAACATTATTTAGGTTTCCTTTATTTTGCTAAACAGATTGTGTACCTATGCAATCAGAATTGTATATATATGTGCAATTGTTTATATATATGTGTGTGTATATATATATATATACACACATATACAAGCGTGTACACAAATGTACTGTTGTTTGTACTGTGTCAATTGTATATACTTAAAAAATTGTTGTAGCATGCCCATTTGGAGAACAGAAGGAAAATTCCTCAGATATTGCTTTAACTGGCTTTTTTTTTTTTTTGGTAAGGATTTCCCCACTTCCTAGACCCCACTTCCAGATAATGCCTTTAAGAATTTCTTTGAATTGGGAGAGTGCATTTTTCAGCATTTCCTTGTCTCACAGCATGGTGTCATGTTAATTCCTTTGCAGGGTCTCTGAAAGCAGCATAGAAAACTACTGCAGGAAAAATTGATAAAAGCTGTGCTGAGCGGAGCCTGTAGCCTCTTGGTGTGATGAAGTCACTGCAACATTTTGTGTGTATTTATTTTGCTGCTATGCCTTGCAACTGATTTTGCTTGCAGACTTAGCAAATTGAAGTTATTTAAAATGGGTCTGGAAACACCTAGATTGGTGTAGATGCAGTTGATGCAGTTATTCTTTTTTTTTTTACACTCTTTAATTACAACTATCATCAAAACTGTGCTTTCACTGTTTCTTTTGGTGGTGGTTTAATTTGAAACTTGCAGCTTAAATTATAAACCAAGTCTCCCTTTTAAAGTCCTCTTGCCTTCTGCTTTCTCTCTTCTTCACTTTTGCCATTTTATATATGTGAACATGCCTACATGTACACAGACAAACTCAGACAGTGAAAAATGTACAACAATTAATGAAGAGATGATTACAGCTTTTCTTTTAGTAACCAAACTCCAAATGTTGAAACCATAATCATGTAACTGAGGGAAGAAATTGTTTCTGTTAGTATAAATATAACCTCATACTTCTGCAGGCATTCTTATCATTGAAACTGTTTTCCATAGTTGATTACCAGGACCAGAAATAGAATTGATTTTGCATTTTAATTAATGACATTCTGGATCTGTCTAGGTTGGACTGCCCTCAAACCTTGATATGTTTACTGTCTAAAAGGTCTTTGTGTTAAGAGGGGGAGTTTATGGGTGTTATAAAGTAAAATCATTTGATTATGTGATACAGCTTTTCTTTGGTAACTGAATGAACCATATCATTAGAATGTTGGCTGAATTTTTATGTTGCTTTTCCCAATATTATTTAGCCAATATAATCCCTTTTACCATCTCTTTGAGCCCCTTTTACAGAGTACAAAGAGTTATGTGCGACTCCCACATGAGGCTTCTTAGAGGGAAGACTGTTCTTCAGCAGAGATTCAGAACTACTTCTAGCACCAGCTCTGGTAATCTACTTGGAAAGGAACTTGCAATTCAATTGGCAACTCAGGCAGATTGTATAAAATAGGAGAAATGCTTCATGAGCTGTGTTGAATACTGTATTTTTGATCTGTGCCTCCCTACTAAATTCATTTAGGACTGTCTTTACTAGATCAGTTTTGCAGGGAAAAAAACATGTCCTCAGTAGCATAATAATCTATCCAGACTGTCATAAATGTTTATATTGCAAGTTATACTTCTTAGGAGTTGGAGGGAGATGGCAGAATTTTGGAGGAGAACCAAATCACAGCCCCAAAATAATGCAAGACGAAAGGGGAACATTCTTCCTATGTTTAGCATTTAATTCTCCAGTCAGGCTGTTTGCTCTTAAGTCTGAAGAGCGAAGAAATGTAAAAACACATAATGACAGGTTTTGTGGGCTTTTTCTCTAATAGAAATCTTTAACCCTTAATTAGGCATCTGCTGACTGACCTTTTGGTGTGTGTGAGCCAGCAGCCATTCTTATAGAAAGCAGACATAATGTAATACAGTAGGAATTCAGTTACTTACATCTTTCCTGTTGGTCCCCCACAGGGGACCTCCTCTGAGTGTCAGAGAGGGAGTGAGTGTCTGGAGACCATCAGAGACCACAGCCAGTCACAGAGAGATATCTTCAAGCCCCTTGGATTCCAGTTCAGCCCCCACCACTAACTGGCTGTGTGACTCAAATTCTGTATCTGCTACATGAAGCTTGGACCAGATAATCCCAGAGGACTGTAACCCAGCCATTAAAAATTGTGAAGTATTAATTCACTTCTATTTGCTACTAGATGAACGATTATTTCTAAGACAATTGACCCATATTAGACATTCCTGGAGGGAGTAGGCTGTAACTTCCTTTGACCCTGCAAAGCCCCCAGAACTGTGACAGTGACGTGAGCATCAGTGTTACTCAGAAAAGTGTGATCATGGTACCCTTCATGAACAGGGCGAATATGTATATGATGACTATCTGCTTATCCTGGCACATTTTGGAAAGTCTCTTGTGATTATCAAAAAGGACCTTGGCCAGGGGCGGTGGCCCATGCCTGTAAATCCCAGCACTTTGGTAGGCCGAGGTGGGCAGATCATGAGGTCAAGAGATCGAGACCATCCTGGCCAACATGGTGAAACTCCATCTTACGAAAAATACAAAAATTAGCTGGGCATGGTGGGGCGCGCCTGTAATCCCAGCTACTCAGGAGGCTGAGGTAAGAGAATCACTTGAACCCAGGAGGCGGAGGTTGCAGTGAGCCGAGATTGCGCCATTGCACTCCAGCCTGGCAACAGAGCAAGACTCCGTCTCAAAAAAAACCAAAAGGAACCTTAAAGAGCAATTTACCTAATCCTCTCATTCCACAGAAGTTAAGGAAGTGATATGACTTCCCCAAGGCTGGAGACTCACATAGCACCTGGGCCGGATGACTTTAGTGTAAGGTGCATTCATTTACTCAGAACCCTGCTCCATTCCCAGTGTGGGGCCCCTTCCATGATACACAGCTGACACTGTGCCATTCATTGTTCACAAATCTGCTTTGTGGCATCTGTCTCACTGGTGTCCATTATTTCTGGGTTCATTTCATGCAGATTACGTGGCTGTACCAGTCAGAGTGAGTCATATCAAGCAAATGTTTATGGTAATTTGTTTATGCTTGTGTGGAAATGCATTTTTATGTTGAAATTCTGCTTTTCCTATAAACATTTAAAGAATTTTACAAAAACTATGCATAGTTTTTCCCCTTTGCTTAAACTATTTAAATGATCATTGATTTCTATGTAGAGGGGGTGATGTTTGTGAATTAATTCCTTCACCATTCACTCATTTACCTGTTACTTACTGAGCACCTATTGTGTCCACCCTACTGCCAAGCAGCAGAGATCTAGTGGTGAGACAGCCAGACACATCCACTCCTCTTGAGGAGTTCAGAGTCTACTTATACTTCATGGAGTTGGTTGTCTTTTCATTGTCAGCCAGTGTTCTATTTACTGATTCACAATTTCTCAAAGAATCTGGTTGAAAAATAGTTTGCTTGGGCAGATTTTTTTCCCTGTGGTTATTCCATTGAGAAATTCTTTTCGTAGAAGGGCACCTTTGCTGTCGTGGTGACATATATCTTCCAATTTTCGAAGATATTATTTTTAGCTTCTGATTTTGTGACCTGACTGAACAGAAGAGACAAATTAGCTAAACTTATTTGCACTATTGTTGTGATTCATGAAATGACAATTCGTGTCTTTGATAAAACTTACCTGTTTCCTAGAATCTTAAACTGACAGCCTGGATAGCACAGTGTCCATGGAACAAATCACAGATTAAATACCACACTCCTTTGCCTTGCATATCAGGCCCATAACAGTGTACAGCCCTTGCTTCCTTGTTCTATGTCTGGTTCCGAAGTTCCATGGAATGCTCTAGGAGTACCAAAACCATTTGCAATACTCAGAAATTTACAGTGCTCTCACTTGCCTCAGTGCCTTTGCACATGCTATTTCCTCTTCTCTCTTCAGACTAAACTTTCAAAGCAAATTTGATGTCATCTCCCTTGGAAGTGTTTTGACACTTGCCATCCTTATTGACTTCTTTTGCCCAGAGCTGAGCTAGGTATACTATCTCTGTTGTTCTGTATCCCTCAGGACCTTACAGACTGTTTGTCTACTTGTCTCTCTCTCTCTCTCTCTCTCTCTCTCTCTCAAACAGACTTTTTGTTTCTTGAGGGCAGGGACTATATGTTCTGTACCTCAAATCTTGGTTTAGTGACTGCTGTAGAGCAGATAACCAATAATCCTTGAACAAACAGATGGGAATCACCATCTAAAACCTATGGTGCTGTCATTGGCAGCTTCTGCTCTATGTGGAGAGTTTAATTTTTCAAACCAATGTGACTATGAATTATACTGAGAAGGATAAAGAGATTGGCAGACATCCTGATGTAGTTCATTAGAAATTCTATTCAAAACCCCAGGAAATGTTTCTGCTTTCAAATGAGTTTCAGCAAAGTAAACAATGAAAATTTATTAAGTGCCTTCTATAAGCAAAGCATTGCATTAAGTACCAAGGAATGAAAGATTTTTTTTTTTTTTTAAAAGCACAATTCCTATCCTCCAGAAAGCCACAAACTAGTGAGGGTTTGTCCCATGTGTCAATGACTGGTAATGAGGCTGACTGCTATAAACAGAGACTGTAGTCAGCTGTATACTTGCAGATAAGGCAGGGGGTAGAAAGGGCATTCTAGACAGAGGGGCTGGCTTGAGAAGGAACTTAAAGTTATGATGGTCGTGCCAGCAATCAGGTGACTTTGATGGAGCAGGGGCTGGGGGGTGGGGTGGAGGGAAGGTGGAAAATGCAAGGAAAGATGAGGAACGTTGTGTGGGGAGATGGGAATGGTATCAGGAACTCTAAATGCTGTTTATTATTTTTGAAAGTTGGAGGATAGTTAATAGGGTCTGGAAAATGCCAAATAGAAATTTGTTTGGAATCTCTTCTCAGGTTTAATTAAATCAAAAGTCTGTATTCTGCAGGGAAGGAGAGCAGTTGCGCAGTACATAACTGCATAACACGTTTTTTTCTCACCCATCCCTTTTGCCCTTGAGGGTACACTTTGCCATTCAAAGTCATCACAAGGAAGTGAAGCCGGGAAGTCTAACTTAAATCAATCAGTTTAGACCTGAAGGGAGTTTAGCATTGAGATCACTGAGGTGCCTGTTAACAAACTGTCCAGGGTGTGGAAAACCCCCTGGGTCTTTGGTGCTGTATTTCTACTGTAAAAATTTAGTTATTTTTTTATTTGACAATTAACTTTGTGCTATTTACAAGGAATACAGTTGTTTTATGAACCAGTGAGATATGCATGTGTAAGTTTGTTTCATGTAGGTGAAAAAGTGGCTTGGAAAATTCTGTCTGTGATAGATTCAATTCATCATCAAAATATGATTTCTGCTTGCCTTGTCCCTCCTTTCTTTTTCCTAAAAGAATGAGTGAACATATTCTTAGGGAATGGTAAGTTGGTAGGTTTTCTGCATCTCATAATTAGATCTGACCAGATGACTCTCCACCTTGAAATTAGTCTAAAAAGATTGAAGAATTTGGAGGAAGATCTCTAGATATCTTGACCAGAGCATGAAAGCAAATAAATATTGCTTGTGGAGTGAGAGATGATGTGGTAGAAAAGAAGCTGCATTCATTCATTCATTTATTCATTCATTTGCTCACTCCACAAGTACTTAATCGAGCACGTACTATGTTTCAGCTTCCTGCCTTCATGGAGCTAACATTCTGGTCAGAGTGGGAGGGGGAGACAGAAAAACACATTAGCAAATACGAAGCAAGTCAGATGGTGATCAGTGCTATGGAGGGAAAAAAAATGAAGAATGCTTTGGCTGCTATTATCTTCACATTTGGTTCTCTTTAAAGTTATTTAACTTATGCATTATGGTTAGGTTATTTTCTTCTCTCCACTCATTGTTTTTAGCTGCCTATTTTTATATTCACTTTCTGACAATTCTATGATAAACCACCATCTTGAGGGTTTTTTTCCTCCTAGATAAAAGCAGCTTTTGAAATAATTGGAGTACTGTGAACAAAAGTTATAATGAAGCATTTACTTCTGGAATTGATTTAAAGAAAAGTACTACGGACATCAAAGCCCATTAGTATTTTTCTCAAGACTAAAGTTGTCAGAATTTAGAGGAACATGGGATGGAAATGGATCTGTCCCTCACTTAACTCTGAGAGGAGCAGTTTGGGGTGTTCTGAGAGGATGGGAGCTTGGAGTATAGGGAACTCCAACCCCGGGAGCAGAGAAATGGTGGGATCACCCATGAGCAGAGCTCATTCAGAGAAGAGACGGGAGTGAATTAGAAAGTGAACATGCAAAAATTGAGCAAGGAATTTCTCTTTGGGAGGAAGGGAGGTAGGGAGGATAAAACCAGTGAGATAAATGTCAGTGAATAAACAACATTTACAAGAACAAATTCTGCCCAATATAGAACATCTGAGTGAGCTGGTTAGTGGAAATGGTGCCTCGAGATAAAAAACAATATTTAGGGATTTCCCAATATTCCCATCCTATATTTTGTGGGATCTTTAATTCAGCATCAATGTTCCATTTTACTGCAAGCAAGCCTTTAGTCAATACTTTCTACCTTGCTTCTAAAATAATTAGGATTTAAAGGAAAATGTCTCCTAGCGGTGGAGTGCCTGGGCTCTGGGGCAGACATTGTACCCATCCTTACTCTGCCACTTACTCACCTTTGGACCTTGGGCAAGTGAGCTGGTCTCCTTGTGCATCATTGTCCTCAATTATAAAAATGAGATTAACTAATTACCCCTACCTCAGAGTTGTTATGAGTGATAAATGAAATAGTCCATGGAGAGCCCTTAGCACAGTGCCTGCAAGATGATTGCATTATCTAACAATTGTTAACCTGTTATTACCATGACTTGTCTCTCTGGTGTTAGTGGTTTAGAGAAGTTCTCACATGTATATATGTATTTTCCCCCTTAGCAGAGCTTTTTTTTTTTCTTCTTCAACTTTTAAGTTCTGCGGTAATGTGCAGGATGTGCAGGTTTGTTACATAGGTAAACGTGTGCCAGGGTGGTTTGCTGCCCAGATCAACCCACCACCTGGGTATTAAGCCCAGCATCCATTAGCTATTCTTCCTGATACTTTCCCTGCCCACACTGACAGGCCCCAGTGTGTGTTGTTCCCCACAGTGTGTCCATGTTTTCTCATCATTGAGCTCCCACTTATAAGTGAGAACACATGGTGTTTGGTTTTCTGTTCCTGTGTTAGTTTGCTGAGGATAATGGCTTCCAGCTCCATTCATGTCCTTGAGAAGGACATGATCTTGTTCCTTTTTATGGCTGCATAGCATTCCATGGTATATATATACGACATTTCCTTTAGCCAGTCTATCTTTGATGGGCATTTAGGTTGGTTCCATGTCTTTGCTATTGTGAACAGTGCTGCAGTGAACAAATGCATGCATGTATCTTTATAATAAAATGATTTATATTTCTTTGGGTATATACCCGGTAATGGGATTGGTGGGTCAAATGGTATTTCTGGTTCTAGGTCTCTGAGGAATTGCTACAGTGTCTTCTGCAATGGCTGAAGTAATTTACACTCCCACCAACAATGTAAAAGCAGTCCATTTTCTCCACAACTTTGACAGCATCTGTCGTTTCTTGACTTTTTAGTAATCACCCTTCTGACTGGCGTGAGATGGTATTTCATTGTGGTTTTGATTTGCATTTATCTAATGATCAGCGATGCTGAGTTTTTTTCATGTTTATTGGCCGCATGTATGTCTTCTTTTGAGAAGTATCTGTTCATGTCCTTTGCCCACTTTTTAATGGAGTGGTTTGTTTCTTTTTCTTGTAAATTTGTTTAAGTTCCTTGTAGACTCTGGAGATCAGACCTTTGTCAGATGGATAGATTGAAAAAATTTTCTCCCATTCTGTAGGTTGTCTGTTTGCTCTGATGATAGTTTATTTTGCTCCTCAGAAGTTATTTAGTTTAATTAGATCCCATTTGTCCGTTTTTGCTTTCATTACAATTGCTGTTGGCATTTTCATGTGAAGTCTTTGCCCATGCCTGTGTCCTGAATGGTATTGCCTAGGTTTTCTTCTAGGGTTTTTATAGTTGGGTTTTGCATTTAAGTCTTTAACCTATCTTGAGTTAATTTTTGTATAAGATGTAAAGAAGGAGTCCATTTTCTATTTTATGCATATGGCTAGCCAGTTCTCCCAGCACCATTTATTAAATAGGACATTCTTTCCCCATTGCTAGTGTTTGTCAGGTTTTTTCAAAGATCAGGTGGTTGTAGGGGTGTGGTCTTATTTCTGAGTTCTCTATTCTGTTCCATTGGTCTGTGTGTCTGTTTTTGTACCAGTACCATGCTGTTTTGGTTACTGTAGCCTTGTAGTATAGTTTGAAGTCCGGTAGTGTGATGTCTCCAGCTTTATTCTTTTTGCTTAGGATTGTCTTGGCTATTTGGGTTCTTTTTTGGTTCCATATGAATTTAAAAAATAGTTTTTTCTAATTTTGTGAAGAATGTCAATGGTAGTTTAATGGTAATAGTATTGAATCCGTAAATTACTTTGGGCAGTATTGCCATTTTCATGATACTGGTTCTTCCTATCCATGAGCATGAGCATTGATTATACCTATCCATTTGTTTGTGTCCTCTCTTATTTCCTTGAGCAGTGGCTTGTAGTTCTCCTTGAAGTGGTCCTTCACTTCCCTTGCTAGCTCTATTCCTAGGTATTTTATTCTCTTTGTAGCAATCACTTTCTTCTTCCTGTTTGTGATTAATGATTTTAGGGTAAATCTTTTTGGAGGGATCTCACTTTTTTTTTATTCAGTCTCTTAGATAGTTATTATAATTTGGAATTTACTTAGATTTTAAGTCTGTATCATAGAACCTAAACAGTGGAATTGGAGGACCATGTGGCCACAAGGTCCCTGGGAGGAGGACCCACTAGTCACAGTAAGTGATGTTGTGGCAGGAAAAGAGAAGAGTAGAGTGGATGAGAAAAGGAGCAACCTAACAGCAAATATGATCAATGTTCTTTTTCTCTGTTGCCATTCGGGAGGATTTAGGGATGAAGGCTCCTTAGGTGGTGTGTAGTGTAGACAGGCTACAGCTTGCAGTTTCCTGGAGGGAATAGCCAGGAGAGTGTGATTTGTATAAACAGGGGCAGGTGGCTAAGGAAGTATAGTTAGGTGCCAGTAAGTTTGTAGGAAAGAATTCTAAAAGTGGAATGCCTGGTTCACAGGGTATGTGAGTTTAAAAATTCTGATGGCTCTTACTGAATCACCATTAACAGAAGTGCGCCAGTTTATACTCCCATCAGCAATGAATGAGAATGCCTGTTTCCTCACACCTATGCCCACTAGCAAGCATTTTGATCTTTGCTAATCTGCTGGGTGAAAAGTAGCATCTTATAGTTTAATTTGAGCATCTTTTCATGTGTTTACTTTGTATTTTCTTCTTCTATGAGCTAACTCTTTGTTCATGCCCTTTGCAGGCCCACTTTCAACTATTGAGTTTTGATTTTGATTTTTAGGAGGTTTTTTTTTTGTTTCGTTTTTTTTTTTTTTTTTTTTTTTTTTTTTTTTTTTTGTGAGACAGAGTCTCGCTCTGTCACCCAGGCTGGAGTGCCGTGGCGTGATCTCGGCTCACTGCAACCTCCGCCTCCTGGGTTCAAGCAATTCTCCTGCCTCAGCCTCCTGAGTAGCTGAGATTACAGGTGCCCACCACCATGCCCAGCTAATTTTTGTATTTTTAGTAGAGACGGGGTTTCACCATGTTGGTCAGGCTGGTCTCGAACTGCTGACCTCTTATCTGCCTGCCTTGGCCTCCCAAAGTGCTGGGATTACAGGTGTAAGCCACTGCGCTGTCCAGGAGCTCTTTATATACTAGAAAAATTCACATTTCCTTATGATTTTTTTTACCAAGTGTTTCTGCTTATTTTGTTATTTGTCTTTGATATTGTTTATGGTATTTGAGGCATAATAAATTTTTATATAAAGTTGTCACATGTTTCTTTTGTACTTTCTGGGTTTTGTGTAATAATCAGAAAAGCCTAACCCACTCTGAAAAGTCATGCTTCTACAATTTCCTTTTGTATTTTTATGTAAATAAAATCATACTTATTTGATTCATAATTATTTTGGATTAGTAATGAAATAGAAATTCCATTTTATTTTCCCCCAACAACTACCTAGTTCTCTCCAAACATTTCAGGCACGATGTGTCTTTTCCTTGCTGGCTAGGTGGTGATTCTTGAGAAAGATGATTTTTACTTGGGCCAAGGCAGGGGTGACATGGAAGGGTATCATCATCTATGAAATCCCCTTATGTAGTTAGAACTATTTTTGGAGAGTCTGCTCCATTTTCTTGACTTCCAGTTTGTTGCAGTTCCACACTGTGTTAATCACTCTAGTTTTATGAATTTTAATATATGATATGGCTAGCCTCACCCCTATTACCCTTTTGTTCCAGGATTTTTTTTGATCTTCCTACATGTTTATTTTTCTGAATAAACTTTAGAAATTGTCTCATTCTAAAAAACAATCATGTTTTGGAGAAAGGGTTAAATTAAATTTATAGCTTAATCTAGGGAGAGTGTTTTTTAACTTTTAAGCTCAGGGGTACAAGTGTGGGTTTGTTGCATAGGTAAACGTGTGCCAGGGTGGTTTGTGACACAGATCAACCTATCACCTGGGTATTAAGCCCAGCATTTATTAGCTATTCTTCCTGATGCTTTCCCTCCGCCCCTGACAGGCCCCAGTGTGTGTTGTTCCTCATAGTGTGTCCATGAGTTCTCATCATTCAGCTCCCACTTATAAGTGAGAACACATGATGTTTGGTTTTCTGTTCCTGCATTAGTTTGCTGAGGATAATGGCTTCCAGCTCCATCCATGTCCATCCATGTCCCTGCAAAGGACATGATCTTGTTCCTTTTTATGGCTGCATAATATTCCACGGTATATATGTACCACATCTTCTTTAGCCAGTCTGTCATTGATAAGCATTTAGGTTGATTTCATATCTTTACTATTGTGAATAGTGATGCAGTGAACATTCACATGCATGTATCTTTATGGTAGAATGATTTATATTCCTCTGGGTATATACCCAGTAATAGGATTGCTGGGTTGAATGGTATTTCTGTCTTTAGGTCTTTGAGGAATCGCCACACTGACTTCCATAATGTCTGAACTAATTGACACTCCCATCAACAGTGTATAAGCGTTCCTTTTTCTCCACAACCTCACCAGTATCCTTTATTTTTTGACTTCTTAATAATAGCCATTCTGACTGGTGTGAGATGGTGTCTCATTTGATTTGCATTTATCTAATGATCAATGATGTCAAGCTTTTTTTCATATTATCGTTGCCACATGTATATCTTTTGAAAAGTGTCTGTTCATGCCCTTTGCCCACTTTTTAATGGGGGTGTTTTACTTGTAATTTGTTTAAGTTTCTTACAGAAGCTAGATATAGACCCTTGCCAGATGTATAGTTTGCAAAAATTTGGGAGAATTTTTTATGATACTGACCCAACCTGTCGTCACACAGGGTATATGTTCCCATTTATTCAGATCTTCTTTTATGAATCTCCTTAGTTAATGTTTTAAGATATTCTTCCTATATATTTTGGCACGTATTTTTTAAAACATTATTTGACATGGTTTATAAGTATTTGTTTAGTCTTCACATATTTGCAGAGGTATTGAGGAGTGAAAAAGGAATGGAAGTGTTTCTTTGACACCGTAAAATAGATTACCTGGGGAAAAATATTGAAACTTTGCATAAGTAAATGTAATTGATTCATTTTTTCTTTTATCTCTTCTGACCCTATATTTCGAATTGTTGATCTAACTATAAAAACGTATTTGTTTTAAATTTGCAATTGAATTTAGTAAGTGTTTTTCACACCCACAAATTCAAAGCACCAATTGCTGAGATTCTTTTGCAAAGTGTTCCATATCATTGTCTTATATTAATTCATTGACTATTAATTAATTAGCTTAGTAAGCACTTAATGAACACTTACTATAGACCAAATGTTAGAAATATGAAGACTAATAAGACATGATCCCTTTCATTGAAAGATTTGCTGTTTACTCAGAGATGGAATGAAATGATGAAAACAAAGAATTATAATAATATAAGGTAATGTGCTTTACACTCTGGGAGGCCAAGGTGGGTGGATCTGGATCACTTGAGACCAGGAGTTCCAGACCCACCTGGCCAACATGGCAAAACCCCATCTCTACTAAAGATACAAGAATTAGCCAGATGTGGTGGCATGCACCTGTAATCCCAGCTGCTCTGGAGGCTGAGGGAGGAGAATTGCTTGAACCCAGGAGGCTGAGATTGCAGTCAGCAGAGATCGCCCCACTGCACTCCAACCTGGGCGACAGAGCAAGATTCTGTCTCAAAAAAAAAAAAAAGGGTAATGTGCTTTCATGAAAATATGTGCAAGGCAGAGTTGGAACATGGAGTGGGAGAGCCTCAAGCTGTCCTGGGGCAATCAAAGAAGGCTTTACTGAGCAACCAGCATCTGAACTGAGACCATTCGGATGAGTTGCTGCCAGGTGGGCAGATCAGGGGAGGCTTCTCCAGACAGAGAAACTAGCAAGTGCAAAGGCACTGGGGCATGAATCAGTTACAAGTTATTCAGTCTATGGGGCTTAGGAGATTAGGCTTAGCCAGTAGGCAGCTGCCAGATCTCAAAGGCTTTATATGACATGCGCAAGAGGTTGTGCTATATTCTGTAGGCACTGGAGCAAATTGTGAGCAAGAAAAGGTCAGATTGTAGACTACATAACTCTGGTAGCCATATGGAGAGCAAAGTAGAAGGGTATGGGTATAAAATCAGGAATACAAGTATGGAGATTATAACAGTGGGCCCAGTTAGAGACTGTTTTCTCTTAAACTAGGACAGTGACATTAGGAATGACAGAGAGCCCCTATGGAAGATTTATTCATTCAACAATCATTTATTAGAATCACCTGTATGCTAGGCTCTGTGCTGGATGCTAGGCATGCAGCAGTGTGCCAGACAGATATGCTCCCCACTCCCAAAGCCATCCCATTCAAATGGGAAGAGCCTGATAAGGTGATATGTAAGTTGATATGTTAAGCAGTGGTATATGATGAAGCAGAATGCAGCAGGATGAAAGGGAAAGGGAACATGGTTAGGAGTATGCTGATCAGGATAGTCCTCTGGGCAAGGTGATGTTTGATCAGGACATGAGCTGGGGAGGGAGGGAGGGTATGAGCCAGGGAAATGGTGTCCAAGCACAGGGAAATGGTATCCAAAAGAGAAATGGTGTCCAAGCAGAGGGAACAGCCAGTGCAGAGGCCCTGAGAAGGAACTGTGCTTGGCATGGTTAAGGAATAATGAGGAGGCCAAAAGGGCTAGAGCAGAGTGGTGGAGGAGGTGGCTTAAGTATTTAGATTTTATCCAGAATGAGATGGGGAGCCAGGGCATTATTTTTCATACGGCAGTAGCATGATTTGACTGGCAGCCTTTAAGAGGATCTCACCTGCTGCTGTGTGGAGAATAGAGGGAGTCAGGGTGTAAGTAGGTCAGTTACAAGGCTGGTGCAGAGGTCCAGAAAGGGAGGTGATGATGGACCAGGATAGTGATTCTGGAGGTGGTGAGAGGTGGTAGAACTATGGATCTGTCTTGAACTTGGTACTAGAAGGATACAGGAAAGTGTGCATAGGAAGTAAAATGGGCAAGTGTAGATTAGATAACTGCTAAGTGTAGATTAGATAACTGCTAAGTGTAGACATACAATATTTTAAAGGGAGATGAGGGAAGTATAGCCAGGGAGGGTCACTTTAGCAAGAGCAGTCCATATGGTCAATAGGTCAATATGATGAGTACACTATCATGAACTCTTGCAGGCTAAACTTTTATTATTTGTATACTTATGAGCCACACTGGATTGTGTGACATGACTAAATAGAGAATTCCTGAAATTGCCTCTGGGAGGATGTATTAAATAGGGTCAATCAGAAGTACGTAAATGGTGTCTACTCTTGAGCAATAAAATTTATAGAAGCCACATCTAAATTTAGCTTTAAGCAATTTCGGAGCCTGAGAATTTTCAGGAAATAGTAATCAAAGCCCTGATAATACAAGAAATTGACATCCTTTTTGGACTGACATGGGAGAGGAATAATTTGGGCGGTCACAGAAACGGACTCATAGATCATAGATCTTGGGAATGTGGGGTCAATGAATTAAATATGGCTGAAAATTATAAATTACCTCACATATCCAATTGCTTTTAGCTAAAATCAAGAGAAAGGGCTTTCTAAAGCCGAGATACTTTTTTTCCATTAGCAAAGGGTTATAAGATGTTCTGGAGACTTGAGTCAGGCTAGTTCCCTTATCTTTGGAAGATATTCTTGAGTGATGCAGTGCTATCAGTTTCAAATAAGTATATTTTTGTAAATCAGGTGATGTTATATAATGAAACTGACATTTGTAAAAGTTTTTTATGGCTCCCAGCCAGGTGCCCCTTTTGTCAGACCCTGACTTTTGAAGGATTTTGGGCTGCTTATAAGGATTCAGAGTTCCCCTGCAAAATTGATGTTGGAAACCATACCCACAGTCTGCGCCAGTCACTGTGGACTGGATACATTTCCACAGTGTGAGATGAAATCAGAACTGAATGAGAGTGGCCACTGTTCTCTTGGCCATACCTGACCAAAGGTTCTAGTTTGATGCAGATTATTATTCTTTAGTTAACTGTACAGTAAACCATGCACAGTCCTCATTGTAATTAGGTGGGTTCATTCTTTCTTAATTTTACCTGCTGTTGTCGTCATGAGTCACAAAGTTGAATAACTCTTCAGTTATTATTGTAGCCAGAGTGATGGATAAGATAGACTCCCCTAAACCATGGTAGTCGATATAAAGCTTTTCTTCTCTTGCCCCCATAGTTAGCACTAACTGGCCCCTGTTTTGTATAACCTTATACAGACTTATGTCATAGTGCTAATGATATACCACATGTGTGTACACATATGCACATACCTACTCACATATACACATGCACACACATATATGTGTACACACACACACACGCGTAATTCCTCTTCTCTCCCCCCACAGACTGTAGTAGGCACTTTGAATCATGAATCGTTCTTATTTTCCTTTTAACTATTAACACTTAGCTCAGCATCTGGCATAAAGTAGGAGCTCAAAACATGGTTGTCGATTGAAATCTAGAACTGGGTTTTGCATTTTCTTGTTATTGCTTTGTTGTTGTTCTGTTGATTAAGTAATTCTATACCTAGTTTAGGTTTGAATTGCTTTAGAGACCCTGATGATGGTGCCTTGTGTTCTTGGCCACTTGATTTTATGTGACAGTCTTCAGCATATTCATAACTCCAAGCTTTACAAAACAGGCAATATTTTATAGGGAAGTAGCTCTGTTGCCTTTCTGGATGTAGAGGCAGCATGAGATTATAGGATAAAACTCCAATATGTTTGTATTTATGTATATATATATTACCTTATTCATACATAATAATGTGTATACATACATAATAATATGAAGTAAAAGTAGGTCAGAAGTAAAGAAGAGGTGGGAACAAAATGAAAGCAGGAATACAATTAAATTGCATGTCAGAATGACTTACATGTAAGATACAGAGGCCACCTTTAAAGGCTTTAAGCTTTCAATCAGCCAGAGGGAAAAGAACAGGCTTATGGGGGTAAAGATAAACCATTTGCTCAGGTTGATTTTAACCATACTCTTAGCACCAACATCAGATAAGAATTTCTCCCAGGAGTCCCTATGAAGAGTACATTGTGTTTCGTTATGAAAATCATCAAGCTTTGCAAGGCTGATTCTCATAAGACAATTTTGTGTTAATAGCATTGCCTCAAGGCAAAATTTTGTAAAAGCAGTCGGCAAGGTTCTGTTTAGGAATCAGTTCTCTGCTGGTCAGTTTGACTCAGGGATATGAAAAGTGGGTGGACTACTTGTCTTTAAGCAATCTTTCCTGTGTATTGTTTATCTCAAATAAAGCTTTGAAAATTGTTTTTTAACATTGAACTTGAAGTGGCACTATTCTCCAGCAAGTAAGGGCCTACAGTGTAGCTACTATTCTGTGTAGCTAGTTAAGGAGAGACCTGGCGTCCTAGCAGTGTCAAATGAAAGCTGGTATTAGCATCCATATGAGGAAGCTGACTTGCCTAGCAAAGACATTTACCTGAATAGCAGGTTGCCCTCCTTATTTCCAGGGGAAGCATGGGAGAACCAAGCAGCTCAGCCAGGATTATGCATAGAAAATTGTTTGGACCCACGTTATTGCTCAGACAAATGGGTGATCCTCTCCAAGGGCTTTAAATAGGTCCTTTTGGGGCAGGGAACCCAAACACTTAGCAAAGTACAGAAGGTTTGAAGGGAATGAATTCCCAGAGTCTGGATTGGATGCTCAGTCTCATTTCTCACCTTCCCGTTTACAATCCCTCTTTTTCCATTTTAGCAAAGCAAGGCATCCTTCTTATCCATCTCAGATCTTACTATAGTGCATTGTGCAGGGGTGTAAAAACAGCCTGGGCACCAAACAGAGCAGCAATTGGAAATATTTCTTTGCAGAGAAGTATGGTAGTGTGAACAATAAAAGACTTTCCAATATAAACATATGCTACATTGGGATAAAACTCTGTGGGGAAGTGGGCTGGATATGAGTTAAAGGAGAAAAACTAGCGATGTAAATTTTCCAACTGATAAAAAGGAGCTTGAGCTTGGTCAGATATCTTAAAAATGGTTGAATGTGGGATATGACAGTTGTGTTTTAAAACCTCAATGTTTATGTATGCCATAAATTATATTCTTTGTAATCCTATAAGCTTATGATGAAGTCAACTTAAAACTTCACTGAGTTGGGGCAGATCTTCAGAAGGGGATACATAGCTTTTTGTTTTGTTTTGTTTTGAATCTTTGGGCCATGCGTGAGCAAACATGTTTGAAGACCACTCATCTACTGCATGTAATATGGCTCTCAATCAGTCCTCTAGCTCTTGCATCGACCTCAAGTGTTAGGTCAGCCTCTAGCTGTAACTCCCCTCCCTGTTCTTACCACTACTTTATATTTACTTTAATATAAGTCTAACAGATTGCATCCATGATTCCTCTACCAAATAGGAAGATCTTTAATTCTCGAAAACGGTATACTATATACTCTGTAGTTTCCAGGAATTTTTTTGTGGTGCCTTATGTAAAGGCAAACTTTAAAAAAATTATTGAGATATAATTTACATATCATATAATTCACCCATTTCAAGTATAGAATTCAATAAGTTATAGTAAGTTTACCAAGTTGTGAAGTCATCATCATAAATCAGTTTTAGAACATTTTTGTCACCCCAATACGATTTATCATGCCCATTTACGTGAATGTTCCTATGTTTTTCTAATATTTAAGGGGCTACAAGTTCATATGACAACATGCGTAGAGAGCAGTAAGGATGGAGGAAAACAAGAGGGGCAGGGCCAGAATTTTATCATTTATGGAAGCATGAGTGCTAGCATCTTCTATTTTTATTTTTAAAAAACCACTCTGATGTTCTTCTAGTCCTTATATGTTTTTATTGATACAAATATAACCACATGTTAAGGCAGGACTCTGTCTATCTCAGTTTTGGCTAAGATCCCAATGGCCAAGAATACTAGATTAGGTTCCCCCATATCAGTTACCTATTTAGAACATACAAAACATTGTATGGGAGTTAGTTATTGTCTGCTCCATAATATGTATGAGGTTGATGTTGGGGCCCTGGTGAATGTGAGGGTGGGAGAAGGGTACTCCATCTTCACTTCAAACCAAGTGAGAGGAATCCTTATTGAACTTGACATTATCTCCTGATGGGAGTTTGGGGACATGAGGTTCACCTGAACCTGTGGAAGGCTGTGATGAGAGCTGCCGCTAAGAACAAAGTGGGAGAGGGGGCTGCAGGGAGATGGCCGCAAGTTGGTGGGACGAAGATGTGTGAGATTTTATCATGGATCAGGTGGATGCTCTGGGATCATTTTAACTTTGGAATGCACTCAAGAGGGATGCCTGGAGGGAATGGGGGAGAAACAGAGAGAGAGAGAGGGCATGAGCAAGTGCATAAGTGATGGTGGGGGGAATGGTTATCAGTTACCTAACTATTCTGGATACGTAAGAATGTAGTGCTTAGAGATTAGACAGAAAAATGAACCATTTGCCATTTGACCATCTGGGAGACATTATTGTATGGTCTTTAAATCTGATAAACCTGAATTTAAATCTCTCCCTGACCCTCAGCAAGTTACTGTATTTTTCTGAGCTTTCAGAGTTGTCATGGCCAGTATTTGTCGTAATGATATAATCATTGACTTTGACAAGTCCTGGAACTTGCCTTTCAAAGTATTTTTGATATTTGACACTGATTGATGAGTAGATAAATATGAATATTCTGTATAGACAACATCTATGATCTAGCTAGAGATCTAAAAGTCATTGTTAGGTACCATAAGCGTGTAACATATAACATTCAATATTTTGCAAAATCCATGGTATTTCATTTACTATACTGCCATTTACTTTCTTATTTGGATTACGTAGGTGATAAATTTGTACAAGCCTGTTTTCATATACTTTGAAAGTGTGTGAAAATAATTGTATATAAATGGTAATTCTGATTTTCTCTAGAATACAATTCAGATTTACCAGCCTTCAAATAATATTATTTTAGATACTATTGTTAATAAATAATATTTTTTATTTAGCAAATAACTTTACATATATATGTGTGTGTGTGTGTGTTTGTGTGTGTGAATTTATGCATATGTATTTTTCCAGCCAACATGAAAGTCTTTTGAGGACAAAATTGAGTATTTGCCATCACAAAACTATAAATAACTTAAAAATTTGGCATATTTAAATATTGCAGTAAGCAATAATACTTTTATCCATTTATGCAACTTTTGTACAGAAACAGATCTTGTAGATTATCAGGTAGGATCTATGGAGTGAAGTTTGATAAACTTTTAAAGACAATGAAGTTAATTTTTAAAACCTCTTAAACTCAACTCTTAATTATTCTTAATTGTGTTCTTTAATTTCTTAAATTGTGTTCCCAAAGCATTTAAAATATATAACTATCGTAGTACTGAATGCATGGCATAGTATTATTTCATTAATTCATTAATTTATTTAAAATGACTGTAGTGAACTCGTATGGTACAATCTCTGTCCTTATGGAGTCTAGAGTTCAGTGGGATAGACGCATGAAACAGACACATGAGTAATATATAATTACAAATTATGATCACTGTTATGAGTTACAGGCAAATGGCATGAGAGAATAACTGTGGAAGCATAATTTAATTGGAGGGAATGATTCTCTGATGAAAGATCTGAAAGATGAGTGGTCCATTATCAGTTGAGAATGGGTCAAAGAATATTTCAGATAGTGGGAACAGCATATTACAAAGGCCCTGTGGTAGGAAGGAGTATGAAATATTTAAGGAAGAGGCAAGGAGTGGATATAGATGCCTCATTTAGGAGGCAATGGGAATAATTCATTCTGGAAATGAGGTAAACTAGACACTAGATTAGACTAGAATAAGTTAGTGGCAGTACAGTTAGAAGTGAATGGATTTTAAGAAATAGTAGAAATTAGAGTCAATAGGACTTCAACTGTTTATAAAGGAGAAAGGAGAAGGTGTTGATAAATAAGGCTATTTGTAAAGGTGGATGGTTTGGATTCTAGCACATTGTACTGTGATTGTTATACCATAATTTATCTTCTGTGAACATTGCAAGGAAGTTTCTGCACTTATTTTCAAGTTTTGATGTGTATATTTTTACAATACTGTTCACTTTTCTAAACTTTTCAATTGTAAGTTTCTTATAATTGAGAATTGTTTTCTCTTTCTTTGGTATATGTCCAGAGTTCTTAGCCCTCTAAATTCAGTTGTTGTTGAGTAAATTTTATTTTTTTAAAAAATAGAGATTAGAACATCTGATTTCAGATATTTAAAAAAACTTAGATATTTATCTTGTGGGGAATGACTTAGGAACAGTTTTCTTGAATGTAGAGATTTGAAATACCAATTTGCCTTTGGGTCATTATTTTGTAGGAATGTGGGAAGATATAAAATTCAATGAGCAATATGATTAGGCATTTATATAATTCCTTAAGTATATGCTATGTAGATCTTTCAACATATATATTAAAAGATTAAAAAATGCTTGATTATCTGGCTCTGGGGTATACTTGTAAAACTTGCCTATTTGCTAAGGTCAAAACAGGCATGCATGTATTTTATATTCTAGCTTTATCTATGGTATATTAATAATATAACTGGTTTCCAGCAGACACAACCTAGAGTAATCCCTGCCTAGGCTTAGCCTAGTTAGAGCCTAGTTAGGTCTTCTTGGGTTTGGACATGATTTGAGATATTGAAAAGAAAATAATTGAGGAGATTCAAAGCAGTATTCTAATGAAGCTATATGCAGGTTTACTAAACAGCCAACTTAGCCATTTATCTAAAAAAATAATATATGTAAAATGTGGGTTTTACTGTAATATAATTACCGAGTCTCCTTACCAAAGGATGGGAAAACTTTATAGCCACGAGTGACAGAAAGAAACTATTGTTCAGTTGTTGGATTCCATGTTTATGTCTGCTAAACTGGTCATTGATTTTCATACTGTGAACTTTCTTAACATTGCCAGGTATACAGTTAGAAGACCTCTTATCCTAAATGCTTAGGACTAATTTCGTTGGTCAGTGGAAAAAGATGGTTAAATGAGGGAATAGTTAAAACAATATGATACATGCATTTCTTGAACAATTTATTTTAACCTAAAACAAAAATTAATTTGCTAATATTTTGGTGGGGGCTAAGGGTTTTACTTCAAGTAATAATTCATTAATTTTTTTGTTTTACAGTTTCTTTTTTGCATAATCATGCCTGGAATTCATTACCTATAAGGACATAGACACTTGTGAAGACAATCCTAGTGCAGAATTCATCTAACTTTAATGAATCATTTCATTAAAGATTTCATGATTTCCCTTATTATTATTATTACTTATTATTGAATGTATGACTCAGCCTTATAAAGTGTTTCCTAAACTTTTAGCTTATTTTAAAAATAGAAACACCAACTTTCTTTTTACATTTACATTTCATTTGTTTACATGGTACTTAATTAAAATTATATAGTTATAATAATAAGTATGAATGACATAAAAAGTTTTGGAAATGAGCACAAGTAATTCTTGTTAAACACTATAGTTTTAAAAAAGTGAAGGGAAATGGACCATTGTTCTAAAGATTAGACAACTTAAGCTATGAGGCTTGGTGAGCTGTGGGTATCAGTCTTTATGTTTAATAAAGGGAATGGAGATTGTTGGCTAAGTTGAGGTCAAGTAACAGAGCCCCCTTTTTGTGCTGGTTTCAGCCCATTACCCTTCAACTTTATTCACTAAATCAGATAGTTACAGTGCTGCTTAGAATAGCTCCTGATATTAAATAGTGTCAATAATAATACTTTAGCAGTCATCTCTGAGCTTCATCATTATAAACTAGATAAATAATTAAAACAAATAATAATAGAATGTTTAATGGGAGAAATAGGCACTGTTGAGAGAACAGTCTAAGATTCAGATCATTTAGCTCTATGCCCAGGGATGCCTTACTCTAGGTTTGTGACATTGAATAAATTGCTAAACCTTTCTGGATTCAGCTTCCAAATCTACAGGCTGGTAGTTCTCAACAAATCGTGATTTTGCCTCCCAGAGAACATTTGACAATATCTGGAGATATTTTTGATTGTCATAATCTGGGGAATGTTCCTGATATTTAGTGGCTAGAGGCCAGCACTACTGCTAAGATCCTGCAATACACAGGACAGGTCCTAACAAGAAAGAATTATCAGTTCAAAATTTTTGTAGTGCTAAAACTGAGGATCCTTGGGCTAGCTAATTTATGATGGTTTCTTCCTCTTCCCTATGTATCTATCATTCTCAAACTTAGGCTGATCATATATATATGTGTATATATATATGTATGTGTGTATATATATATGTGTATATATATATGTATGTGTGTATATATATATTTCTATTTTAAATAACCTGAGTAATGACATTAGATGAATTTTTTTTGTCTAGTAGGTGTTTAAATGATGCAATAGTAATTTTCAATGTCTTATATAACATAAACAGAGAAGAATAAATATAGCCAAAATTTACTACTCTGTACTTTTTCTAATTCAGCATTCCCAAATGTAAGTTAAATATAACTGTAGAAAACCCACAGTAGATTAAAATATTTATTCTTTCAGTAAAGGGACAGTTTACCAATGCTGTCAGGTAGATAGGTACCAGCAATATAGATAGGAAAGGGGAAAAGCTATGTAATGTTGGAGAGTTTAAATACTGTAATTCAGTTGAAAACTATATTTCAGCTAATAGCAACTTTGGGATTTATATATGTATATCCCTATGATTTAAAGTAAGATTCATCAGTGGTATAAAAATGATATTTTAGTGTGCTCAATTTTATGACTTGAGACCAGTTCAAAACAAGCATCACTGCTAGTATAATTCTAAATTATTTTGGAGGAAATGTATATTTTAAAATTCTTGGTGGTAATTAGTGATGATAGGTTCGCTGCTCTATACTTTTTTATGAAATAAAGTTTGACTTAAAGAACCTGAGAACAGGTTTCAAAAGTAACAGCATAGATACCAATCACATTTTTTCTGAGTTTTTAATTTGTTGACAAAATTTTTTTTAAAAAACTGTGATGAAAGCATGCGAGACTTGAGATGGCTGTAGAAGGAGAAACTGAGTAAGTTCCTCTTCTTGTCTTGTTTCCTCTCCCTATTTCTCCTTCTCTGTTTTGCTTACTCCAACTCCATGCACACTTGAATCACCATGAATGGTGCCCAAGTTGAAGCCCAAATCAAGTTCCTTAGTTGTTGGGGCCGTGTCTTATTTGTCTTTTGATCCCTGGTATCTGGCATGTAGAGTCTCTAAGTAAACTCTCTGCCCTTGACCTTTCTGCATATTATAGGCTCTGTCTTTGGGTTCCTCCCTCCCTCTATTTCCCTTTTTTCTGCTTCTCTCTCCCTTCCTTCCAGTTTAGTTTGGCATTTATAGTTTTCGTGGTTGTGTGGCTCTTTTCATCTAACATTTCTAGATGTTTAGAGCAGAAGGGGGGGCCCTCCCACCTGACCTCAGCCTACCACATTGTTGGAATCCATTCATTCTTCAACCTATTAAAATCTTACTCCATTTTATTACCAAGTAAACTCTTTCAAACAGTTAATTTATGATTCTCCTGGTTTTATTCTTACCCCATTCACCCCAGCAAGAAAGTCGGTTTCTCAAAAAAAAAAAAAAAATGCCCTTCTTTCCCTACCTGATTATTATGTAGCATGAGAATTGACAGAGCACAAGCAGGGAATGATTACACAACATTTTTAAAAACTCTGTGTTGAAATGTATTTGTGGCATTACTGTCTCAAGGAAAGCCAAATGCATGCCTCAGAATTGAGAAAAATGTAAGTCGGCAAGCTTATCTCTAACTCCCCATGATAAAATAAATTGAGTGTTTTAGAGCTGTCAGTAGTACTTGCGCAGTTCTATCTCTACTGCTATGTCAGTTAATATTTCCTCCCTCAAAACAAAACGAGTGCATAGGCAAAATGTAAGCCAGCAGTTGAGATTCTGAACTACCTCCACCAGTGGGTTTCACCCCAAAGTGTCTCCTGAAGGCCTATTCATCCTGGGTTTGCAATGCTGGGTTGCAATGTTAATCATTTTTTCATGTGCTGATGAGGAAAATGATAAAGTGATGGATGCTGCTCTTCCTTCTGCTTTGTCATCCTGACCCTGATTGTGCTGGGTGGACTTTCTCATTAACGATGCAAAGTCCGGTGATTTGCACTGTGCTCAGCTGGGCATCATTTCTTGTATCTTATTTTTGTTGGTCAGCATTATAGCTAGTTGTTGGAACTGATTTCCCTTGCACTCTCTGTTTGACTATGCCATGGCCAGCACACTTTTGAATGAAACCGCTGATGGTTGTCGAAACTAAAGGGACATTCCTATATTTTGGATTGGCTCACGAATTCACCTGTTGATGCCCTGGAGGTAATTTTCACTGGCTTTATTTATAGAAATGGCTTACACAGTGTAGTTGTGTCTAGTCAGTTGCCATATGGTACCCTAATATGCCACCAAATGGTAATCAAAACTTAGTAGTAAATTTTCAGGAACTAATAAAACAACTGTGATGGAGGAGCTTCATTTGGGATGGTAGATATCAGTGGCTGGAGCAATGAGGAAGGCCTTGCCTTTCTCTTAGTGCTATTTGTTAGACAGAAGTTTTTAAACAGGTATGTCCAGAATAGTACTTAATTTCTTAAACTATAAAAGCAATATATGGTTATTATTAAAAATCGATTTGGAATGGAAGAATAAAAATAAAATGACTCAGTTCATTTTTCTGCTATCCCAATACCAGCCTTGGAGAATATGCTTTCAGGTAATCATAGAGTCAGAGAAAGAATAGAGATGAAGACAGAGTCACATATGTGAAGTTAAAAAAATGTAAATTTATCACAATATATATGATTTTCCAACTTACTGTTCTCAATGAGTTTGTCTTGAAGAGTGTTACGTGTCAGGATATATAGGTCCACCTCATTCTTCATAGCAGCAGTGTGGTACTCCAGACCACAGATGCAAAACGCCATAATTTAGGTAAGCCTTCCATTATCGATAAACATAAGGTTATTGCCAATGTTTTACAGTTATAAACAGCAAGTTAATGAACATTTTTGTACATATATCTTACAGTATGTAGGCTGACATTGCCGTAGTATTAACACTTAGAAATGGAACTGATCATTCCATAGTTAGGCATATTTTAAATTTTGATGGATATTCTCAAATTGCCCCTCCCCAAAGACACTATATGAAAGTGCTCATTTCCTCCACATCCCCATCAATGCCCAGTCCTTTGCTTGATGGAAAAACAGTTTTGGGCATCTTTAGTGTTCTGGTCCACAGCTCCCATCCTGACCACACTCACCAAATAGAATCTTACTTTACTCTTGGACAGAACAGAACAAATTAAAACAAAATAAAAATAACAAGAAACAGCTCAAGAGATGTGGATCTTTTGAGCAGCTTAACCAAAACCTAAACAAGGCAAATAAAGTGACCCTTTGTTATCAGCAAAGGCCTGTGCTTCCTCTGTGCTGCTGAGCCACAGTCAGCTAGGCTGGATCATGTGGAGAACTACTCAACAAAGCTGGATTTCCTTGACCAGTCAGCAGGTAGAAGGTTTTTCTTCACTTCTTTCCCCAAAGTCCCAACTCGAGTCTAACTACGATTCGAAGAAAATCAAGAGCTCCAGTGTACAAGTGACAGAGACCATTTGTTTTAAGACTTAGCAGTCACCCTGTTCAGGTCTTCTTAAGGGAGACGGCAGCTCCTGGACCTGGCCACAGAGTGTGAGAAAGATGGTGGAAGAGAGAAAGCTGTACATACACACGCACATACACACACGCACAGGGCGAGACAGAAAGGCAGGAGGCAAATTTTTTCCAAAGAAATCCAAAACAATAGGTAAAGAGGATGGAAAAAAGAGAATGGTAACTGGGCATTACCTTAACCACTGGGAGGAGAACAAAAGTAAGTCTTAAATCTGATCAGCCATGGCTTATTACTTGATAAGGTGAGGTGAGGAGGGGAAGATGGTAGAAGAAACTTGATCTTCCAGTAGGAATCAATAAAAATTGTATTAGATGTTCCCCTTATCTTTGGGGCTCTTGTCTTACTCGTACTTCCTTTGTGGTAACTTTAGGATTCTCATGTTTCTCTTCCTTGACGTTGCAAAATTTGATATATTTCCATTTGTTTTGTTATTTCTTTTCAGATCTCACCGTTTGCTGTATTTTGCTTTGCGTAATATTTTCTTTTCCTTCTCTTTCTGCATTATTTGCTTTAAAACAACATATACACTAAAGAAATGTAACCTCAACCTTTTCATTCAAGTGTGTATTTCTGAAAAAAAATCAGATATTTACAGATAATGAATAACACCACAAAAGTTGTTTTATGCTGCAACTGTACTTAGGTTCAATGTCATCTTTGCCACCTTCTCCCTGTGTTATGTAAATATTCCATTTATTGCAGGCATAAAAATACCACCTTTCACTGTACTTTATGAGGAAATGGAAGCCAAATGACTTTTTTTTTATAGTTTAAAATTCATTTACTTATATATGTGGCAAATTCTAAGGCAAGCCAGCTCAAATCTGTGCCAAATTCAGGAAGAAAAGGATTATCACAAGAAATAATAAGTGGATTATCACAAGAAAGAAAAGGATTGGTAAAATATCTGTTATTTCACTTACAGGTGGAAGGCCACCCCTTTTTGTCATTTAAATGCTAAATTTTCTTCTCCTTTTTCATACCTTTCATTTTCCCTCTTGCTTTGTTTTTGCATACAAGCGAGTTGGGACATATATTGCTTCTATCTATCACTTTTACATAAAAGATAGAAATCCGGGAAATTGCAAAAGGTTTACAGTCTTTCCATAGACTAAAATCACGAGCCAGATGTTTTAAAACAATTTTATATTAAACAATTTTAAAACTAGTATTTGTATAAGCCAGTAAATCTATTTTTTTCATAAATGTCCTATCATGTTTTTCCCCCCATTGGGCACTTGGATTGGAACTACAAACCACAATCTTCAAATAATTATTAAATCTGAAAAACCTATGTCTTGTAGTTTGTGGTGACTCTGTAGGTAGCCACTGCAATAAAATCTATTTGGAGAAGGAGCTATTATCTATGCACAATGTGTATTTGATGAAATGGGTAGGCAATTACAGTTCACAAAAACACATACTGTATTAGAATAGTTCACATATAGCAAAGATAATTAGATTTTTCATACAGTAACCAGTCAGCCAATAGGAGTAAAAATGCTACAAATCTTATTTATAAAAAGTGCCATTAAAAGATAATCCCTTCTAATGTTGCTTGAGCATTTTTCTGGATATGAGTGGGCAGATGAGTAATAGAAAAATAACACTGACATAAAAATTAAGCCTGGGAGATTCCTGAGTTTGTTTTGTGCAACTTGGAGTTTTGAGGCTCTGTCAGGAGACCGCTGGAGACAAGAGTACTGGATTAGAAGCAGGAAGATCTGGTGCTTGACCTGACTGTACTGTCAGTCAGTCATGTGACTCATCCCCCAAGTCTCACACTTCTCATTTTCAAAGAGAAGAACCCTGTACTGCAGAGTAAGAGATCAATAAATGTTTGTTGAATGAGTAAAAGAATGAACAAAGATTTTAAAGATTCCTTTCCAAGATTCTGAAATTCCACTAGGAACTTGAACAAGCAATAAAAAGACAGCATTGCAAATTAAGAACAAACAAACAAACAAAAAAAAACTTTAGCCAAACATTCTATTTAGTTTAAATTTGTAGATATACAGATTTTCTAAATATCAGTTTTCCTCAAATGGACTTAAGATGACTTCCAGACTCAGGGTACAGTGTCACATTAGCTGGTTTAGCGAGAGTGTTGTATTCTACAGAAATGTGACTCTGAATAATGCCAGTTTGTCACAGATGGGGATGAAATCAGATTTTCTCCAAAACACCCAAATGTGTGATGCATAAAGCAACATTGGCAGCCAGTGGGGAAGATCTTATCAATGAAGTACACAAAGCTCTGAATGTTTACTTCGCAGAGGAAATGGCTTCACAGACCGGAAAATTTAAGTTGTCATAGAAACCCCCATGCCATATATTTTGTTTTAATTTGAGTATTGGCAGATTAAGAGGACTCAGTGACAAAGGAGCTATATTAAAAATGTTGAAATTGAGTGTGCTGGTTTTATTTTTTAACTTAATTGATATCTGTTTTCAAAAGGACTTTTAATATCTAGAAGGGCAAAAGTATTTCATGCAAATTGTGCATAGATTTCTGTTGAAAAACAATATGGCATTGGAACTTTTTGTTATAAAATGGTGTGTTTTCTCCTGTTTATTTCTTATCATAAATTATCTTTTTACCGTGGTATCATCAAAATAACTTCACTGGTATCAATTAGTAACATAGGAAGCTATATATCCCAACTGTCTACATTTTTATTCCAACTCTTTTACTTAAGGAATCTGATAGTAGCTGCTATTGGTTTAGGAAGGAAAATTAATAATTAGTTTGACAATCTACTTGAAGTCAAACATTTAGGAAAACAAACAAATACTGAATCCCTTAACTATCTGGAGAGCTAATATTTATTGAGGGACTGCTCTGGGCCTCGCTGTGCTAGATTCTCTATGTACATGATTTCATTTGGTCCTTCAACTACTCTGAAATATAAATTATTTCATTTCTTGATATGTAAGGTGAGACTAAGAAACATTACGTGATGCTCAGTAAAAAGGAAAATCTGGAATTTAAACTTTTTCAACATCCAAAATGGCACCACACTGCCTCATGTCATATAATTAACTAGACACAAATGTCTAAGGAGCAGAACAGACATTTTGTGATAGATAAGACATAACTGATTCTGTAGTAAGAAGAACTAGGAAGATGTCCAGGCCTCACATATGACGGCCCCTTCTGGACCAAGTTAGACCTTGAGTTAGTCTTCAGTAACTAGCATCCCAGCTTGGTGTGAAAATTTGGAACACTTAATTATGGACATTAACATATTTACACATAATTAACACTAATACCATTTTGATAAATGATTAAAAATATTCCTGCATATATCTTCAGCTTTTACAAAGGGAATTATGTGATTTTGGGTTTTCAATTATGTGCAACCTATTGACTGGACATTTTCTGATGTTTCCATGGAGGATTTAAGTGTTATTATGTATAATATGTTAGCTATTAATTTTTAAATAACAAGTTTAAATTGCACAAAATTACTTTATTATAGAAGCTGTTGCCAAAATCAACTGGCTTGGGAATGCACATCACTGAGGAATTTGAACCAATCAAATCATTAGCCAGAGAAATGTAATTATTTATAACTCAGCCAAGCTCTTATTATGGGCAAGTTAGTTGCACTTTTCTCCGCTCTTTTGTGGTTGATGTGGTATTTTATAATGAACGTAGATTAGTGGGAAAGGAGCAATATTTATAAGCAAAAGACAGTGTAACAGAGTGAAAAATTGAAATATGAAAAATTATGAAAGACGGAAACATTCAGAAAGCAGATTTTCTGAAATTGTGTTTAAAGACAGATAAATAAATATGTTTGAAGATGGAATTGAGAAAAAAAGATGGAAAATGGTCATTGCTCACAGAAAAAGATTCACTAAGCTTATTCTTTTGATGTGATATAATAGTGATTTGATGGATGCAGCTAACAAAATGTCTACAAAAAGCCCAGTGGTATCCATTAATATTGATGCATTGAGTTTCACTAACCGTATTCATGGATGTATTATTTCTAGCACCTTCTGTGTTTTTCTTTTTGTATTTGGTCCATACCAGCGTGTTGGGTGCTGTCCATGGTACTGGACCAGCGTTGCTTGCTAGGGCCTGCTGTTTGGGAGATTCTAGGGATGGTTTCCTCCTCCCAACCGCAATGGCCCTGTTCCTTTATCTTACACTGTGCTTGAATTGTAAATACAACTTGTGAATTTATTAGTAACATTTCTAGTTATTGTAGTTTCTAAGTATGAGATCTCAGTGGAGATCTCCAAACTTAACCTGGCTAAAACTGAGCTTTTATTTTTCTCCAAACCAGTTCCTCCTGCAGTCTCTTCCATCTCCGTCAATGGCAACTACATCCTTTGTTACTGAGGCTGAAATCTTCTTATAATCCTTGACTCCACTCTTTTTTTCACATCCCACATCTGTCAGGTCTGCCTTTAAAATATATTCAGAATCCGACCAGTTTTCACCACCTCACTGTGGCCATCCTTGTGTGAGCCCCCATCATCTCTCCCTGTAATGGACTTCTAACTGGCCGTCCTACTTATGTCCTTCTACTTCCCCAGGCCAACTTTTAAAGCCTGTTCTCTATATAGTAACCAGAGTAGTCTTGTAAAACATGTCAGGTCCTATTACTCCCTTGCTGAAAATCCTCTGATGGCTTTCTGCTTTAGTCAGATAGTAAAAGACAAAGTCCTTATAATGGCTCTTACATCATCTGGCCTTCTTGACTCTTCCTCATGTACCCTATTTCAGCCACACAGGCCCTTTTGATGATCCTTGAACACACCCAATTATGTTTTTGCTTTAAGACCTTTGTACTCGCGATTCCCTGTGCCAATACAGATCTTCCATCATTATATGCATAGCTAATGTCCTTACTTTCTTCAGGTTTTTATTTAAAAATATCTTTTTCATTGATATTTTTCCTGGTCTTTCTATTTAAACTTGTTAAAAAGAAAGAAATACCCCCCCATAACAGCTTATATTTTAAATTAAATGTATCTTTGTTGTTTTTTTATCCCTCTAAGATGTTGGCTCAATGAAAGTAGGAATTTTTTCTGTTTTGTCTACTGCTATGCCTAGAATAATGCCTGCATAGTAGGAGCTCAATAAATATCTGTCAGCTGACTAAATGAATGGAATTATGTTAACAGATGAATGATTTTAGCGGAAATAAATGTCAATATTTGATGATATAAATATATATATTAGATTATAATCATTTATCAGATTATTATTTTAGATAATAAAAGCATTTTTAGCATTGCTTGATTTATGGTTAGGATTCTGTATTTGGAGGTGCTAAAATGGGTAAGAAGTCCAGCCATTGCAGATGCAGAGGCCTTTAGCTGAAGCTCTAGAGCTGTTGGGGTCCCCAGGAAAAAGCTCACATGAGATCTCCTGATGCTACGCTTCTGGCCTTCATTATTCACCCCCATTTCTAACATATATATGTTGGGGGGAAGCTTAAGGTTTTCAGTGGTGTGGGGCTACGACGGGTGTCCCTTCACACCATTTCAAATGGATAGGGGTAAGTTATATCTAGAGTCTTAGTTCCAGAAACAAGGTTGTGATACATACTCCTGTTAAAAAATTTTTTTTTGATTAATGTGCACCAGCCACTAGGGGATGCTAGACACTCATATTCAGAGTAGGGTCCACTGTCTCATTGGGCTTGGCAAGAAGTCTGGTCTACCTACCTTCAGACCATTTCATTATTTGTATTCTTTTTAGCCTTTTGTGTAAAACTAACATTTATTTAATATTTCCTCCATTCCTCCTTTTTTCAGCACATTCCCCAATTGGAGAGGGGTATTTTGGATGCATCTGGGTTCTTGCTTTTAGGAACTGTGTTTAATCATGGAAACCTCATTCCTATTTTCCAAGTGGCAGTGACTCATGCGGGGAGAGTCAAGGCCCTGGGTCTCTGCTAGTGCTTTCCCCATCCTTTAGCATTTCTTCACTTTGCTAAAAAGCGTAAAAGTCTTTTCAGTGATTCTGTCTGTGGGTGTTGGAAAAAGATTTTAAGAAAAATGATTTTCAAAATGACTAGTATTTACACGTATGAGTCCCTATCTTTTCAAGTTTTTAGTTTCATGCCACTTTAGGAAAATAATAGCCCATGCGGTGCCACCTTATTCTTTATATCTTTTACACGTGATTGATTGTAAAGGCGATGAGGATACCAGTATCCATTGCCAGGAGGTAAGCAGGAATCAGATAAAAGCAAAGGGTGGAAGGTGGAGATAGAAATACATATATGAATAACATTCTTCTTCTCTCCAACTTCATATAGCTTATCAAATCCTTAATTTAGCTTTGGGAGGCTGGTGGATCACTTGAGGTCAGGAGTTTGAGACCAGCCTGGCCAACATGGTAAAACCCCATCTCTACTAAAAATACAAAAAATTTAGCTGGGCATGGTGGCATGTGCCTGTAATTCCAGCTACTTGGGAAGCTGAGGCATGAGAATCACTTAAACCCAGGAGGTGGAGGTTGCAGTGAGTCGAGATTGTGCCACTGCACTCCAGCCTGGGCAACAGAGTGAGACTCTGTCTTAAAAAAAAAAAAAAGCTTAATTTAAACTTTGATCTTAGGATGAAATACCCTCATAGTGTGCTCTGCTGTTAGAGATTCATGTGGGAAAAACATATATCTTGGTTTCTTTAAATAAATTAGTAGAGGGAAAAGCTGAATCGACATATGTTATCATATAAAGGAGTTAAAATCATGTTCTTTGGTGTGAATAGACCTTGGTTTGAAACTAAACTCTGCTGCTTATTAGGTGGGTAACTTCAGAGAAATTACTTTTTATCTCTCAATCCTCAGTTTTCTTATCATTAAATGAGTTTAATAACTTCTATCCCATAAAGTTATTGTGAAGATTCCTGGGAAATATGTATATACATATTTAATAACCATCAGCACAAAGAATGGCATGCAATAGTTGCTCTATAGAAGTTAATTCCTTTCCACTTTCATGTCAATATTTTTAACCTAGCTGTTAGATGATCTCAGATCTCAGTCCTAGTGGAGGAATTTGAACTGGACTTTTTCCTCCCTTAACATAGTACAATGTGTATGTAAATCACTAGTAGGAATTCTGTCATTAGAATTTTTAAAGTGTAAGTTAAAGTTAATATTTTGCTTTATGAATAAGATATTTTTGTTACTTCTGGGTGGATGTCAAGGAAGAAATCAGTACAAGGTAATCCCTTAATATTTCCTTGAAATGTATGTTTGTAGTATTATGCCTGATTGTAATAGCATGGGCAAAATCAGTTAAAATATAGTGAGCTGCACACAAAACCTTATATGAAATTCTTTCTTTGGCTTGATAAATGCCAAGACCTAATTCTTTGTGAAGTGGGTGCCATAGCTTTCAGTGACGTTAATATCATTCATGTAAAATCATTGTTCCTCCAGCATATTTTTATGGGTCTCAGAGGTCACGTGTTCACAGTTTGTGTAAGAACCAGCATTGTGGTGGAGTGGTGACAGAATTGCATTGAAATCGTGGCTCTTCTACTCAATAATTGTGTGATCTTGAACAAGTCTGTTAATCTGTGTGAGATACAGCTCTTAGACATATAAAGAGTAGGACTATAGTCATTATGCCTATTGCATATCATTGTATTGATGCTTAAGTGAAAGAATATACATGAAAGCAGTTTATGAGCTCTCAAGTGTTCTCCAAATGGGAGATGGTTTCTCATTGCCACATTTCTGGCTGCTGCTTTCACTTGTCAAACCACATTCCTGAAGCAACACAGTTTGCTGTTAAAGGGAGAATATTTAAGGGGCCCGAGATGCTGTAGGAAAGCCATCTTTCTCTTCTTTCTTTTCTAAATGGCAGCAGTAAGAGGTCTGTGAGATGGGAAAATAGGGGATTAATTAGAAGATGATTCTACATTTGCCTGAGAAGATGAATGATGTTTAATGCGCTTTGAGAATTAGGCAGTGCTCGGGAGTCCATTTTATTTTTCTACTTGAGTGTTCCAGTGTATTCGTTGAGTAAGACCTAGACAGATTATTTTACCTTATCCCAACATGCCTTTCTCTTTACTTTGGGTAAGCCCAAAGTGTAGGTTCTGTCATCACAGACCATCAGCCCTCTGTTCTTACAGCAGATGAACTGCCCCGGGACTGCTTCTTGGGTAATAATGGACATCACATGGGCCATCCAGCCACTCTCTGTTGGTTCTTATGTCATCCTTCCTGCTCAGACAGGGATTTCATACCAGATACTTCTCCTGCCATCATTGTGATCCAGCTGCTGAGATAACGTTTCTTACATTTTATTTCATTACTCTAGCATATTTATAAGAAATGGTTAATTTGACTTGAGTTTATCAGTGACTGTACTGTGAGCTCACTTTTAGCTTAAGTATCCACTTTGAGCACAAAAGTGTGGATTTTTTTAAGTTATTTTTTTCACTTTTAATGAGTATACCATAAGCTCTTATAAATATTATATAGAAATCTGTCTCTTATGGAAAGTAAGCTAGACCCATTCCTCAGTGACTAGCGTAAAAATCTATTTCTGCCTCACTAAGAGTTTAACATATGTGTACCTTTTATAATGCCTTGTAACTTGGCTAAATATGCCATTTTGAACTGATATTTAAAACTGTATAAAGATCCTGTGGTTATTGATAAAAGTACTTGATAGAAAATGCTGTGACATTTAAAATTGTCAGGCTGTACTGGATGACTTTTCCTTGAGGTTGTTGCAGACACTCCACAGTCGACATTTAGTTTAGTTGCTATTTCTGGTGGCACGTGTCTTGCATGGGCCTCATGAGTATGTTGACACTTGCGTATTGTGCATTTAAGAAGTACCTGGAGAGGACTCCTCCCCTGTCAAAAAGTTTTCTCCATCAGTTTTCCTATAGACATTTGCTACAATTCCAGGTTAATTTCTTTTGATTTTCTGTTTTTGAACAGGTTATTTTATGAGTGAAGTCACTCAATGAGTATTTCTTGTGTTCCTATTATATAACAAGTCCCGTGTAGGGTCTATAGTCAATCACTTCCACCTGTGGAAAAATAATTAGCTTGTTTGGATGGGGATAGGGAGAAAGAAAACAATTTGGGGAGGGCACTGGGCTCCTCAGTGTGGTAACACAAGGCTGATGGAGAGGAAAAGAGTGTATGAAACTTTGACTGTAGGAGATGCTTAATATGTATTTATTACATAAAATGTATTAAAATAAACTTGTGGTTCTAGCTTCATTAGGTTGTGATAAGGTGGAAGGGCCAGTGTCCTGAGTGTCAGAAAACATGGGTTTTGCATGGCTAGCCCTGCCACCCAGCCACTTAGCTGTGACCCTTTGAACAAGCCATTTCACTTTTCTGGGCTGTGACTTCTTTATTAGTAGAGTGATAGAGTGGGACTAGATGATTTCTAAAATTCCAGACTCTTCTGATTTTTTTCCTGAAGCATGCCACTTGCATTTTAATGAAAATATTGATTGTTAATATTTATTGAGAAGTATAAATGTAGCGGGCTGGTACCGTCTTTATTCCCATATTACAAATGATTCCATTTGTAAGTTAACAATCCTTAAATCTGTTCTGGTGTCAGAGCCAGGGTTTGAACTGAGATCCACCAGTTTCAGGTATGCACATGTTTATGCAACACAGCCTCCAGAATGAAGGCTGATGAAGACAGGGACGCTCATTCCCCACCCCCCAATCCTCTGTGTAAGCTTTGAAGATCACTCTGGAAGAGTCTACCTGTCATGAAAGAACGCAGATGACTTTTTAAGAATATTTATGTAGTCTTATATTTCAGGGTACCTGAGAGGCCCTTTAAGGTCCTAAATTATTTTTTGTTCTATACAGGAATCCTTTCTGTAAAACCCTTGACTAAAACTGTCTCTGCTAAAGGATGGGTATTGGCAGGTGTTGGGGTGAGTTGACGAAAAAGCAAAACAATAGTTTCTGTGAAAATGCATGTTAAAGAGAATTAGCAGTAAATGAACGTGTGTTTCCTTAAATAACCCAACACCCCAATCCACCTAGAACCGATGACTTTTGCTAGTTTTTACCCATCACCTCAGGAGTCATTCTGGTTTCTTGGAAACGTGTAAAGTATCTGCTTAGGGAAATATTATTTTATGTTGCTGATGTTGGGAGGTAGCATCTACTTTAGTTGAGGAATAGTCAGCTAATAGTTCTTTTCTTTGCTGTGCTTTTGCTTATGTATTTGTTCAGACCTGCTGCTTAATGATTTCAGCTGGCCACCTGCCATGTCAAAATCACTTTCCTCTCAAGATCTGTGGAACCAATTTTATCTGAACACAATGGAAAGGAACTCACCATTTTGAGCTACATATGGTCTTAAAGATACCATCTTAAATAAAGAGAAAGTGAAGAAAACATGGTTTCAATCATTAGTTTCTTTCCCAGAGCCACTTTCTCCACCTCTAATATATTGTTTATTTTCTGCTAACACTTTAAACACTTATACTCAGTTAATATTTCAACTCTTGTGTGAGGAATTGGTTTTTATGCTTTCTAGCAGACAGATTGCCTGAGACTGACACTTCTGACCAAGTAAAATAAGCATATTTAAAATGCTCTGTAGCTTATTTTCGCAACGTATTTGTGAACACTAGAACTTCCATATGGAAGGGACTGGGGGAGAGGATGCACACAGTTTGAAAAACTATTCAGGAACTGGAGAGGGTAATGAAAATGAAAAAATGTAACTTATGGCCTCCAATCTATCTTTTCAAAAAGTAATTAAAAACTGAAAAGCAAAAGAATAATTACTTCTTAGTTTAATACCCCCATTCTAACACCTGATGTAATCATTAGGGTTTGATGCAGCTCAAGATAAACATTGTATAAAAAGAGTAATATACAAATGGAATATATTGTCATTCACATGCATAAATAGATTAGCTTACTATTTTAGAGCACTGATTCACTAATTTATATTCAAATTTGTGTTTCTTACCCAATTCATGTTTCTAGCCTCACTTCCATTCCTGAGTCATAGTCAGGATGAATAGTCATAGCCTGAAGATTTAAATTTAGATGTTCTACCATTTACTACCTCATAATTAATCTCAAGTTTTATTCACCACCCCTCCAATTAAGAGGTTCTTCTATTAGTCATTTGATCTTCTATCTCAGTCTTGCTTACACTCCCTTGAAACCACACTTTGATCTTGTCTCAAATCTAAGCTCCACCTTTGTCTTACTAGTTGTGGGTTCTTGAGGAAGGTGTCTAGCAGAGTGTCTGGCTCATAGTAGGAGATTTTAAAGTATTGTTTCTTTTTTCCTTGTCTCAGAGCCTCATCCTTCCCCACCCATCCAGATGATCCTGTTCATTATTCAAAGACTAGATCTGATCACTTCTCTTACATGGACCCCATGGGACTTGCATTCTTCTCTGAGCCAAATAAGGAAACGTATTTGTCCCTTAATAAATACTCTGATTTATTATTTTCTTTTTCATGTTGTATCATTGGAGTTTTTGGATACAAGCAATAGAAAGGATTTGGCTGACATGGGTAAAGAGAGGACCTTTTGGGAGGGCTAAGGTAGCTCACTCGATTCACCAGTCTAGAGAACCAAGCTTGGGAATGGATGGGAAGCAAAGAGGTATCACATGGGTGAGAGACGAGGAATCTGGTGAACAGTCTCATAACAGGAGCAGTTGTTGAGCAAGCCACCACCACCGAGGTGAATGAGCTCTGACTGCTTCTTCCACTGTTGTGGCAATTGCTTAGGGTGCAAATAAGAAGAGACTGTGTGATGGGTTCAGCCCAGCTACACCAGGGCAGTTAGTGGAAGGATCTGCCCTTTCGACTGCCCTAGTACGAGGCCAGGCACCTGAACTTATTATCACCAAAGACTTCACACAGCAGGAGACACAGAAGTCCCTGAAAGGAAGTCTGGATGCTGTTAGGAAGGAGAAACTGAATTGCAGTGACCAGACCACCAAAACGTTCCCTACCATTTTTACCCTTCAAACTCTGGAAATTTTCATTTCCTGAAGAGCATAGATTGTAATTATGCTAGGTTTTGGAGTTCCTAAAGTTTGTATATTCATGACATATTTATTAACCCTTTAATATACATGTACCAACATTTATCTGAGGTGCCGTGTATATAGCAGTGTATACATAAACATTCCTGTCTTCCTGGAGCTTGTATTTTGGTGGCAAGGTGAGGCAGTCAATGAGCAAGATTAGAAAAATGCAGCTTGTATTAGTGATGTGTGATGGAGGAAAAGATGACATGGCAGGGCAATAGAAAATGCTATGGTATATGACTTGAAGTTTTAAAAAGTGATTGGAGAAGGTCTCACTAACTAAGGAGGGGACATTTGAACAAAAACTGATGGATGTGAGGAAGCTAGCAATGCAGATATATGAGGGAAGAGTGATCCAGGCAAAGGGAATGGCAAGTGCAAACACAGGTGCATGTGTTCCCCTGGCACGTTAAGGACCAGCCTAGAGGTCATTGCAGCTGGAGTGGAATGAAGGAGAAGGAAAGTAGTGGGAGATGAGATCAGAAATGTAGGAGGGAACCAGACTACCATAGATGCGACACATGAACAAGATGTGGCCTCTGCTTCCAATGGCCTTGTGGTCTAAGAGGAGGCACAGATGTGAAAGGACGTACTTCAGTACATTGCAGCAAGCACCAAAATTAGGCAGAGGGTGCAGGCTAACTGCACCCAGGCAGGAGGATGGGCCTGGTTAGATCTCTGCTTGTCTGTGAGCTCTTTGAGGGAGTGATGTATCTTATTCATTTTGCATCCTGGGTGGCTTGTAGAGTGCCTGACAAATACCTTTTGTATATATTTTTGAATTCATTTTGAGTGGTTGAATTACAGATACAATGGGCATAATGTGTGAGAAGGAGCAGGATTTTCCTTAATCACAGACAGAGGAGGCTTAGGGAAAGAGATTAAGGAAAATAGGAAAGCCACAGACGGTTGAAGAGCCAAGAGTTGAATCTCTGCAGTCTTCTCTCTACTCGGTACTTTTTCTGTCCTTGGCATCATTGCTTTGATGTTGTAAAGTATTGACCACATAAACTACTATAAAAGTTTTTTGAGAGGTAAGCATAATGTCTATATTAGTTGCATGATCTGCAACATCAAGGTAGTTGATTATTTTACTGCAATTTAGGGGTTTGATTTACTGGCTTATTTGTGCTGTTTTTTCCCCATGTGGACGGTTTTGTGCTTGTCTTTATACTTTTTCTCTACAGGGCACTCAAGGAACACCAAAATGTAAAATAGAACCACACCATTGTATAGCAGCTGTAGACAGATATCAGTGAGGCTGATAATTTGGATTTTTCTATTGCAACTGCTACTGCCATCTAGTATTATCTAATACTGAGTGGCTTCTTCCATGATGACTTCTTGAATTGTGAAGTGGAAATTTGGTAGCCTTATGTAACCAAGCACTTACATTATTTAATTAAGCAAGGTGCTACATGAATCAACAAAGCAACACAAGCTGAATATCAGGAAAACACATTTCAATTAGTGACAGCAGGACCAGTGCCTGAAGGCCCTATTCATTGGGTAGAAAATATGACAATGCCAGGGAAAAATGCAAATTCATTTCTTATAATATTCTGTGTGCTGAACTGCTAAACTAATATTTATTAGTAATCTTAGAGTCAGTAGTCTTTGCATATACGTTTTACTTCCTTTCCTTTATATTTCATTTATCAATAAGTTTTTGGAGTCCCCGTGGGTGAAAATGTTGATCTGTTAGGGATTTAGAAAATCTAGTAAAAGTTTGCCTGGGCTCAGAAGCTTATTAATCTATTTGAAAAATATGTGTCTGCCACTGTACTAGGCATTAAGCATACAAAAATGAATAAAATATGAAGTCTTTTTATATATATATTTTTATTATACTGTAAGTTCTAGGGTACATGTGCACAACATGCAGGTTTGTTACATATGTATACATGTGCCATGTTGGTCTGCTGCACCCATTAACTCGTCATTTACATTAGGTATATCTCCTAATGCTATCCCTCCCCCCTCCCCCCATCCCACAACAGGCCCTGGTATGTGATGTTCCCCTTCCTGTGTCTTTAAGCTCTTTCTGAACAGGAGAGAAGCCACAAACTATCATATAGTGTGATACGGGCTGTGATATAGAATATCTGGGAGTGCTTTGAGAACCTACAGGAAAGAGGAGGTCTTCTAATGAGGTCATAGGCAATGCTTCCAAGGGAGTTTTTCTTCAAATGGAGGAAAAGGAAAAGGGATTCTAGGTGAAGGGAATAGGATGACCCAAGGTCTAGGAGTTTGAAAATGATGGCACTTGAAGAGATGCATACAAGAATGCTGGGCTGAGGGATTTGCATTTGCCCCATAGGTAGTGAGGAGCCAGGAGAGATATGTGATATTCCAGGTTCCTGTGGATGAACCATCCAGGTGAAGACATCAGAATACAGTAAGAGTCTTAACTTTGACTGCAGGTCTAGAACTCACAAGGGAAGCTGGCTTGATAACATCCCCAAAGGAGAGAATTTACATTGAAAGAGGAAGGCTGATGACAAGACATTAGAGAAAAGCAATATTTTAATAGGTAGGTTGAAGAAATGATATCAGAGAAGCCAGGCTTTGCCTTGTGTTTGGAACAGGCCTGCCAGTAGATGCCTTTATAGTAAAAGATAAATAACAATAAATGAAATGCTTTTATTGTTAATAAAAATGTTGATGATGATGACAATGATAGTAGTAGCTAATACCTATTGAGCACCTACTCTGTACTGGGCACAGCTCTAAGAATTTTTCATTTAATCCTACAACAACCATATGAGATAAATAGTACTGTTATAATATCATTTTCGTTTGGCAGATAAGGAAACCAAGATGCAGAGGCTTTAAAGTCAGTTGTCCAAGGTCACACGGCTAATAAGCAATGGGTTTAGGACTTCAACAGTCTTGCTTCAGAGTTTACACTCCCTATCTGCTATCGTATCTTTTAAATAGTCTAACAACTGTTTGGGAGATGTCTTATCAAAATTGCTCTCTCGACCGGGTGCAGTGGTTCACACCTGTAATCCCAGCACGTTGGGAGGCCGAGGCAGGAGGATTGCTTGAGCCCAGGAATTTGAGACCAGCCTGGGCAACATAGTGAGACCACTTCTGTTAAAACAAATTAAATAAAAAAGTGCTCTCTCCCTGGGAGTTCAAGATTTCAGTGAGCTATGATTGGACCACTGCACTCCAGTCTGGGTGGCTGAGGGAGACCTTGTCTCTAAAAAAAAAAAAAAAAAAAGCTCGCTCATACCCAAAGTCAGGGCAATAAAGGTTTGAGTGGTCAAATAAAGGGTTGAGTGGTCAAAGTCACATAAAGGTAGAGCTTCAACAGATTATTTTTCTTTAGATTTTCAAGTCAGCATGAGGTTGTCTGATACAAACATCATAGATGCCATGGTTAAATGGTTCTGTTTCTCAGAAAGCCCCCTTTCTTCTTATAACTGCCCCTTCCTTTTTAACAGACCAGCTTAGCCTGCTCAGCATGAGTGAGCCTTGACTATTCAATATTCCACAGGCCCCTATAGGGCCTGTTGGTGGCCATGGTAGGGGGCATAGTGGACTTGCTGATCCTTGTGATTATTGAGTATGAATTTAAGATGCACATGGCTGAGGCTGGTGGTGGTGAAGGTGCGAAGATACAGCAGCATGAATCCAGGAGGTGGAGGATGCAGTGAGCCGAGATCGCTTCATTACACTCCAGCCTGGATGACAGAGTGAGACTCCGTCTCAAAAAAAAAAAAAAAAAAAAAAGATTTGCAAGAGTTACCACCTGCTGCTATAAGACTGTAAAGAGCATGGACTAAAACTGAATGGGGGTATGGGGTGCCACCTTGGCAGGAGTTGACTGAGCCTCAAGGTTTGTTTGGTTTTTGATGATTCTAAGCTGACAATCATAGGGAAAAAGAATAAGAGTGCACATTCAGTTTAAAACCAAAATATACTCACTATCAGCATAGCAGGAATACAGAATAAGAAGTCCACAGGGCCTGGAAAAGTCAGAAAAGACTTTGTCAAGGGAAAGAGATTACAGCTGAATAGGTGGAGGAGAAGGTAGCTTGATCAAAAATGTGCTGTTGGGAATACATATGGTAAAAACAAAAGATAAAGAGACTGGCCCAAGCATCAGGTCAGATGTGTGGAGAGGAAGGTGGAAAATAAAGTTTCATAAATAAAGTGAGGTCAGATTTTATGGGGCCTTCAAAGGAGTTCGATGTTTTAGCCATGGGAAAAATGGGGCAGGTGGGAATGCTTGAACTAGGAATTAATGATGAAAGAGGTATTTGAAGGTCATTAATCCTAATATGTTGGATTGCAGAGAGACTGCAGGTAGGAAGGGCAGTTAGAAAACTGTAATTATCAAGTGTTTGAGATGGGTTAAAGCCTGAAGGAAGATGTGGATGGAGGACTGAGAAGCAAGGAGCAAGTCCAATGGGCAGTATAGTTAGATGAAACAGAAGGGAGACTAAAAGCAGGTTCCCTATCTTGCCTTGAGGATTAGAAGACTGAGGACATCACCAATGAGGTACTTAGGAAGATAAGCCTATTTTCATTATTAGTTAGAAAACTATTTTTTTTTTCTGAATTGATTCTCCTAAGAATTTTATACTGTATTGTTTTCAAGATGGACATCATTCTGTCTTTGGGATGTGTCTTATACTTCTGCTGGCCAGGCCGTAATTGTGATATCATTGCTTTTGATTGTGGATTTGTACCAGAACTTGCAGAATGGGGGCCAGTGGCTCAGAAGAAAATCTCGGAGATAATATGTGATCTCTCTTTGAGGAGATGCTGTAGTACCTCCCTCTTGATGGCAGAGAGAATGATTTTGTGTGGAGAAGCACAGAAACTGAAAACACCAAGTCACAATTTATTTAGTAGATTCCAACTGCAAATAAAGAAAGTTTAGGGATACCTTAACCAGTTTATTTCTTTGTAATGTAGGTACAAGAATATATATTACAAAAAACAATCTGGGCAAGTTTAAAAGCACATTTTAATAAAGATAAAAAAATTTTAAGTGATAAAGTATTCTTTCATAGTTTAATTGGCCTTTTTTTCATTCCCAGTACATATGGCAATGGGGTATCTTACAATCAGTGGCATTTTCAAATAAATAAGGTAAAATATCCAGGACCCACTGCTTGTTTGAAATTTGCTTGCTGGAGTTAAGAGAAGTGAACATTTTAAAGATTTTTTTTTTCCTTTAGACAGAACCTTATTTCATTTGTGAAGGCTGACTGGACTTGGATGCTGCCCACTAGTTAATTTAGTGTGGCAAAAAATAAGAATTCTGTGTCTGGGCTTCACTGTCTGCAAAAATGAATGCATTATTGTAAAATGTGCACTAATCTAAAAAGTGTATTGCCTTCCTAGAAGTCTGAGTAATGTCTTACACACATAATCACACTGCCCGTCTTCATATGGACATGAGTCCTATAGTGCTTGAGAAATGGAAATTATTTGACTGCATCAGCTAGTGCATCGTACTTCTGGTTATTTTGAATTTTTGTAATCAGATGCTGCTGAGGCTGTGGCCTTTTCCCCACCTCCTCTCTCATACATATATATGAGTGGTGTGTTCAGTGAAATTTTCTGACATGAAAAAGAAGTCCTTAAACCAAAAATAATAATAATAATAATAACAATAAAGGGACCACTGTCTTAGAAAACATTAGTTACCCGTTCTCTTTCCTTCTCAAGGAGGAATGACTTCAGTGCAATTAACAATCCGTGTCTTTGTGTCCCAGTTTGATCTTGCCCAGTTTGAAACAGCTTGCACTACTAGATTGGTTCTTGTAAGTGTTGAAAGTTCTTAATTACAAATTAAATCTTGATCCTGTAACTTGGTAGTAATCCTACCATCTATATATAACTTTACGATTTTCAGAGGACTTTCTTTATTGAAGGCAGTATGAAGCAGGAAGGGCAGGCATTGTGCCACTTTACGGTTGGGGAAACTGAGACACAGAGAGAGTAAATGACTTGTTTGGGTCATAGCAGTTAGTAGTAAATGTCAGAGGAGGGATGGAACCTAGATTGGGTGACTCCTTGTTCAGTGCTCTTTTATTTTTACTTCTCCTGTTCATATTGAATTGTTTCAGAGGTTGGAATTAGGAACAAAATAAACCTATATCCCATTTTCTGAGTCACAGTCCCTCAGACATGTGAAGGCAGCAATCATGAGTTGTTGTTTGTTTTCCAGCCAAACATATCTCTTTTCCAGACTGTAGTAACATAGAGACCCCCTCAAAGATCCCTGATGTGACAGAGGTAAAGACATTTACTAGAGTCAGAGGTCAGCTTTCTTACCTGTGAATTGGCCAAAGGCATCTATTAGGCTATGGAATGTTAATTATTTCCTGCATTTGTCTTTGGCTAGCCTTCTCTAAATGCACCATAACTCACCTGAAAAACTACCAGATCATGTTGTTTTTGAGTTAGGTCACCAGCCCTCATCAGGATCTTTTAGGCATGCCTGGAACGTTGGTTGACAAAATCCAATGAAATGACCACCTATTTTTCTCTAGCCAGTGAGTCTTAATAGGAGGTGAGCAATGGGAACACCTTTAAAAAAAAGATGCCTGTGCCTCATCATATAGTTACTGAACCAGAAATGAGGGGAGAAGATCTCAAAGATGGATATTATGATGGTAAATACACTTGGGAAATTCTAATGTATCCCTGAGATACCACTGTCATACTACTAAAGCCTAAAATGACATTTAAAAAAATGCTACCACCTATTTTTATTGGCTCATACAAATCTTGTCATCATTTGATATTGTCATGACATCCGCCAAAATTATAACTGACCCAGGTCTCCCTACTCATGTACATATTCATTCATTCAACAAGTATTCATTGAGTACCTGGTACGGTGGATAAGGTAGTGAATAAGACAAAGTCTATATCCCACAGAGCTCGTATTCTAATGGGTAAGAAGGCAGCAAATAAATAAGCAGAAACATCTCTTAGGTAGTGGTAAATGCTACAAAGAAAGATGAAGCTGGGTGAGGAGATATAGAATAATGAATAGGGGGTTGCAAGCTACCAAAACAGAATGGTCAGGAAGGCTGAGGTGGTGACATTTGACAGTCCTAAATAAAGTGAGGGAGCATAGGAAGATCCAGGGTGAACGGTAGTCCAGGCAGAGGGAACAGCAAGTGTCAAAGTCCTGAGGACAAATTTGGACTGCTAGCCTTCATATTAGTTTAAAATCATTGTTTGATTTTATAAGACATACTAGCCTTTCAGAAATATAGGATATAATTGATCAGGGCCTGAAGGATGAACTCATTTTCTTCTGTTAGCTCCAGGTACTTCTTAACAATACTTAATCTACTTTTGCTGTTTGCTCTTTGTAGACAACAATGCAGAAGTTGGATGCATCTTCTATGACATTTTTGGACTTGTGTTTTAAGAGAGGTACATTGCCTCTTTGGGGATCTGGAATCTTCCTGATAGCGAGTCAGCAAGATTGGTGGGCCCAACACTGGCACATGTCTCAGCCAAATTCTCTGTGTAGCTTCTGACAAATGCCAAACTACTGGTAAATATCCACCCCCCCCCCCCCCCCACTGAAAGCCAAGGACAATAATATTCTTTATTCATTTTCTGGCTCTGAGTATCTTTTCTTTTTGTTTTTGCAGCCTAACCTTTTTGTCATCTTTGGCATTTTTCACAGGCTCCAGCTCATTCCTGGCTTTAGTTGAACTTTTCTGACATTCTTCATATAGGTCAGTGCTACTCTTATATTTCATTCTTTGTTATATGATTCTCCTTCCATCTTTTATGTGGTTGTTTTGAAGCCTGAACCCCTCAGAAAGTTTCCTCTGTGACCACATTATTTTCTCTGGAAGCCTGCTCTTTTATCTCCCCTCCGCAGCTGTTTGCAAGTGTGTGTATGTGTATGTGTGTGTGTGTGTGTGCCTGTCTGAAATGTTTTTTAGAGGCTCATTCCTTTCTGAGGTAGGTAGGTTCCTATTTAGAACTTCTGAGCCTAACATCATGCTTAGTTTACTTCTAATTTTAATGAACACTTTTATTAAGATCCTGTCTTAGTTCATGTGCACTGCTATAACAAAATACCTTAGACTGGGTAATATAAAGATAATAGAAATTTGTTTCTCCCAGTTCTCAAGGCTCAGAAGTTCAAGATCAAGATATGAGCAGATTCAGTGTCTGGTGAGGGCTGTTCTCTGCTTCCAAAATGGTGCCTTGTTGTTTTGTCCTTACATGGTAGAAGGTGGAAGGGTAAAGGGGCCTACCTCGATCCCTTTAGCCCTTTTATAAGGCACGAATTCCATCCAAAAGAGTAGAGCCCCCATGGCTTAACCACCTCCTAAAGGCCCCACCTCTTAATACTGTTGCACGGAGGATTAAGTTTCAACAAGACTTTTGGAGGGGACACAAACTTTCAAACCATGGTATATTCTAAATTTGTGTCTTAGTTCATCCTTTCTCTTTCACAAACTCCAGGATGACATAATTTATTTCCTCCAAAATTTCTGTCACACCAGCATCACCTTCCAGTGACTTCTTCTTCTTAGAATTATGATAGAGGAGCTGTTAATCTTCTTTTATAGCATAGCAATTGAGACCATGGGAAAATCTGGGTTCAAGTCCAACACCACCGCTTACTCTCTGGGTTGGCTGTAGGCAAATTGTTATGAAGACTGAAATAGTGCACACCAAGTGCTTTAGGAATGTGCTTGGTATATTTTTAGTCCTCAATAATTGCTAGTGGTTACCATAATCATTATCAGCATCAATATCATGATTCTGAGATAAGAAATTATTGTCAAGCTAAGTCAAGAATGAATAGATTCACTAAACAAGTATCTGGACTGTCGACATTCCCCTAACTATAATATTGTAACTCTGTAAAAATATTTCTAATCTATACTCAGAAAATATCCTTCACACCTTCTGTTCCTGAGAGCTTCAATGTCTTTTTATACAGCAGTTTAACTGTCCTCAACTTCTCGCCCCAAACTTACATATTCAAACATTCATCAAGATGTTCAACAGAATAAAGGGCCTTACCAATATCAAACAAGCACCCTTTAAAAGTGCTCTGTAAAATTATCCTGTAATTTAGAAGACAGGTAGACGACGACATGACCACATAAAATCCTGTTATTGTTAGGAATGATTACTACTCCTTCAAATACATACAAAGTCACTTTTAAGTTGGTTAGGCTTTTGAATAAGGAGAGAGGAATGGCTCAACCAGTCATTTTAGAATAAATAATTATCCCATGCTGATAGAGTGGAATGGAATAATCTGAGAGTGATTGTGGGAGTTTGGACTTCAATTTGAAATATACAATGAGTTGTTCATGTTGAAAAACTGACCAGGATGAAAGACTGTTGGAGTTATTAGATAATTCTCTTCCGATAGAAGCTGAGCTAAAAATAAACTTCCTGTTTACTTCCTTTCCTTTCATCTAAAGTCAAGACGATGCATGTCAAAGATGGCTGTGCTTCATTCATTCATTCATTCATTCATTCATTCAGCAGTTATTTATTGAGTATCCACTGTATATCAGGTACTGTTCTGGGCATTAGAATTACAGAGGTAAATGCAAGGTGCCTGCCTTCATGGAGTGTACACTGTACAGGAGGGGATTAGATTTAAGCAAGAGAATAAGCCAGAAAGATAATTTCAGATAGTGTTAAGGCCTGTGAAGAAAAGAGAACAGGCCAATGGAATGGGTAGTGCAAAGAGGGAGGAAATGAGATACTTAGAGACAAGAATGATGATAAGTTTCAGATCTGGGGAGCATTCTCTGAGGGGAAACTGGATTTTATATTCTATCCAGTGTGGATTGAGAAGCCATTTAGAGGTTGCAAGCAGGAGAGTAACATGTTCTGGATTTCATCTCACAGCAATTCCCCTGTGTTCTTAGGATAATGTATTGGAAATAAATCTGACTGGATGTGAGGATGCCAGTTAAGAGTCTGGTCCAGGAGAAAAAGGGTGGTGGATTGGATGAGAGTTGGGGAAGTGGGGATGGAGAAGAGTGACTAGAGTCAAGATTTATTTTGGGTTCTGAAGTGACAGGAACTCCCAACAGACACAGCTCTGTGGGGTGGTAAGGTAGAGGGATGTTTCTGACCTGCCTGTCTGGTGGAGGGTGGAACCCTTTGTTGAAATTAGAAAGGTAGAGGAGCTGGCTTTTTGGAGAGGATAGATATAGAGAGTGAGGAATGAAAAATTAAAGTCAGGGCTTTAAAAGCCTATGAGGCATCCACGTGGAGGTATAAAATAGTCAGCCGGAGGGATAGTCAAAGCAAGAGGGAAATTGGGGAACATTAGCATGTTCATAATATTAATACTATGGGAATAGGGGAGATCAACAAGGAAGAACGTAGAGAGAGAAGAAAAGAGGACCCAGGACAAAGCCCTGGAGAAATTAATTAGTGGGTAGAGAAAGAGGATGTTGAAGACTGAAAAGGAACAGCAGAGGAGTTGGGAAAACCAGGCAGATATTTTATTGCTAAATCCAAGAGAAGAGCTTTCAGAAGTTCTGAAAGTTGTCCACCATGTGAAGTTCTACTGGGAGATTAAGAACCGGAGAGCAGGAAAGGCCCATCATAGTGGCCAGATGGAAGTCATTGTGCTGTAAGCAAAAGTGTTTTGAGTGGGGTGTAGGTGGGTGGAGAAAAGATTACAGGGAGTGAGAGAGTGAATGGGACGTGAGGAAGCAGATGGAGATGGTGAGTGCACATAGTTTTTCAAAGAAGCTGTGAATGGGCGGAACCTGGAGGGGATATGAGTCATCACAGAAATATTAGACATTTCTGAGATGGCACCTGAAAGAAAAGTTGACCTGGGAGAGGACTGGCTGGCATATAGTAATTACTCTGGGGTTTAAAGGGTAGGAATGGCTTGAGGTTAAGGTCTCTGACCTCTTTTTAGCTTAGGACAATCTCTCTTCCTCTTTTGTTCCTCCCAAGAGGACGTTGTTTGAGCATCCATCCATGACTGAAACTTGCCTGTCCTTGTACATTTTAGTAACATGAGCCAATAAATTTGCTTATATTTTTATAGCTTAAGATGTTTGCAATAGAGTCTTTTTATTGTCTATATGGTACATATGTCTGTATCTATGTGATACATGGCTACATAATCATATAAATATATTGTCTACATGGAGTTTCTCAGAATTAAGAAAAAGCACAATTACTCTGTAGTTCACCCTAATAGTTATCTAAACTAAGGAAAGGGGGAATAAATGAAAAAAAGTAACATTTTATCATAATGTTGTTTTTAGATAGCATATATAGCATTTACTTTACCAGTTCATTGTAAGTTGGCAAACATTTAGAACTTGAAATGAAATCAGAGCTCATCTGGTTTAGTTTCATTGAGTAGAGGAAATGGAAGCCTAAAGGGAGTGAATGACCCATGGAAGGAAAGAACCTAGGACCTGGCTTTCAACCTAGGAACCAGAGCTTTGGAGTAACACAGACCTGGGTTTGAGTTCTGCCTCTGCCACCCATACCCTTGAAACTCTGGGTGAATTATTTAGCTGCTCTGTGTTTATTTTCTAATCCATAAAATGAAATTATAAGACATTGATCTTGTAGTTATGAGGCATATATGAGATTGCAAATTAACTAGCAAGGCGTCTAGCACATAGAAATCCCTTGATCAGTGTTAAATCTGTAGTGTCCCAAAACCTTGAATGAATTAGTAGTAAGCTGAAAAACATGAAGATCATCCTAGTATATAAAAATCATACTTTCCTCTCTTGTCTTCTTACTGTTAGTTTTTGGGTAAACCAGTAATTCCATTTTTCAACAAATTATTTGGATAATTATTGATTCATATAAAGTTATAAGAAATAACAGAAAGAACTTGTGTACAGTTTCCCCCAATGGTAACATTTTGAAAAACTTAATAAAATATCACTCAATAATTTGATGTTATGAACAACAAATATTTTACTGGTGCTAATATCTATTAAAACATCAGAAAATTCAATTTTATGTAATTTGGGACTAAAGCAATATCCTGAATTTCAGTATCTGTTGGAACCATTAGACAAATGGATCTAGTGCCACAGACAGCTGACTTTGCTCTGACTTGGTGACCTTGGCCAAGGCACTTAATTTTTATGCTCTAGAGCTAATTATAAATTGGGACAAAAGTACTCATCTCTGCTTAATTCAGGGGAGTGTTCCAGATTAATTCGATACTGTGCATAGGTATCCCCTGGCTATCTCTCCTGCCACCTTTCTTTATATACTGTCTATGTTTTCCTTTTCCTTCTTTGCCAACCCATAATGATTTTCTCAGTTTTCAAAGCACACCATGTTTTATCTCGTTTCTATACATTTTCTAATGCTGTTCCTCCATGTCTATCTTATTCCCTTCCTACCCTGCCTCCCAATCTATACATACACTTATTCTTCCTCCTCTTCTTTCCTTCCACACCCCCCCCCAACTTCTACTTAATTTTTGAAATCACAACTTTTACAAAATCTTCAGGGGAAGCTCTGCATAACCCCCAGACCAGATTAGGTCCCAGTGGTGTGTTCCCTTAGCATCCTGGGCCTCCATTCACAGCACTTTACCCCATGTCCTTATTGTGCTTTGTCTAGTGTTTGTTTTTACCAGTATGTGAAGTGAGGGCAGGGAGAAGATTGCCTTATTCACCACTTCATTGTACTTATCACAGTGTCTGCCACAGAGTGGATGCCCAGTAAATACTCATTGAATGAGTGAATGAATACATTTAATAAACATACACTTGCTTTTTTGGAAGGAAACGCTGTGCAGATCAGGTGGAACTGTGGGTGGTATTTCTATTTAGTATGTGACTCATCTATATTGAAGGCTGTTAAATGTTTAAAGTGTATCTTTGTATGGTAGTTTGGTTTTCCTTATTTCTTTCTTTTGTTTTCATGTCAGAATTACTGTGTAATTATGTCTTGCAAAACACCTCAAATGGTGGCCAAGATAATTTTTTTTTTTTTTGAGGTGGAGTCTCACTCTGTCACTCAGGCTGGAGCGCAGTGGTGCAATCTCGGCTCACTGCAAGCTCCGCCTCCCGGGTTCACGCCATTCTCCTGACTCAGCCTCCCGAGTAGCTGGGACTACAGGTGCCCACCACCACGCCTGGCTAATTTTTTGTATTTTTAGTAGAGACGGGGTTTCACCGTGTTAGCCAGGATGGTCTCGATCTCCTGACCTCATGATCCGCCTGCCTCGGCCTCCCAAAGTGCTGGGATTACAGGCGTGAGCCAAGATGAATTTTAATAGGGAAGACAAACCCAAAATAGAGATGAATGTTTACTGTGGTGCATTAAAGCATTAAAGAGTTGTGAATGTGAAGCTCTCCCCAGTCTTTAGTAACATCAAGTTATCTTGGTACAGGAAGCAAATAGCCACTTCTCATTTTGCCTCAGGTGGTGAAAAACTTCCCATTTTAGGCCAGTTGAGATTGTATGTGCTGTATGGCTATGAATGCCAAATATGAGTCTTAAACTCCAAATATGTGGCTGAGCTAAAAGTAATGTTAAATTGTACTGTCTGCTTTGGTGTCTTATAATGACTTAAAATAATCAAAGTAAGAAGAAATTTTTGTACCTATGTCAACTGAGATTTCATTTGTTTTTTTTCTTTTTCTTCCTGTAGATTAGGACTTATAAATGTTCCCCTTCAGAGTACTAGCCTTGATTTATCCCATTGTTCCTGCCTTTTGCTTTCTCTGTCTCTGGTGTTGGGATAGCCCAATAAAACCAACTTTCTTCTATACTCAGCAATTGCATTGGGAGGGAGGAGCAGAGACTTTTCCTTGTTTCATTTCTAGTCACTAAGAGGGTATTTTGAGCCTTGAGGTGTATATATCAGAGATCCTAGATACCTAGATCCTATAGTTGGTTTACTATCAGAATCACCAGGCAAACTTTTAAAAAAAGTGCAGATTCTGGGACCCATGCCCAAAAATTCTTATTCAATAAGTTTAGGGTGGGACTGAAAATCAAACTCTTTTGATGATACTGATGTATAACCAAGTTTGGAAACTACTGTTTGGGAATCCCAAATGCTTGAAACCCTTTGTGAGTCTTTGGTGTCTTTGGGCTAAAATTCCAAACCTTGAGCATGGTCCTTTGTGGTCTGACTTCTCCTGGTCCATTGCTCCAGCTTCTTTTCTGCACGCGACCCCCTCACACTCTTCTACTGAGCCATGGTAACTACCTGTAGGTTACTGATTGCTCAATGGATTTTCTTAACTTTTGGACATGGTGGAACATGTTTTGCCCCCTCCATGTCCTGGGTAATTCCTGTTGTCTTTTGGACTTCTCTCACCTACTCTGATAGAGCTGGGCTTGTCTGGGCTCTCCTGGTGCCTTATCTCTTCCCTTTCTTTTCCTACTTATCACACTGTATTGATTTGTCCTGCACATAGTGGGAATAAATAGATAGTTATGAATGGAATAAGTTGCTTGCTCAGTTTTCTGTCTTTCCTACTGTATTATGAGCTCCTTTAAATAAGACCTGCATCTTTTCCACTTTGTAGGCCTCGTGCACGTGTTAGCATGTGGAGAGCACTTAACAAATCATAGTTAAACATGTAAATTAATAACTGATATTGAAAATAAAAGAATCCTGTCCTTTGGGTAAAAGATCCTGCAGTAGTTAATGTTCTGAGCTGGAAAACATTTGCCTATTACAATAGACATGTATTTTACTAGAATAGAAAAGAACCTGGGCCATAAACAGTAATTGAGATTGGGAATATTAATAGAAAAACAGAGAAACATACAGTTAAATTGTTCTGTATGTATTTTCAAGTGTTTTATTTTATTTTCATATAGGTAATACCATCGTATGTTACAAATTTTAAAGATAAAATAGTATACAGGGAAGAAAGAGTCTCCTTCCTGCCTCATTTCTCAGCCACCAATTTCTCCAACCCAGAGGCAGTCAACGTTTTAGTTTTATACCTTTCACAAGACGAATGGTAACATAGGCTGCAGGCTGTCTGTTTGCTTTTTTACTTACTGGTTTGTCTTACTGGCAAACATCTATATAAATGAGTGAGTACACAAGGAGATTCTTTTTATCTCTTTCATTGTTTCAAAGTATTCCACTCTATGGATATATTCCAATTCATTTTACTAGTCCATTATTGATGGATTTTTAGGTGACCGTTTTAAATTCCATATCTGTGAATTCATTTTTTCACCCATGTCATTTTGCGCATGCACATGTATATGTAGGAAAATTTTTAGAGCTATATTTTCTAGGTCATTGAATGTGTGCTTTGTAATATTACCAAACTGCCAAAATGGGGATTATATCAATTGTTCTGTTAATTGTCACCACCAACCTCAAATACCTGGGACCTTGTGGGCTCCGGATCAATTGTTCTGTTAATTGTCACCACCAGCCTCAAATACCTGGGACCTTGTGGGCTCGGGCCATCAAGCAGATGGTCTTTCAGACTGTGCAATGTATTCTGTAATGTGTACATTTGGTTGAGATGAGTTGAAAGTATTTGAGAGTACCTGGAACTCTGAAGCTACCTCAGCTACCTGAAGCAACCATTGAGGCTGAATTTTCAGAATGTTAGTGTTTATCTATTAAATTAATCGTTTATTTAGGGATATTTAGTTAATAAATAAAATAATAAAATGTAAACATTTTCTCATTGGAGTTTTATCAGTATTTCTGCCATTGATCCTTGGAAAGGGGACTTATATATGATTAGAGTCAGGAATTTGGAAATCATAGGAAGTAACAGCAAAGTTGACAGTTGACTGAAATAATTAAAAGAAGGTCTAGGAGGACATGGTTCTTCCTTGTACACCTACTGGTCATGCCCAATGAGGAGAGTCATTCCTCCTATGCTTTCCATTTTGTTGAAGGATCATAACAGGCTGCACTTTCTGATAGAATTTCACATAGTGCTGGAGCCAGGTTCACCATCATTTTCTTTATTTTGGTTTGCATTTCTGTCTTGAGGATCTAAATTTTTTTCTTAGGTAACTTTTCTGGCATCAGAAAATTTTCTCAGGCATACATTTTACCTGAAATACTTATTATGAACAATGAATATTAATCATTCTATTGAGACTGGCAGAACCTAGGATCATGAACACCACACTTTAAATGTGCTTTTATTTTAAGTAAGAGTCATTTTTTTCTGGGATTTTTAAAATTGTTGATAAAAATTTAGGAAATTCAGAACTATATTTTGAAAAGGAAAGAAAATGTTTCTACCTTTATCATATGAATGCAGAAATTATTGATATTTGGTATGTTTTCTTTGATCTTGATTATATAGATTTCTTCACATTCTTAAACACTTATACTGTGCAATGTATGTAGCATCCTGAATTTTCAACTATATGAAAATTACATATTTTTTCAGGTTAAAAATTATTTTAAATGATTTTAATGAGATATTAATATTCTATATTATGCATATAACATAACATATTTAACCATTCTCATATTGTGGGATATTTGTGTTTCTATTTTTAGCTCTTTTAAAATGTGCTGCAGCTAATAACTTTTCTGTGAATGTTAGTCTATGACTATCTTGCTATGCATATTGCAAGTGGAAATACCAGATCAAAGGGTATCAATATTTTTTAAACTCTAGATACAAAAATGCCAAGATGCTTCCAGAGTAAGACTCTAATTTATACCTCCATCATCAATTTATGAAGTTGTCCATATCATATATTCTTTTAACTTTGTCCCCCATTTTTTAAAAACATGCACAATTATATCTTCTTGTTTACATTTTAAACATTATTATTAGTGAAGTAGAGTATTTTAAAAGTTTGTTACTCATTTTTCTTTCCCTTTTTGTTAAATATCTATCCCTGCCTATCCTTTTGTATTTCTGTCTTTAGGAGACTTGCTGCTTTTTCCCAGAGATTTTAATGTTCTTTCTATATAAACTATATTTCAATGGTCACAGATATTTTCTCCAGGAAATTCCAGCTTTTTTGCCTTTTAATTTTCTCAGACTGGGTAAATTTAAGAATTTATTTATATGAAGTCTACTAATCTTTTACTTTGTGAATTCTTTCTTTGCTTTTGTGTTGGGAAATCCTTTCTATATTCAAAGTGATGACAAATATTCATCCATATTTTCTCCTATTTTAAAAATAATTTCATTAAAGGATAAGTTCTTAAAGGAGTAATTCTATAATGTATCAGGTGGTGGGAAATGCAGAGAAGCAAAGTGAATCAAGTAGGGGGTATGTGAAGTGTGGGCTGTGAAGGAAGGCCTCGCTTACCAGATGCACCTGACCAGAGACCTGTGGGGGGAGGGGAGGGAGACAAGCCAACGTACCTGATGCTCCAAGCAGAGGGATCAGCAAATGTAAAGGTCCTTAGTGGGAGTATGCTCAGCTCAAGGGCTATCAGGAAGGCCTGTGTTGGGGGAGCAGAATGAGTGCTTGGGAGAGAGCAGGTGGAAATGAGGCCTGAATTTCAGAATAGGCCGGGGGCAGGAGCATTCTAGCCTCTCATAAACCATTTTGGGTGCTTGGGTTTTTACTCTTAATGACACAGGAATCATTGCAAAGACTTAAATAGGGGAGTGACCTGACATGACTTACTTTTAAAAAGGATTACTTTAACTGCTTGAGAAAGCATAGATATCTAAAAGAAAATGTCCAGGCACAGGGATCCTATGTATACCCTCCTTCCTTTTGAAATTTGTGCTTTCTTGCTTATAAACTTGCTATAATCTATACCTAATCTATTAAAAACATATTTCAAATAAATAAGAAAGAGATGGATGTAGCAGTTCAGTTGTGTTCAGATGTATGTAACAAACCCTGCTGCAGAGGTTGAATCCAGTGGGGCTTTATTTTTCTCTCATCACAGGAAACCTGGAGGAAGACAATTCAGGACTAGTTCAGCAGCTCAAGGAAGGCCTCCAGGATACAGGCTTCTTCTACTGTCCTAAACATGTATGTGGCTATCATCCTCATGTTGACAAGATTGATGCTTTCCTCCAGACACCACATTCTGCATCCTAGGCAGGAGGAAGGAGATGGTCAGAAGACAGCTGAAACTGTCTTTTCACTAGGAAACAAACCATTTTCCTGGATCCTCAGTAGTAGGCTTCTGATTACTTCATGGCCAGAACTGGGTCATACCACTATTCCTTGTGGGCACGTTGCTGCCTTGAATACCAGCTATACCTTCTTACTAAGGAAGATGGAACTAACAGTGTTTGTGATAATGGATAGCCTGTAGAAAAATGGATATAGATGAGTCTCAAAATAAAAATATACAAATATACATGTCCTAGTCAATATACATAAAAATTACAAAATCTGTAATATTCCAAAACGCAAACTAAAACTGTCAGTTACCACTTTGTCCGTCATGTTGGCAATTTAAATAAATCGATAACACTCAAAGTTAGCAAGAATAGGTAAAATGGGAATGTTTTATGGCGCCAGAGGTATAACCTTCCTGGGAACAATTTAATCATTCATGTGGTGTGTATGTAAGTGTATCTTATTGAGGGTTTGCTTTGCATTTCCCTGATGACTAATGAAGTAGAGGACCTTTGTACAACTTTCTAACCATTTGAATTTCCCCTTTGATGAGCTGCCTGTTCAAGTCTCTTGACCATTTTTCTACTTAATTATAATCTTTTTATATAAATATGAAGAGGTTGTTTATATTTTCTAGATACAAGCCATTTGTCTGGAATATGCACGGCAAACATCTTCTCCTAATAAGTAGCTTGCCTTTTCAAAGCTCTCTTAATAATTTATTTTGTGAACAGAAGTTTTTAATATTATATAATTTACCATTCTTTTATTGTTAAGTACATTGTATGTCCTGTTTAAGAAATATTTCCTTACTCCAACTTCATGAAGATATTTTCTAATATAATGTTCTAGAGATTTGTTTTTACCTTCATATTTATTAAAAAGACTGTCCTCTACAATTACTTAGTAATATTACCTTTGCCCTAATTTGAATGTTTTCATATGCATTGGTTTCTTTTTGAGCTTTTGCTTCTGTTCTATTGGTCTATTTGTCAATCACTGCACCTGTACCACTCTCTCTTAGTTACCATAGTTTTTAAATAACTTTTGGTATCCAAAATTTAGCAGGTTCTTCCCCATTTTTTTCCTGTTCAGAACCTATAAAGTCTTTCATTTACCTTTACTTTAGAAATTACAGCATACTTCCGTGACCTATTAACTTCCAATGTTGACTGAAGTATGCATAAATGTTTTACGTGTATATTTATCAAAGGCTAAAGGTAGTATCTCTGTCCTCTTCCCAAATAACGCAAGGATCTAAATACCATTTAACTACAATCTTCCCATTCTTACATATAATATTACAATTGTTCAGTATTTTACTTATACCTGCTTTTTGATACTCCCCAAATAAACCATTATTACTATTTTGTTGTTGTTTTTGTAGCCAGTCAGTAGTTCTAGGTAGACTTACCAACATGACAACCAGTTTATTTATGTATTATTGTTTTTGCATTTTCCATGTTCCTTCCGGATTCTGTCTGGCTTCTAAGAAGGAGCATCTTTTATGGACAGTTCTGAGTGATAAAATCTCTCTGGCTTACTTTCTGAAAAATATCTTTATTTTGCTTCATTCATGAATATAGTGTTGCTAAGTATAGAATTCTAAAGTGATAGTTATTTTTTCTTAGTTCTTAGAAGATAATCTTTTTGGATGTCCTTAGGAGATATTTTTTCATCGCTTTCTGTCATCTTCTGTAGCTGATGAAAGAAGTCTGTCAATGTAATTATGGTTTCCTTGTCAATAATTGTTTTCTCTGTTTGCTTTAGCTGTTTCCTCTTTTCTTTGGAAGAGTGCAGTTTTACTTGTTGTGTTAGCTGTGGTATGTTTAGAAATACTAGAGACCCGTGTTTTCCTTCTATTATGGAAAGTTTTCAACCATTACTTTGAATATTCTCTCCCTTATTCTCTCCTCTTTTATTTTTAGAATTTATGTATACACAGCATTGAGTATTCTGTGCCTCATGTTTCTTAATGAATCTTTCATATTTTTTATTTCTTCATTTCTCCATGCTGCATTCTGCATGATTTTCCCAGGTGTATCACCTCCCTTATTACCTCCCTCTTTAGTTGGTGTCTTTTTTGTTCCTTTTCAAAGCAACCTTTTATTCCCACAGAGTTATAAACTAGTCCTTTCTACTCATTCACTGTATTTATCTAATAGTCCATTTTAGATTTTCCTTTCTTCAGTTGTGGGGATACAAATTATTGTCTATTTTTATCTGCTTAATCTTCCTCATCATGTTCCATTTCCTTTTGTGTTTCATAGCTTTTCTTTGTGAGTTCCTCTTCTGCAGAAGTTTTGATAGTTGTTGTTTGTATGTACATTTTTGAGGAGGGGATTCCATGTGTCCTGGCTTCTCATGGACTGGGTGGCATTTTGAGGTCTGTGGCTTCGTGTAGGGAGACTGAATGCTAGCTTTCACCTCATGTGGTCCCAAGTTCATTTTTTTTTCTCCTCATACGCTTTATGGCCCAAACCCCTAAGTTCTAAAGTCTAAATCTAAAGTCCATTTGAAGTGCATCAATTCCTGCCTCTTGGTCAGGAATCAAATGCCTTCTTTGTTTCTATAGCTGGGGCATTCCATTTCTTAGTTTCAAGCTTGGCTTTGTAATGCTTTCTTTGTTGTATTTGCATGCATCATTTAAGTGTGTTAGTAATGTCATTTTGGTCCATCGTATCCTTTTTTCTCCCCTTTATTTGTTTTATTGTCAATAACTTCTACTTTCTGCCTTTAGCTTTAATTATTAGTTACTAAAACAACTTTATGCTAACATCAGAGGCTTATAAAAAATAGAAAAATTTCCCCATAATCCCATATTGAGTCAAAATGATCTATTTTTATTCTCTAGATATCCTTCAAATCTTTATTCATAGGGTGCTGTTGTTACAATCATGCCATATATTTAATTTTGTGTTATAACTCTCTTCTGGTTTACATTTTGCCCGTATTTCTTTGTAATCTTCAAATTACCATTTTAATGGCTCTATGATAGCCTCTTGAATTGGTGTACTCTATCATACTTACAGAGTTTGTTTTCTGTTTTTCCTTGTTTATACAAATTTCCCCAGAATATTTTTGCATTTGTAGTGTTTGCATTATTTTCTGCGGCTAAAATCTCAGAAGAGAGGATGTTAAATTAAAAATTCTTAACCATGCATTGCCAATTTGACCTTTGAATGGCTTTTCTCATTTTACAGTGACATTAGGAATAAATTCACATACCGACATAAATTTAATACCTACTGTGTGGGAAGTTCTGTGCATTTTGAGTGGCATAGTGACAAATAGGACCTGCTTCAAGTTTCAAGGAATTTACAGTGAAATCAAGGATATAGATATACTATCAACTTTTATAATATTAGGATAAATGGAGCAAGTGGTACAGTCAAAATCTAATCAAAGAAGGAATTTTATAGAAGAACTTGTATTTCAGCCAGGGATAGAGGAAGGGGTGGAGTTTCCCTGTACAAAGGGAGGCTGGATAATATTCCAGGCTGAGAGAACTTAACGGAGAAACAGCCAGAGGTATGAAAAAGTCTACAGTGCATTTGGAAACTATTGAAATCGATGGTGTGGCTGGAACAATGGGTGAGAGAAAGGAGCTTGTAGGAGACTTGAAGTACTTTGCCGAAGGATTTTGGTTATAATCAGCCAGAATTTTCATTTCTGCCACTAATTGCAAATGCTGGTTTGAGAAAAGCATGCACTGTAGATTCATGGTAGCCTGTGATTGGCAGAACCCACCAGTCTCCTATTTTATAGATGAAAACAATTTCTACGGAAATTAAGAAAATTTTCCAAGTTTACACTAGGAGTGTATCTGAAGGCACACTTGCTCCCTTTTTCAAGAAAAATTTGTTTAGCATCTGTTTGTAACTCAGTAGTAAGTGCTTGGAGGATAGAAAGTAAATACAGTATAGGGTCAACTTCTGTAGCCAGCTGGGGGAAAAACAAATCAATATTTGTAAAATGGCAGGATAAGACAATGATAGAAATGAGTAAAGGGTATTTTGAGAACACAGAAGAGGGGAAGCTATTTCAGCTTGGCAAGAAGGATGAAGAGTGGAAGATGGTGGCTCTATTAAATCATAAAGGATGGATAGGAAGAAGCTTGCCAGGTATACCTCACCCATGGTGAGGGAAGGGAGTTTCAGCCTGAGCAAAGGCACGGGGTAGGAATCAGCATGGTGGATGTGGGAATCAGAGCAGCTTCGCATTGTGGAAGAATCACATGTGAGGCAGAGAGTGGCAGGATATAAAACCAGGGCTAGATGGTGTTTGCTATGGTAAGTAGTATGGGCTTGATTTTTTTAGGGCTGCTGAGGATCTTAAAATATTTAAGAGGGAAACTTGGCAGGACTTTCTGATTGACTGGATGTGGGAGTAAGGATGTGAGGGAGAGAAGAGCAAAATATGATTCTCTGGTAGACTTCTTCTTTCTTCTCTAGTTAGTGAGTTTATCAAGATTTAAGATGGTAGTGGTTTTGTTTCAGCAGAAGCCATGCAGTGTGGTGTCATGTGGCAGTGGAAAAACCATCATGGGGCGTATGGAGACTCAAATGTTCCTGAAATGCCTGAGAGAACATCCAGGGACATTTGGAGGTCACTGCCAGAGGCCATGCACATTGTCCAGTTTTCAGTGGTTTCTCTTCGTTGCTAAGAAGCTTGAACATATACAGAATGCATTTAATAATGTTCAGAAAACCTTCTTAAGTGGACAATCTCAAATGTACAACAGACAAAGCAGAATCAGATATTTTTTTGGATGGTATACCTCATTAGTACAGAATAATTACAACATTAGGTGATAATAATAGCAACTGATATTTATGGAGTACTCACTGTTTTCCATGTAGGATGTTAAATGCTTTACATTCGTGATCTGACTTAATCCTTACCATAATCCCTACTCAAGGAAACAAAGGCACAGAGCATGTAATTACTTGCACACGGTCACTAACTCCAATGCAAACCCTGAGGCATGCCAACTCCAAAGCCCTCATTTATAAACTCCAGGCCATATTGCCTCCCCATGAAGCTGATACGCAGACAAGTGTGGTGCCACTTTGAGATTCTCTGGGTTCAGCTGTCAAACAATGACATCATTAAATTATCCATGTAAAATAAGAAGTTGAGTCCTCTATATCCGCTGTGTTTGAGGAGTGGCAGGATGTGGGATGAAAGAAAGAAATTGGATTGCCTCTGAAGCCCTCTGAATTTGTAATAGAACTACAGCCTCCTCAAACCAAAATTATAAAATAACCTACATCACTCTGAAAGAATTTTCTTACTAAATACGTTAATGTGAGAAGACAAAACCAAACCACCAAAGATAATATTTGAATATTGATAATATTCAAACCTCATTTGAAATCAAACCACTAGAACCAGAAAAGAAAATGAAATGTGACTATTTAATTCCTCAGCAGAGATATATGTATGAAAACATAATTTCTATCACTGGTGATAGGAGAATTTGATATTGAGGACTTCATGAGTTGGGAAGAGCGATTTCTTAAATGAAGGTGATAAAAGCCTGTATAAATAATACAGTCATGTATTGCTTAATGATGGTGATATGTCTGAGAAATGCATTGTTAGCTGATTTCATCACTGTGGGTACATGAAAGACTGCACTTACACAAGCTTAGCTAGTATAGCCCACTACATAGCTAGGGTACATGGTATGGCCTGTTGCTCCTAGGCTGTAAACCTGTACATGTTACTGTATTGAATACTGTAAAAAACTTTAACACAGTGGTATTTTTGTGTCTAAACCTAGAAAATGTACAGTAAAAATATGATATTATAATTTTATGGGACCGCCATCATATATGTGGTCCGTCATTATGAGGCTCATGACTGTCTAAGATAAAACTGTAGGCCTCATACCAAATAGAGAAGATTGGCAATATCTATATGTATATGGGTGTGGATTGTATAATTAATTTCTACTTAGTATCCTTTGCTTCTTAGAAACTTTAAGTTCCCTCAATTTAAAAAAATCCTTCTTGATTTCTTTTGCTTTTTAAAGATATTTTGATGTAAAAGAGCTTTTGTTTTTATTTTCTTTGCCTGGTTCTCCACTCAAAAATTTAATGCCTGTGTGACTTAGAATTCTCATAAGATTTAGCTTTCTGTCTTTTTACAGATATGAAGTGGCATAGTAGGATTTGGGGTCCATTTTCCCTCAGCTTCCTATTTCTTGCCAGTAGCTTCATTGCAAAACCACTCTACCATCTGCCCTGCTTCTTTTTCTGCTTCCACCCCCAGTTCCCTCATTTTCTAATTACTCCCAACAGGAGTGACTCAAACATATATTGGAAGCAAGATTCCCACAGTTGCCAAATAGGAGCAGGGAAGTGCCACGTACTAGGTTTTCACAAAAGAAGTCATTATGTATCTGGATTTTTATCTGCCAGAGAAGAAGAGGAATGCTTGAGGAAGTCAAGTCTCAGGGCAAAAAAGTAACATAATAAACAAATTAGAGAATGGCACTTTCACATTACCATTTCTGTTACATTTTGTGGTAGTCTTTCAGGCTGTTCACAAGTATATGGCTCCCTTCCTTTTTTGGGCTATAGTACAGTATCGTTCCGTGCTAGTATAGTTCGGTCCAGGCTCTTCTGCACTCCACTGAACTCGGATATGGCCATATGACTTGACTTGTTTTAGCCAGTTAAATGTGAGTGGCAGTGACAGGTGTCACTTCTGAGAAGAAGCTTTAAAAGCCAGTGGCTTTAAGAGCATATTTTGATGTCTTATTTTTGACAGTAGTTGCTCTATCAACTTGAGTCTTTAAGTGACAGTGTGAACAGAGCACCCTCCCCATACCAGCTGACTCATAATGGCCAGGTGACATGGGCAAGAAAGAAGCCTTTGTTGTTTTAAGTCACTGAGATTTGGGGAGTAATGTTATGGTGGCAGAATCTAGTCTGTCCTGACTAATACACTGAAACAGTTTTAGCATGTATAATCTCATGTAGTTAAGAGATTCAAATCATAATTCCTCCGATACATGGATCAAAGATAATAGAAGACAAACATTTAAAGTGTTTTTAAAGCATTCACTCAAAAAGAATGTATTTTGTTTGCATCCATATAGTAGCATCTAACCTATCGCACAATAGTTTTGTGTTATATAATAGATCTGCCACTGCTTCAGAGCCTCTGTGAGGGCAGAGATAAGGTCTCGTTCTTTTTTAATCCTGGCACCTGGCACTAGGTGTGGCATTTAGTGGGTACTTAATACTATTAGATTAGTGAAGAGGACTGAAAACTGCCTGGCACATGAGAGGTACTGAATAAATATTTGTACAGATATTAATGTTGTTAATATCTGTACCAAATATTCAGCACCTGTCATTAAAATTCATCCATCACCTATCATAAAATTAATTAGCATTGGAAATTCTCTTTGTACAATCACAAATAATTGTACAAAGTGCATTTTCAACATTTCAACCCCTTGGTAGCTACTGGGCTAATTTTTCAGGCACAAAGAAGCAGTTTAATGTGGACCCTCAAGTTGTATTTTTTCCTGCCACCAGGGCCTTTAAAGCCTTACTTAAGGAAGTACCATTATTTCAACTTTGGCAGGAGGGATGATACATTTGCATGTAAACTGGTTTGGAGTTTGATGCTGAGCTTGCATCGTGACCACCTTTCCACTGGACATTATAATTAGGGGGAAATTCTGATGCTAAAGCTTGGCCAGTGTATAGTTATTAATTCAAAGTTGATTATCTCACCAGGGATTGTGAAGAGTTTCATTTGGTTTTAAAACTGCCTAATACATGTTATTCTAAGGTGTTGGGAAATTATCAGTGTGGCTGCTTTGTGTGCTCTCCTTGGTCCAGTGAAAGCTTCACCTTACTCCTTGGCCCCTGCCAGCTCCTATTTTATCTGTTTCTTCCCAGGAAGGATTTCAGGCATCTGGGAACATACATGTACACAAGGTTGTTGTCATCAGGTCCCTGCTTGCCTACTTCCTTCTTCCTAAATTTAGATTCTCTAAATGGAGCTTACTTTCCTATGTCTCTGTCCTGTCTAAGCAGTTTCTCCATTACCCAAAATGCAATTCCCCAGGTTCATTAATTCATTCTCAAATATCTCTTAAGAGCCTCCTCTATACCAGGCATTGTTCAAAGCCTTGTGAGTACAGCTTTCCTGGAACTTCTATTTCATTGGAAGAGACAGATGATAAATAAAAAAGTAAATACAGTCATGCATCACTTAACGATGAGAATATTTTCTGAGAAATGCATTGTTAAGTGATTTTATCATTGTATGACTATCACAGTGTGTCCAGAGTTCGTTCCTTCTGGTGCATTTGTGTTCTCGCTGACTTCAAGAATGGGGCCGCGGACCTTCGCGGTGAGTGTTACAGCTCTTAAAGATGGCACAGACCCAAAGAGTGAGCAACAGCAAGATTTATTGTGAAGAGCGAAAGAACAAAGCTTCCACAGCATGGAAGGGGACCTGAGAGAGTTGCCGCTGCTGGCTTGGGTGGCCAGCTTTTATTCCCTTATTTATCACCACCCATGTCCTGCTGATTGGTCCGTTTTAGAGAGCACTGATTGGTTGATTTTACAGAGCATTGATTGGCCCATTTTACAAACCTCTAGCTAGCTACAGAGCACTGATTGGTGCATTTTACAAACCTCTTGTAAGACAGGAAAGTTCTCCAAGTCCCCATTCGACCAGGATGTCCAGCTGGCTTCACCTCTCAACAGTGTGTACTTAAACCTAGATGGTATAGCCTACTATGCACCTTGGGTATGTGATATGGTCTATTGCTCCTAGGCTGCAAACCTGTACAGCATGTTACTGTACTGAATAGTGTAGGCAATTGTAACACAGTGATAAGTATTTGTGTATCTAAACATATCTAAACATAGAAAAGGTACAGTAAAAATACAGTATAAAAGATAAAAAATGGTACACTTGTATAGGACATTTACCATGAATGAAGCCTGCGGAACTGGAAATTGCTCTTGATGAATCAGTTTGTGAGTAGTAAATGAATATGAAGGCCTAGGACATTACCATATACTACTGTAGACTTTATAAACATCCTACATTTAGTCTACACTAAGGTTAAATTTTTTTGTTTCTTCACTGTTAAATTAACCTTAGCTTACTCTTTTTGCTGTATAAACTTATTTAAAAAATGTTTTTGACTCTTTTGTAATAATATTTCACTTAAACACACATTGCACAGGTGTACAAAAGTATTTCCTTTCATTGCATTCTTATTCTATAAGTTTTTTTCTATTTTGAATTTTTGTTCTTTAAACTTTCTTTGTTAAGAACTAAGATACAAACTCACACATTAGCGTAGGCCTACACAGGGTGAGGAACATTAGTATCACTGTCTTCCATCTCCACATCTTGTCCCACTGGAAGGTCTTCAGGGGCAATAACATGCATGGAGCTGTCATCCATGATAACAATGCCTTCTGGAATACTTCTTGAAGGACCTGCCTGAAGCTGCTTTCTAGTTAACTTTTAAATTTAATTTAATTTTAATTTTTAAATTTGTATTCTTTTAGAGCCACGGGGTCTCATTATGTTGCCCAAGCTGGCCTCAAACACCTGGGCTCAAGCGATCCTCTCACCTCAGCCTCTGGAGTAGCAGCTGGAACTATAGGCATGTGCCACTGCACCCAGTTAAATTTTTAAATAAATAGAAGGAGTATACTCTAAAATAACAATAAAAAGTGTAGTACAGTAAATACATAAACCAGTAACATAGTTTTTTATTATCCTTATTATTATTATTTGAGACGGATTTTGCTTTGTTGCCCAGGCTGGAGTGCAGTGGTGCAATCTCAGCTCACTGCAATCTCCGCCTCCCAGGTTCAAGTGATTCTCTTGCCTCAGCCTCATAAGTAGCTAGGATTACAGGCGCCTGCCACCATGCCCAGCTAATTTTTGTATTTTTAGTAGAGATGGGATTTCGCCATGTTGACCAGGCTGGTCTCAAACTCCTGACCTCAGGTGATTTGCCCACCTCAGCCTCCCAAAGTGCTGGGATTACAGGCGTGAGCCACTGTGCCTGGCCTTTATTATCATTATTAAGTATTATATACTGGACATAATTGTGTGTGCTACACTTTTATGCAACTGGCAGCACAGTAGGTTTGTTCACATCAGTATCACTGCAAACATGTGAGTAATGCATTGCCCTATGACATTATAATGGCTATGACATCACTAGGTAATAGGAATTTTCCACTTCGGTATAATGTCATGGGATCACCATCATATATGTTGTCCATCATTGACTGAAACGTCATTATGCAGTGCATGACTGTATACGGTAAGTCAGGCAGCTGTAAGTGCTACAGTGAATAATAAAGAGGGAAGAGGTATTATGTTTGTGGAAGTAGGGTGGGACAGTGTTACTAATCATTTCAGGACAGGAAAAGCCTAACTGATAAGGTGTTAGGTAAACAGCTGAAACCTTAAGGAAGTGATGAAGAAAGCCACGAGCACATGGGGTGAAGAGGAGCTAGAAAGGTTCCCAACAGAGGGGACAGCAGGAGCTGAGGCAGGAGCATGCTTGGCAACTTCAAAGAAGAGGAAGCAGGCCAGAGTAATTGGGGATCAGAGCAGGATGGGCTGAAGTGGATTATACAGATCTTGTAGGGCTTTTTGGTCAGTGTTATTTAGTCTTTAGCCTGAGTAAGGTAGGAAGCTGTTGTGAGTTTTTGAGCAGAGGGTGCCTTAAGAGGATCTGGCTGATACGGTAAGAACTGGTCACCAGAACAGAAAAAGGGTGACCAGTTAGACATCTGTTAGATAATAATTCAGGCATGAAATGAAGGCATTGACTTTCAATACTCAGCTCAAGTGTTAACTCTAACTAGGAAGCCTCTCCTAACTCCCCTAGGCTGAGTTGAGTCTACCTCTTTTGAGTTTCTGTAACAATCTTACTCTTGAAATGAAGGCTTTCGGCTGAGTTCACTTATATTTGGAAGCTGACTATATAGTTGAGAGGTCTCTGAATTAATTTACAATTAGAATAAAGTTTATTTATAGATAAGTAAAAGGGCTAACTTAGTATATTATGTATTATATATTCATTATGTACAAATATACGTGCATTATATTATTAAAACTTAACAATAATTGTGGCAATTACTTAAAACTTTGTCCATTACAAAGATTTTTGGGACAGGATTATTTTGATAAGGTTTAAAATTGCCAGAAATGGTAAAATAAAAAGCAGAGTGACTCATGATGGGTTTTATTATTGTTTTCAAATTCTTTATAAACTACCCCGTAATGCCTATACCCACAGTGGACTGATCTCACTGCCTTGTCTTGATATATCACTGATGGTAAGATCTTTTATTCAAAGTGCCTTGAGCAAAAGAAAATTCCTTCAGGCACGGTTTGATCCAGGGAGCTCGAACAGTGTCATCAGAGCTCCTCCAAATTATTCCAATCTGTTTTCCATCTGTTTTCCTCTGGGTTGGCTTCCTTCTACAGCAGGCTGTCTACTTTTAGTTGCAAGATGACTGACAGTGACTCCAGCCATCCAAATGCCTTTCTCCAGGTCACTGCAGCAGAAGTCCCAAAATATGACTCTAACAATGTCGTATGCCCGTACTTGAACCAATCACAGTGGCCACAGGAATGCAATATTCTAATTGGCCTTTGAAAGTCAATATTCTAATTCTGACAGGCTTGGGTCACTTGCCCCCATTTGGAGCTGGGTATGGGGTAGGTCCATTTTACACGAATTACATGGAAGTAGAGGAGGAAAGGCAGGCCCCCAAGAAAAATTAAGATTGCTGTTAGCAGAAAAAGAGGAGATAGATATGGGATATTCAAGCTACATCCATGTACTACAAGCAATTATTTCTGATTCCTATCCAGAATTCTGTCCTAAAAGTGTTCCCACTTGGTAAATCAGGTACATAGATATGAAGTTCTCACCCCCGCATTGATTGCCACTGTAGCTTCCTCTTCCTTTCGTAGGATTCTCAGCAGGAATCCCCTCTTCAGCCTCTCACTCACACACCCACACACAGACACCTTTCATCATAAGCCCTGCTTTTGCCTCAAGGAGCTTTCATATTGTGTGCGTTCAGTAAAGCAAAAAATAATTCCTCACAAAATCGGCATTTTTTATTATACTTTAAGTTCTGAGATACATGTGCAGAACGTGCAGGTTTGTTACATAGATATACATGCGCCATGGTGGTTTGCTGCACCCATCAACCCGTCATCTACATTTTAGGTATTTCTCCTAATGCTATCCCTCCCCTAACCCCCGACACCCTGACAGGCCCCAGTGTGTGATGTTCCCCTCCTTGTGTCCATGTGTCCTCATTGTTCAACTCCCACTTATGAGTGAGAACATGCAGTGTTTGGTTTTCTGTTCCTGTGTTAGTTTGCTGAGAATGGTTTTCAGCTTCATCCATGGTGTATATGTGCCACATTTTCTTTATCCAGGCTATCATTGATGGGCATTTGGGTTAGTTCCAAGTCTTTGCTATCGTGAATAGTGCTGCAATAAACATATGTGTGCATGTGTCTTTATAGTAGAATGATTTATAATCCTTTAGGTACATACCCAGTAATGGGATTGCTGGGTCAAATGGTATTTCTGATTCTAGATCCTTGAGGAATCGCCACACTGTCTTCCACAATGGTTGAACTAATTTACACTCCTGCCAACAGTGTAAAAGTGTCTATATTTCTCCGAAAAGCAATGACAACAAAAGCCAAAGTTGACAAATGGGATCTAATTAAACCAAAGAACTTCTGCACAGCTAAAGAAACTATCATCAGAGTGAGCAGGCAACCTACAGAATGGAAGAAAATTTTTGCAATCTATCCATCTGACAAAGGGCTAATATCTATAATCTACAAGAAACTTAAACAAATTTATGAGAAAAAAACAACCCCATCAAAAAGTGGGCGAAGGATATGAACAGACACATCTCAAAAGGACATTTATGCGGCCAACAAACATATGAAAAAAAGCTCATCATCACTGGTCATTAGAGAAATGCAAATCAAAAGCACAATGAGATATCATCTCATGCCAGTTAGAATGGTGATCATTAAAAAGTCAGGAAACAAAATTTGCATTTTATTTTACCCTGTTGATGCTGTATAAATCCAGGTCTCAGCAGGAAACAGATGGAACACTCAAATTAGGATAATTCAAGAAGAGTATAATAAAGGGACTATTTGCAAAGGTGTGGGTATCGTGTAAGAAAAGCACAGGGACATTACAGCGCTGTGGGACTAGTAAATGAAGCTCTGTTTATCTCCCCCAGGTCTGAAAAAGGTTGGGGGAGGAGATAGCCATTGCCAGAGCTACCAGACTTGGTGGGGAGACACAGCCAGCTGTGGATGATTTCATAGGAAAGCCACTGGGGTAGTAATACTCTGACATCTCTCTCCCTTAGCTTTCCTGTCTTCTACAAGTGCCTTTCATTGGCAGAAGCCACACGGCAGGGGAGCCCATTGACAGAGTCCATTCCAGTCAGCCTCTAGAGTGGAGGGCAGGGTTGACAAGAGAGGAGAGAGGATACGGAGGGGAAGTGGATGTTATCCAGAAGAGTCCATCTCTTTGTCCTCTCAGTATATGTGCTTATCTTTAAGTGAAAAGTTCCTGTTCCCTTCACAGAGGACACAGGAAGTCTCATCGCTATGGCTCTATGTTGGATAATTTTACTTTAATCATACTGCCTCTTCAAAGCAGTGGCAGGGGAATAAAGGAATAATGGAAGGCATAGCACCTGCAGTTCTTGATTCTGAAGCATAAGGTGTCTACTCTCACCATGACTCCACGTTCCCCTTACCTTCTCCAGCTCCTCAGCTGGATGTGGCTGGATGGCGGTGACCCAAACCTTCGTTCTGCAGAATCTCAGTGCCACCCCTGCCCCCACCTTTTTGGATAGCTTCAGTGTTATTTGGTTCCAAGCATGGTCCTCAATGTTGTATCAGCAACCCAGCTGCTCCCTGGTAGTTGGGCTTACTCTGTAAGTCCTTTTCTCTGTGTTAGTTCAGTAGGATGATGAATCCAAACTACCTAGGGGCTGTCTTTGCTTCCAACTTAATGGAATTGTGGCTGTGTTTCCTGATAGAAGCATTTCTACATTAAACATGAGGACTTCCAAGGTCATGTGGTCAAGCTCAAGGTCATAGAGATGAGAAGCAAAAATTCTGTAAGTGGATAGTTAGTGATTAGGGTTAGAGTTAGGATAAGAACACTGATACCTCTCCTTGTTCCTGGTCCTGTGCATTCTGGCTGAGGAGGAGATACGTTATACAAAATACTGTTTATGTAAAATGCTTTTTGAATGCATATACTAAATTCTGTGGGACAGCAGCCCAACTTTGTAGAAGTTGTCTCCTCTCCTAGCTCCCACTGTAATTGAGCCTTTGCTCTAGACACTAACAAGACAGAGAGGCCTGATACAGTAAAGGTGTACTGTTATCCGCAGTAAGCAAATGGATCCCGATTTTCTTTACTGATGGGGCTGGAGGTGGGAGGTGAGGGCATGAGTACATTAGTCTGGTCAGTAGCTACATACCAGGCACCACACTCTGTGTTGATTGCTGCAATAAAAATATCACTTCTGGAGCCATAGTTGTGATTGGCAATATCACTTGGTTCAGTTTATGACTCTTGCTTAACGGTCTTCATGTCTTCAGACCATCTTGTATCAGTCAAGGTTCTCCAGAGAACCAGAATCAGTATATTGCCCAGATGAGCATTAAGCAAACTGGAGACCCAGGAGAGCCACCAGTGGTATATTTTCAGTTCATGTCCAAAGGCCTGAGCAGTAGGCGAGCCAATGGAATAAGGTCTAGCCTGAGTCTGAGTCCAAAGGCAGGAGAAAACTGATGCCCCAGCTCAAAGACAGTCGGGTGTAGAGAGTTAGTTCTTCATTATTCAGTCCCTTTGGTCTATTCAGTGTTTCAGTGGGTTAAAGAAGGCCTGTAGAGGACAAACTGCTTTACTCGGTCTACCCATTCCAATGTTAGTCTCATCCAGAAAAACTCTCTCTCTGTCTCTCTCTCTCTCACACACACACACACACACACACTCAGAATGACGTTTAACCAAATATATGGACACCCCATGGCCCAGTCAGGTTGACACATAAAATTAACCAGCACACATCTGTCTGACTGTTGCTGAATTAAATGAAGATAACATAGGAATTATGCCTACATTCTTTGAGTCCTGGATAGTAGCACCAAGCTCTGCAATTCCTCCAGGTGTGTGGCTTTGTTCTTAGTTTATTCTACAGGGAGGGGCAGTTTTAGGAGTGTCATTTTGCACTCTTTCATTGCCCTCATGCAATGAATCAGTAAACCAATGTAGTGTTTTGCCAGTTGATAAATATATCTGCTTCTACTATACAATATGGTACTGGGGAAATAACATCAGGATGGATCTCTGGTGCCGTTGGACCCACTCTGAGATGGACTCAGGCCAAGACTCTGTCACCTGTCTCCACAAGCCTCCCATTTGAATGGTGTACCACAGCAATATTTCAGAGAGCAACTTAAGTCTAGACCCACAGCTAACCTGGGGAAAGCCTGAGCCTTTCTTTCTTCAGTGCACAGTCACCCTGGAAACAGCCATAGGATGCTATGTGGGAGGCTTGAAGGGCGAGTCACAGCATGCACCTGAGGCAGCATTGTTGGGTCCCTCTCAAAGACACCCAGCCACTTTCTCTATTGAGAGGCTCTAGGTCAGTGGAACTTGGTGAGAGGCTAAAATCCTTACTATGGTGACTGCATTAGGTCCCAGCCCACGAGAGTAGAATTTTGTCTCTTCTATATGCCAAGTAGCACCTTAGTAGGTGGTCCATCTATTTTTGTTTCTATTTCTGAGATTATTTAGTCACCACCACAGATCCCTGTGGAATAAGATTTTGATTACCACTCATCCCTGTGGTTTGTTTCATTTACCTTATTTCTGATAGTTAAATGCCGCCAACCAGTTGGTCTCCCTTACTCTTGGGTTCCTTTATCTCCATTGATAACAAAGACACTGATTCCATTTCAGCCACCCCCATCCCATTTTCCAGGCTGCAGAAGAAAGCCACCACACCCAGGGCAGCCACCACAAGCTTTCCAAGAATACTCCTCCTCCCCCTTGTGGGAGTTGTGGTTAGAGAATGGCTGTTGCTCATCCTAGGTCCACTTCACCACTCCCATTTCTGAGACTTCAGATTTCTTCCTCTCCAGCAGGGATCAGCTCAGGACCAGATCATAAATATTTTAGGCTTTGTGAGCCAAGAGGCAAAATTCAACAGGTATTCTTGCCAAAGGCTGATAGTTTTGTTTGTTTGTTTAACATTTAAAAATTGTAAAAACCATTCTTACCTTTCAGGCCATACAGAAACAGACAGCAGGCCAGATGTGGCCCACAGTCTGTAGTTTGCCAACCCCCTTCTCCACAGGATGCCACAGAAGTTCAGTTGAACCACATAAACACAGACTACCCTTGAGTCCAGGCTTTAATTGTCCAATTAGGTAGATTACTGATGCCACTCCCTGGTACTCAACCTGAAACACTGAATCCTAAATCCGGGGTGAGTATATCCCATGAGTGAATTTAATGAGATCAAGCCTTATGTTTTGTCCTCATTGATCCAATGCCTTTCGAAACTCATACCTTCTCTCCTGGCTCCTGCCAATATAGACTGGTGTGAGGTTCTATAAATCTTATGAAAGATTTCTTATGTAAGGGATGTAGGCTGTCTCATATTTCTCCCTCTGAGCTGTGCTTGGACCTGAGTCTTAGATCAAGAGGCAGTGAGAGGTGATAGGAATGAGTCCTGAGGGAATGACCAGCAGGTTATTATGCATGGAAAAGCTGTTCTTCTTAGACAGGGAGGACAAATCTGTCCCCATGGGCAAGAAGATTTTGTGGGTTCGAAGTTTTCATATTTGTCCGTGTCTGCCCAAATGATCGCAATCCAGTTATCAGGGTCACATTCCCTTGATATGAGACCCCTCGTATGAGCTGATCATGTACTTGGTGCTGCAGCTCTGCAACTTTTGTTAGGCTCTGAGCTTTGTCCTCAGCCATATCTGCCGTGGGACTCTGGAAAATGAGGGGTTGCTGCAGTTATACCATCTGAATAGCTACAGGGACTTTCTGATTTTTTCTATGCGTGCTCTCAATTGTACATTCAGAGATTTCAGTTTCTCATTTTCCTTTTGTACACCTTCTAAGGCTGTGAGAAGAAGCCAAGAGACTCAACAGTCTTTATAGTCACTGCTGTAACCATAGCAATTAAGTGCCTCTGCCACTGACCTCCCAGCATCTCCCCTTCCACCTGCATTTCATCTCCTACCACTGCTAGAGACAACTTGAATAACTGATGTCACCACTTGTCCTGGATTATTTGTTTTCTGTTTTTTCCTGGCAAAGTGGTTCTACCTGTGTTTCTCAACAACATGATCAATCTAATCCTGGAATCCCACTTCAGGATCTCAATAGAAAACAGAATGCTCAAATTGGGATAGTTGAGGAAAAATTCATGAAGGGTTATAGAGGCCTAACCCAGTGATGATGAGGAGCAGTTACTGGGACTTGGAGACAGGCATAACTGTGGAAAGGGTTGCTGGAAAGAAGCTGGGATCCTAAGTTAAGCAACACAGTCATCACTTTTGACATTTTCCTCTAATATTTTGTGCAGTTATGCAGCAAATTGTATTTCAAAGGTAAACCTTATTTAAAACCCCATAGCATCATATGACTCCTATTTTTAAAAGTCTGCAAAATAATTACATCCCTTTCTTTAGTTATCCTTATCATATTCTACAGCTGATGGAATTCAGTTAAGCAGCATTGGTTGTCTATTCAAAACTAAATTAATATAGTGAGGATTTATTTTAAGTTTTCATTATTTTTTTTTACATCATAGCCCTTGAAACATGACAGTTTGTCATTCCATGTATTTGCAGGATTTTTTTTTAAGAAAACCATCCTGATTCTCTATTTTCTTACTTTCAAATACCATCACAGTATAATTTATTTTAATCCCTTATCCTGTGGGTCACTTTTATCTGATGATTGCTTTCATTTAAATTTTAATTGGGGTTTGAAAACTCTTTTTATGGACTGGAGGACAATAAGTAAACTTTTGTAGTATGGCAGGGTGATCTATAGTCCAGGAAATCAATATCTAGGCTTCTATATGCAGGAGCTGTTCAAGGCAGGAACTATTTTCTTATTTATTTTTGAAGTCACATTAGAGTTCCAAATGTATAATTATACAGGATTCCATAAGTTAATAGTATAGGCTTATTGGTTTTAAAGAAGTCTTCTTCTTCACAGTGATATTTTTTCAGGTATTATTGAGATGTGTCCTTATTTATCTGGAGAATAGATATACTTATTCTCTGCCTTCATTTCGTTATTGCTACCTAGTGGTAGGAGATGACAAAAAACCTCATCTAATAGGTGTCACTTATACCTCTTAACATCACTATTTCCAAATATTAATTGTTCCTTGGAAATCCTTTTACTAGGGCTGTTCTTGATGGTCTGTCTGCATTCATCACTTTGTGATTACTGAGTTTTCATATCACCTTAAATCTTTGATGAGCTGTTCCTCAAAGAAAGAAGGTCATTTATCATGTCTGTTTTACTGAAAGAAGGACAAGATGAGACAAAGAGGTATTACATAATTCAGTGTGCCTATGAAGCTTTCTAGGCCGTATTCCAAAATAGATAGCAGTTTCTTCAATCAAACTCTGTATAAGATAAATGAGATATTGTTTGGTAAGAACCCCCCACCCCACTTTGTGCCAAACTTGTTGGCACCCTGCAGTTTACAGCATGAAAGTCAGCTTCTCTGCACAGTGATTTTTAAGACTGCTAAAGGCAATCAGCTGTTCTTAGAGCTGTGCCCCAATGCACTTTATATGCCCTTCTGTTATAGCACTGAGCACCTGGTGGTTTGTAACCTTTTACAAGTCTTTTTCCTTCTGTAGACTGAATGCCCTGACAGCAAGGACTGTTAATTATTCACCATTCTGCATACACTCTGATTGGGTGGCTTACAAACAACAGAAATTTATCTCTTGCAGTTTTGGAGGCTGGGAGGTCCAATATCCAAGCACTGACAGATTTGGTGTCTGGTGAGGGCCAGCTTCCTGGTTCATACATAGCCATCTTCTCACTGCATTCTCACATGGTGCAAAGGATGAGGGAGCTCTCTGGAGTCTCTTTTATAAGAGCACTAATTCCATTCTTGGTTTGGGGTGGGGGCTCTGCACTCATGACCTAATCACCTCCCAAAGGTCCTACCTCCTAATGTCATCACATTGAGGATTAAACTTTCAACATATGAATTTTGGAGGGTCATAAACATTTAGTTTATAAAAAAGGGCTGCTTGGTGTATCATGGCCACTGAATAAATTTTGAGTAGCAATCTTACCTGGTATGCCATTGCATTTATATATGATTGCCACTAATAACTCAAATTACTGAATTTATGTTGTATCGATGATGCTGTTTTCCTAGTCTTAGTATTAGTAGCCAAATGGCCTTGGATTAACTTTCTCAATATTATTCATTCATTCATTCATTCAACATTTATTGAATACCTTACTAAATGGCAAGCTCTGAATTAAGCTTTGAGAATCCAAGAAGACTAAGACTTTGTTCCCACCTTTCCCTTCAGCTTCCCTTTCCTAAGATAGACATAATAAAACAATTGCATCACAACATGATGGATCCTGTCATAGTCAGAGTGGAAATAGAAGGAGATTGAGTGGGACAGGGGAGTTGAAAGATGCCCAGCAGCCCCCAGGGAGAGTGAAAACGTGATCTCAAGATCAGCTTTATTTTCTGACCAATTCTCATATACCAAGTGTGGTCAGGAACATATATTTATGTGTCTAGGTAGCCAGTTGCATTTCATTTTATGAAGCTAAGTGATTATGATGATTAGCTATGGGATTAACATACGTTTTCAGCTAAGCAAGTCATTAAAAACAAATGCAAGTACAATTATCTCCTCCTTTAGCTTCAGTAAATTAACATGTTATAGTAAGAACCTTGTTCATTTGTATGATGCTAGGAAAAAGCCACACAAATGACCTGCTTTTTACTTTATATTTCGGCAGCTATAATTTTGTAAAAATGGGACATGTTGGCCATCTGAAAAGCACTTAGTTGTATAACTTCTACAAGTCATTGAAAGTAATTATCACATCATAATCCAATGTTTTCCTGAGGTTCCCATGGGAAGTAAAGTATATTCTATCCTGATGTGGTTTGGATGTATGTCCCTGTCCAAATCTCATGTAGAATTGTAATCCCAGTGTTGGAGGAGGGGCCTAGTGGGAGGTGATTTGATCATGGGGGCGGATTTCCTCCTTGCTGTTCTTGTGATAGTGAGTTCTCACAAGATCTGGTTGTTTAAAAGTGTGCAGCACCTCCCTCTTGTCTTTCTTCCTCCTTCTTTGGCCACATAAGACCATGCCTGCTTCCCTTTTGCCTTCTGCCATGGTTTTAAGTTTCTTGAGGCCTCCCCAGCCATGCTTCCTGTACAACCTGTGGAATTGTGAGTCAATTAAACCTTTTTTCTTTATAAAGTACCTAGTCTCAGTTAGTTCTTTATAGCAATGTGAGAATAGACTAATACAGCAAATTGGTACTGGGAGTGGGCATTTCTGCAAAGATACCTGAAAATGTGGAAGTGCCTTTGGAACTGGGTAATGGGCAGAAGTTGAAAGAGTATGGAGGGCTCAGAGGAAGACAACTGGGGGAAAGTTTGGAATTTCCTAGAAACTTGTTAAGTTGTTGTAACCAAAATGCTGATAGCAATATGGTCAATGAGGTCCAGGCTGGGGAGGTCTCAGATGGAAATGAGTAACTTATTGGGAACTGGAGCAAAGGTCACTTTTGTTATACACTAGGAAAGAGGTTGGAGGTATCATGCCCCTGCCCTAGAGATCTGTGGAACTTTGAATTTAAGAGTGGTGATTTAGGGTTTCTGGTTAAAGAAATGTCTAAGCAGCAAAACATTGAAGATGTGGTGTGGCTGCTTCTAGCAGCCCATATTTATATTTGTGAGCCAAGAAATGACCTGGTACTGGAACTTATATTTAAAAGGGAAGTAGAGTGTAAAAATTTTGAAAATATGCCAGCCCAGCTATGTGGTAGAGAAGAAAAATCCATTTTCTGGGGAAGAATTCAAGCTGGCTGCAGAAATTTGCATAAGTGAAAAGGAGCTGAATGTTAATAGCCAAGACAATGGGGAAAATGCCTCAAAGGCATTTCAGAGCAGCTCCTCCCATCATAGGGTCAGAGGCCTAGGAGGGAAGAGTGGTTTTGCGGACTGGGCCCAGGGCCCCGCTGACCTGCGCTACCTCAGGACACTGCTCCCTGTGTCCTAGCTGCTCCAGCTCCAGCTGTGGCTAAAAGGGCCCTAGATACATCTTAGGCCACTGCTACGGAAGGTGCCAGCCATAAGCGTTGGTAGCTTCCACATGGTGTTAAGCCTTCTTGTGCACAGAGGGCAAGAGTTGAGGCTTGGGAACCTCTGCCTAGATTTCAGAGGATGTATGGAAATGGCTGGATGTCCAGCCAGCAGTCTGCTGCAGGGGTGGAGTCCTCATGGAGAACCTCTACTAGGGCAGTGTGGAGGGAAAATGTGAGGTTGGAGTCCCCCACACAGAGTCCTTCACTGGGGCACTGCCTTGTGGAGCTGTGAGAAGAGGGCCACTGTCCTCTGGAACCCAGAATGGTAGATCCACTGGCAACTTGTACCATGTGCCTGGAAAAGCTGCAGGCAATCTATACCAATCCTTGGTAGCAGCCATGGGAGCTGATCCCTGTATAGCCACAGGGGCAGAGCTGCCTAAGGCCTTGGGAGCCTAGCCCTTGCATCAGGTGGCCAGGATATGAGACATGAAGTCAAAGGAGATTATTTTGGAGTTTTAAGTTTTTTTATTTTTTATTTTTATTTTTTTGAGACAGAGTCTCACTCTGCTGCCCAGGCTGGAATGCAGTGGCATGATCTTGGCTCACTGCAACCTCTACCTCCTGGGTTCAAGTGATGCTCCTGCCTCAACCTCCCAAGTAGATGGAATTACAGGTATGCACCAACCTGCCTGGCTAATTTTCATATTTTTAGTAGAGACAGGGTTTTGCCATGTTGGTCAGGCTGGTCTCAAACTCCTGGCCTCAAGTCATCTGCCCGCCTCAGCCTCCCAAAGTTCTGGGATTCCATGCGTGAGCCACCACACCCAGCCAGGAGTTTTAAGCTGCCCTGCTTGGTTTTGAACTTGTATGGGTCCTGTAGCCCCTTAGTTTTGGCTGATTTCTCCTTTTGATTGGGTGTATTTCCCCAATGCCTGTACCCTCATTGTATCTTGAAAGTAACTAACTTGTTTTTGATTTTACAGGCTCCTAGGCAGAAGGGACTTGCCTTGTCTCAGATGAGACTTTGGACCATGGAGTTTTGAATTAATGATGAAATGAGTCAAGGCTTTGAGGAACTGTTGAGAAGGGATGATTGTATTTTGCAATGTGAGAAGGACATGAGATTTGGGAGGGGCCAGAGGTGGAATATGTGGTTTGGGTTTTGTGCCTGCCCACCTCATGTCGAATTGTAATCCTCAGTGTTGGAGGAGGGACCTGGTGGGAGGTGACTGGATCATGGCGGTGGATTTTCCCCTTACTGTTCTTGTGATAGTGAGTGAGTTCTCGTGAGATCTGGTTGTTTAAAAGTGAAACCCGGGGTACACCATCCAGACAGGAAGCCATGAAGAGAAAGGGTAGGTGATTTCACGCAGGAATGTTCTATGAGCCAGGGCAGCATACATCACTTCTGACCAGAACTCAGACACGTACTACAAGGGAGCCTAGAAATGTCGTCTAGCTGTGTGTCCAGAGGAAAAGAAGGAACTGGGTTTGGTGAATAACTAACCACAATGATGATAAACTTTTAAAAATTAATCACATTATCTATAACTGCCCCTAAACTGCTTCAAAATTTTCACAACAGCCTCATTCACCCAATTTCCTATTGACAAATATTTATTGTTCTCCTGTAATGTGTCAGAGACATTGAGCCAGAGTGGAGACAGTAGACGTGGTAAAAAGTTGATCAGATTACTGATATATTTTAAAGGTAAAGTCAATAGGATTTGCTGATGGACTGAATCTGGGATATAAGAGCAACAGAGGATTCAAGAATGACTTTCAGATTTTGGGCATGAGCAACTGGGAGGATAAAGGATGCCATTTATTGAAATCAGAGCACTGAGGTAGAGAGGTCATTTTGTGGGTTGGGGGGTGGGGATAACTTAACAGTTTGCTCTGGCCATGTCAAGTTTGAAATACCTCTTAGACATCCTAGTGGAGATGCCAAAGAGTCAGTTGAATAAACAAATCTTAATTTTTAAACAAAGTACAACCAGAGCCAGCTTCATGAGTGGGCAACCCATGCAGTCCCACAGGGCTCTCCTACATGGAAAGGTCCCATACTTGATGTAATGGTTTACTGTTGCAGTCTTGAAATTTTTAATAAATTACTTAGTAAGTGCTCCGTATTTTTATTTTTCGCCAGGCCCTACAAATTATGTAGCTTGTCCTGGGAGGAATTCTTTTTGAGGCAGTGGAAACTTGTAAGTGTGGGGTTCTGAAGGCAAGGAAAAGAAAACCTTTTGAGAAGAAAGAGATTGTGAGAGATCAAGGAATATAAAGACCAAAAAAAAAAAAAAAAAACAGTGGGAATTATCAAGATGGAATTGCTAGTGATGTCGACAAGAGCCATGTCCAAGGGTGGAGTGGGGGAGGATAAAAATCCTGTTGGAATGAGCTGAAAAGAGGAGAGCTGCCTATGGCCACAGTTTCCCCCTGCAGGGAGCAGGGAAATGGGATGATAGCTGGAAGGTTGTGCTGAGTCAAAGCATGTTTTTGAAAAATGAGAGAAATTAAAAATGTTTGTCTGCTGATGTGAGGGATTCAGGAGAGAGGGAGAAACTGATGATGCAGTGGAGAAAGGGAAGAATTACAGGGAAAGTACGTAAGTCAAGGACAATGGAGGACATGTGGAGGAGCTGGCTGTAAGAATAGTCATGTGATTCCATTTCAAAAGCAGAGAAGGCAGATTTCTCAAGACCATGTATTGAAGAGACTATCCTTTCTCCACATATGTTCTTGGAACCTTTGTTGGAAATCAGTTGACCATAAATGCATGGGTTTATCACTGGATTTTCTATTCCCTTCCATTGGTTGATGTGCCTGTTTTTATGCCAGTACCATACTATTTTGATTACTTTAGCTATGTAATATGTTTTGAAATCAAATAATGTGATGCTTCTAGCTTTGTTCTTTTTGCGCAAGATTGCCTTGGTTGTTCGGGATCTAAAAAAGTAAGAAATTTTGTCATTTGTGACAAAATGGATGAACCTGGAGGATATTATGCTAAATGAAATAAGCCAGGTACTGAAAGACAAATACTGCATGATCTCACTTATATGTGGAATATTAAAAAATAAAACTCATAGAAGCAGAGAGTAGAATGATGATTGCCAGGGGCTGAGGGTAGGGGACGGATAAAGGAGAGCTGTTGTTCAACGGGCACAAAGTTTTGGTGAGACAGGAAGGCTAAGTTCTGGAGATCTATTGTACAGCATGATGACTATAGTTAATAATAATATATGGTATATTTGAAAATTGCCAAGAGATTAGATTTTAAATGTTATAATCACAAAAAAAGATAAGTGTATGAGGTGCTGGATATACTAATTAGCTTGATTTAATCATTCTATAATATATGATATTATATATATATATCAAATCATCACATTTTATAGCATAAATATATATAATTTTTATTTTCCAAATATACCTTAATTTTTAAGAAACAGAGAAAGCAGAGTCTATGGGTTCCAGAAGGTTGGCAATTTGGGGTTGGTTCTAGACCACGTGCTTTTTTTTTTTTCTTAATGGAATATGAGGTGAGGTCAGCAGCTGAGGTGGTGGGAGGAGTCATGAGTTTGGTAAGAGTAACTTCAGAGAACTGAAAGGTTAATTTACTAGAAGATGGTAAGATTGCTGGGCAATCCTGTGCTGAGTTGCCATTTGAGATTTTGTGAATATCCATTTGCTGTCAACATCGTCGAGTGATGTTTTTTTCTCCAGCATCTTTCAGCTGCTCAGGTGCAAGTACAGAGTAGAGGGATAGTTGAGTTTAGACATGATTGGTTCTGTTATGGCTCTTATTTTACAGATGAAGGGACTAGGGTTCAGAGAAGAAAGTAACTTGCTAGTAATGGACAGAGTTTGCACATAAATCTTCTCTGACCCTCGACTCCAGGCTCTTAAGCAGTATGTCATATTTCAGAGCTGTTCTTAATATCATGGAATAAAAAGTGTAGATTCTGCAAACTTCTATCCCTTCCCCTAGTGGCGAGCAGGTGAATAAGCAATACTGTAATTTGTATCTCAACTTTTTTTTTCCTACTAGCATTATCTAAAAAGGGTATCTCAGCTAGTTACCAAATCCCAGCCTTGGGAATCACAAAGCAATATTGTGCATTGAAGATATGCTCATGGGATAGAAAAAGTATCACTGAGTTTGATCACCATCTCTCCTGCCTGCTGGCCATGTGACTTGCAGCATGGTTGTAAGAATCTGTTCAGCATTAACTGAGCACCTATGGTATGCCAAGCAGTAAGGAAGATACTGAGAAGATATTGATGAAACTGAATTTTGTCCTCCTAAGAATTATAGTCCAGGGAATTCAGTGAGATAGTATATGCACAATGTTGTGTCCAACACAGGGTGGGCACTTAATAGGTGTTAATTCTCTTTGCCTTCTCTATCCATTTGTCCTCAAGTACCTGATGACACCTCTTGGTGAAAATATCAACACTCACTGAGATACTAAATGAGGGCCCCACTCATGTGTAAATATCCAATGATGTTAATATTTAAAAATTAGTTCCCATCCACTGAATCAGAATCTCAGCAACTTTGAGTGAAGGCAGGACCCTTAACTGAGTTGAGTCTTCCTCTACCCATAAAAATATACTGTATATAACTTTTTCCTGAAGCTATTGGAATGAATACAAGTTAGCATGATTGTCTACTGGCAATACTAGAATAATCTCCCTAAGGCGTGCTGTTTTCTGGCTGGAAGTTATTTTATTCTGTTGAAATGTATTTTTTTAAATGAAAGGGGCATTTCCTTTTCCTATATTATTTGCTTTCAAAAAGCGAAGAGAATTCTTTAAACATGGCAAATTAACCACTGGTGAATCTTAAATTTTACCTTCTCAATGATGCATGTTCTGATTCACCAGTCAATATTTATTTCTAAGCCTTCAGATCTCAAAAAGGTCTATATGGTACCTGAGTTAGTGCATCTCAAGTAACCAACCCCTGGGAAGGTGTTTTATTTCTGTAACACAAATGAGGCAGGATTTTATGCCCCTGGAGGGGAGATGTTTGTCTTTTATCTCTATATTGGGGTACCTAATACAGGAAAGAGTGTTAAATGAATAAAGGAATGGACCCACAGTGGGGAAAAGGAGCTTGCTTGATATCAGTGTGTTTGAATTTATTACCATGAATCTCACTTTCTAAAATTGCTAGCACTATTAAAGTTTCTGACAGTGAAGCAAGCCATTGGAACATGTTTGTGGTGTGAATATTAGGTGTATTATTATGCACTCAATTTAGCTTTTTTATTTTATATAATTTCTCTCCAAGTGGAAATCATGTTCTAGGTAAAGGAACAAGAAATTAAGCAGTGTGGAGGTTAGATTCAACTTCCACTAATGGAGAAGATGACTTTGGATAACTATTGGCTCCAGTTTCATTTGGGGATTAGGGATTGGATTAGAATTTGTAAATCTAATTGTTGTTTCTCTGTAAAATTGGGAGACCCTCAGGGTTGAGAGCAGATCTTCCTCTTTTGCATCTATTTCAGCACCTAGCCCAGTGCATTGTAAATGCTTAATAAATACTAGATGAATTAAAAGTGAAGTATTCTATTTATTCTTTAGAGAAAGATACACAGACGTTTTTGCCAACCAGCAGAAATGAAGGCAGCAACCACTTCTAGTTTATCTTGTATTCCTAGCATCAGGCAAAATGATAGGGACATGGTAGGCATCCAACAACTGTTAATTGGCTCCTCCAATCACCCTTTTTTGTCATCCTTCCACAGGAATTTATTGAATGCCTTCTAAGTGTCAGAAACTTGGTTTATATTAATGAAAGAACACATTCCAGAGGAGTAGTTTTATTTGTATAGGCAATTACAAAGTAATGGGATACAGGTTATAATAGAAGTATGTAAAATTTCACTGAAGTTCACAGGGAGGAGAACCTCATCTGCTCGGGAGTTGGGGAAGACACTCCAGGATGATGAGGGTTGAGCTATTGAAAGAGGAATGGGATTTGTTAAAGTGGACCAGGGTTTGAGGGTATTAGAACACACTCCAGTTAGAGAAGATGGCACACACATGTTCTTGGAGCTGTGATATAGCACAGTACACATTGTAGGGGTAGTTTAGCATGGCTATAGGAAGAAGTGGGTAACATAGGGGAAGGAGGTATGGACAGAATTGAGAAACAGGGATGATTCTGGGAGGTTATTAGAGGTCAGAGTTTGAAGAACATCTCAAAACAGGAAATACTGACTGGTATCTGAGCTTCTCTAGAAGGCTGAAGTTAAATTCTATAGGTCATGTCTCAGTAATAGCAGTGGTAGTAATAGCAATGGCTAATATTTATTGAGCATTTGTTAGAGACAGGTGCCTTTCTAAGCATTTCATCTTCTTAATAACTTATAAGGTAGATATTGTCTTTATCCTCATTTGACAGATGAGGAGATTGAAGCGTAGAGGTGCCTCATTCAAGGTCACCGAGCAAGTCCAGACTTTAACTCAGAGGGTCTGGCTGCAGAATCTGTTCTTAATCACTATATTATATTACAACGCAGAAAATATAGTGTTGTAATGCTCCAAAGTTAATTTATACAATAATACAATCACAAGGATTAGAACTTCATTCTCACTTTAAATCCAAACAGCAGCATGAATCACTGCTTCTGCCTTTCATATGTTTTTTAATGGCTTGATCATTGTCTTCCTGATGATTTGATTATGTGAGGAGGGCAAGTTAAGGTCACTGCCACTAGGTGCTCACTGTTGTTGCCCATATGCAAGACCTCAGTAAAAGATGTCTATATGGCGAATGTAACTTTTAGCCAGGTCTTTGCGCTATGAGAGTATTTAGTCTGTCTGATCTTTGAAGATATCTATGCATGGACCATTGGCTCTAAAATCCCCCTCTTTGTATCCCCACAACAATGCATATTTTCATCTAGTGTACTCTTAAAAGGGGCCAGATTTTGTGAACATAGATGCCTGTCCTTCAGAGTTTATTTATAGAATATGCTCCAAGCTCAATTCCCACCTATGAGTGAGAACATGCGGTGTTTGGTTTTTTGTCCTTGCGATAGTTTGCTGAGTATGATGGTTTCCAGTTTCATCCATGTCCCTACATGGACACAGGAAGGGGAACATCACACACCAGGGACTGTTTTGGGGTGGGGGGAGGCGGGAGGGATAGCATTAGGAGATATACCTAATGCTAAATGACGAGTTAATGGGTACAGCACACCAACATGGCACATGTATACATATGTAACAAACCTGCACGTTGTGCACATGTACCCTAAAACTTAAAGTATAATAATAATAAAATAAAATAAAAAAAGAAGAAAGGCAGGAAGAAATGGAAGAAGAAAAAAACCCATTCCTTTATATTATAATACAAATGCATATTCATATTCTGAATTTTAACATTAACATTATAATAAAACTGTTTTTATCTTTAGGAAAAAAAAAAAAAAGAATATGCTCCAAGCATTTGCTTCTCAAATTCTCCACTATTGGATAACAAATAAGCCATAATGTAACAGGATTTTCATTTAGGTTTTTCCATTAAGCCTTAGCCATGGATTGTGATGGTATCTGGTTGAGGCCAGATCTGAGTTTAGTTTTTACTCTGCTGCCGAAATTGTTGTGTGATCTTGAGCCAGTCATTGCACTGTTCTCAACCTCAGTTTCCTCATCTGGAAAATGAGGGTGTTGGAGCAGACGATCAGTGAGCTTTCTCCCAACTCTTAACATTCTCTACTTGTAGAGTTTTTATAATCAAACACAATTATGTAAAAGAGAGAAAAGCAGTTGTCATGGAAACTGTTATTTAATACATAACACTGTTTCTTAATCAGCCTGTTTTCCTTGAAGAAATTTGCTTCTCTTGTGATACAGGCCCAAAGGTCTCCTAATTCTGCCTTTAGAAAGGCTCAGATTTCAGTTCCATCACTTAAGAATTCAATGCATGGAACCAGTTACTTAACCACCCTGTGCCTAAATTGCTTTATTCTAAAAGTGGTATTGACAAGAATACTGACCTCATAGTGTGGAGCATCAGGCCTGATGCACAACAACAAAAATGTTAATGATAATAATACCAATACAGATAATATTAAAAATATCTAATGTTTATTGAGTTACTTATTGCTACTCTGTGCTAGGCATTAGTAAATGTATTAACTCATGGAATCTTCAAACCAACCCTGTGGGGTAAATGTTACTATTAATCTCATAATTAGATCAAGTTACGTACTTGTCCCAAGTCACACAACTTGAACGGGGTGGAACCAGAATACTTGTCGAGCTACATAGGCCAATTTCAGAGCCTACACTCTGAACCATTAACGTTTCTCAATAATAACACTGTTAATACATAATTGTGAATAACCAGCATCTTTTATGGCCTTTGCTATATGCCCAAATCTGTTCTATCCTATGAGGTAGATGATATCATCATCTCTATTTCGTAGATAAGAAAACTGAGACCTCTAGAGGTTAATTAAAAACACATAGTTGGTAGTAGTGGAGGCAGGACTTGAACTCTTGCAGTCTGGCTCCTGAGTTCATATTTTTAACGATGATATCTCAGTATGAGCTATTATTACCCTACATCCAGTTCAGTTTTGTGTCCATGAATGATGTAAGATGATTATAGCTCCACCCACTAGATGATGTGAGCCTTTGGCAGTCTTCTGGAACTCTGTTTTTTTTGTTTGTTTTTTGTTTTTTTGTTTGTTTGTTTTTGAGACAGAGTCTCTCTCTGTTCCCCAGGCTGGAGTGCAGTGGCATGATCTTGGCTCTCTGCAACCTCTGCCTCCCGGGTTCAAGCAGTTCTCCCTTCCTCAGCCTCCTGAGTAGCTAGGATTATAGGCACCCGCCACTGTGCCTGGCTAAGTTTTGTATTTTTTAGTAGAGACGAGGTTTCTCCATGTTGGCCAGGCTGGTCTTGAACTCCTGACCTCAGGTGATCTGTCCGTCTTGGCCTCCCAAATTGCTGGGATTACAGGTGTGAGCCACCGCACCCAGCTGGAGCTCTGTTTATGCTCTTTGTTGATTCCCTATTGTGCTCCTAACTACCACAATCGTTTATGGAAAAGCCAAGCTGCGACACAAGTATCTTGCCATGTCTTATAAAATAAAACAAGAGGAGATAAGTACAAAAGTCTATGAATTTCAGGCCAGTAAGCTCTAAAATTTCAAACAGCAAATACAGTCCGTAAAACATTTGAGAGAGAGTTTACTTCAGTAGCTCCAATTATCTGAGCAATGTTTTCCAAATACCTTAGCACCTATTGATCTAAGAGTGAAGTAGGAGAACTTCTTTAAAGATCAGATAGTAAATATTTTCAGCCTTAAGGGCCATAAGGTCTCTGTCATGACTGTTTAACTCTGTTAAAGTGCAAAAGCAGCCATAGATGATAGTAAACAAATGTATCTGTGTTTCAATAAAACTTTATTTACAAAAACAGATGGTAGGCCAGATGGCCCAGAAGCCATTGCTTACTGACCTCTAATCTAAGAGAGAGATAGCCTACTGATAAAGTATTTAATGCCAATGGGTTTTGGGATAAGTGGCCTCTTGTACGTGCATAAAAGCAATAGTAATGACATGTTTATTTTTTCCTTCCCTCCTCATTTTTAATGAGTCCTGATCTTGCTGTTCCACATTTACTAAATTAGGTACTGGCAAAATGTGATAGTGTAGGCTTACACTATTCACATTACTATCTGCTACTTGACTCAATATATTGAAATTTGACTTTAAGGACAGACTTTCAGCAGTAGGAAGCAATGTTGACAAAACAACTTTTAAAAAAGATCATATAGAATGAAAACGTGGATATGTGCCTTGTTTTGAGCTATCTCAAATCCTTTTGCTAAATAAGTAGGGGGTAAATTATTTTAAATGGGGAAAATGGAACACAATTTTTAAATATTTTAAGGCATTTCAAATGGGCCTTAAAATACAACGGTTGTCCTCTGGAGGGATTTTCATTAATTATTAACCATATCAGAAATGTAATTAAGTCAGTGCTGAAATTAGTCAAGATCAGCTTTATAACTCAAATCACATAAATAACATATATGGGTTCTATGAATTAATCATTGTAGATTTGATTAAAAAGTTCCATTTCAAAGTTCATGCAATTTAATGTCATGTTGTTTCTGTTTTTCAAACATTTGTTAAACCAACTGTCTATAGAGGCACATTATATGGCTAAAGATCTAATTGCACCATTGTTAGCATAGAACTGTAGTCAGTAAATAATTAGTGGCTTGCATTGTGAAGTTTTGATAAATTTTTAGGCTTCTCTGAATTAACATTTGTCTTATGGTCAGTTAAGGAAATTAAATATCGATTAAGGAAATTCAGACAGGGCAGCTTCACAGTCTCCCTCCTCCACAGGGCCCCCCATGACCACTGCCTTGGAGGCTGTGCTGACTTTGGGGAAGGCCTATCAGTGGCTGTGACCTGGGTTAAGCTGATGGACCAGGGGCATTTTTGAGAATATTGATTAGATTAAGGAGAGGTGGGGACCTGTATTAGTTTTTTATTGCTTCTGTAACAAATTACCACACACTCAGTGCCTTAAAATGTCACCAATTTATCTTACATTTCTGTGAGTTAGATGTCTGGTGCAGGTCTCACTGGGCCAAAATCAAAGTATTAGCTGGGCTGTGTTCCTTCTGTCTTTCTGGAGACTCTAGGGGAGAATCTGTTTTATGGCCTTTGTTTTTTGGGATGGAATCTCGCTCTATCACCCAGGCTGGAGTGCAGTGGTGCGATCTCAGCTCACTGTAATCTCTGCCTCCCGCATTCAAGCGATTCTCCCGCCTCAGCCCCCCGAGTAGCTGGGATTACAGGCATGCGCAACCATGCCCAGCTATTTTTAGTATTTGTAGTAGAGGTGGGGTTTCACCATGTTGTCCAGGCTGGTCTTGAACTCCTGACCTCAGGTGATCCGCCCGCCTTGGCCTCCCAGAATACTGGGATTACAGGCATGAGCCACCATACCCAGCCTCGGTGCCTTTTCCAGCTCCTAGGGCTGCCACATCCCTAGACTCATGGTCCCTCTTTCATGTTTGAAGCCAGCAACATAATGTCTCTCTGATCCAAGCCACCAAAGGTTCTCTGTTTTTGAGGTCTTATGTGATTAGATTGCCCCCCTTCCTTTTGGATATCCCAGGATAACCCCTCCATTTCAAAGTCCTTAAATCTGCAAAGTCCCTGTTAGTCCCATGTAAGGTGACATATTCACAGGTTCCAGAGATGAAGAGTTGGGCATTTTAGCAGAGCCATCATTCTGTCTACCACACAACCGACATTCAGTGTATTGGATTCACTGTCGGCGCTTCCTCTGTTTACCAGCCCATCTTCTTATGTTTCAGCTTCTTGTGTCCTGACACCCATTTTTGTCTCAGTCCACTTTAAACCTTGTTCTTCTCAGTTCTCAATTTCTCTGACCTTCCTTTAGCATGCAGTCCAGTGGACCTTCTTCTGCTGAGAGCAGTATTGCTGGCCAGGCTGTCTGGGTTCAAAGCTAGGCTGTGCCTCATAAACATGACCTTTGGTAAGTTATGCAATATCTCTGTAACTCAGTTTTCTCATCTGTAAAAGGAGGATAAAGAATGTGCCTGGACTACATATGATTGATGTGGTGATTACATGCATTAATATATTCATCACTCTTAGAACAATGCCTGAGACATAGTAAACCATCAATACATGCTAACCATTGTTGCTGTGAATTTGGTTACTCTCCTTTTGGGTGCTGGTAGAAATTCCCTCAAGATTTTATCTGTGATTTCTTGTATTTTCTTCGGAAGTTGCAGCTTCTCTCAAAGCTTTAGCATTCATCCCTAGGCAAAGAACTCCAGCTGGACGCATTTCCAAGCTCTATACCTTTATTTCTGGCAGTACTAGGTGAACATTTTTGTTTGGATGTCCCAGGGGAGCCACAAAGCTGAACTTAACATCTTGCCTACCGAAATATTCCATCCGTGTTCTTATTTCTATTACTGTCTTTAGATCCGAAGTCAATTTTTATTCTTTCCCTCTCATTTACCACTAAACATCAAAAAAGTTATCAAATACTAAAGACTCTACTTTCAAACTATCTTTTAATCTATTTGTGTCCCCACTTCCACTGCTCTGATCCAGGCTTCTATGACCGTTACCCTGATTTGTTGCCCCAGTTGAAGTAGAACAGTATTCTTAAACCTTTGCTCTGATTATGCAACCCCCACCCCCAGACCCGCCCCTCCCTTCCACCTTGCTCCAGCATCTTAAGTGATTCCCCGCTGTCTTAGCATGGAGACTACATCCAGTGTAGCATATAAGTGAGTTTTCTTCAGGAATTCCCTAAAAATTTAAAAATTTCATACAAAAGTATGTTGTGAAGATCGTTGCTTTCAGTCTCAACAACCAGTCACTGCTCACGCATCTTAAACATGCTTGAAACAGGACATCTTTTCCTTTCATGAATGAGCCTTGTTCTTTCATACCTGAACCTTCACCATGGGGGGCGTGCTCTTCTCCTCCATCTCTGCCTATGAGAAATCTACCCAGCAATGAGGCTTAGTGACAATACCCACCACTCTCTTTGTGAAGCCTTCCCTGGTAGCCTTTCCCTGAACCGTGTAAGTCAGAGGTCAGCAAACTACAGCCCACAGGCCAAATCCAGCCTATTGCTTAGTTTTATAAGTTTTATTAGAACTCAGTCACACTCATTCGTTTATGTATTGTCTGTGGCTGCTTTTGGGTCTACAGTAGCAGAGTTGAGTAGCTGCAACAGAGACCATATGGCCCACAAAGCCCAAAATAAATTATGCTCTGGCTCTTTACAGAAAAAAACATGCTGACCCCTTTCTCCCCTCAGAGATTACATAGTCTACCTTGTGCATCTTTGACATCTCCTTCTGTTAGAGTCACTTCTGCACAACTTTTTTCCTGGCAAGAACGATCTCCTCTTGTAGACATAGATTCTGCCTTTTTCATCCTTGTTTCTATCCTTGGGCCTAGCAGGGGTAGGGCTCAGTAGTTGTTGGGGACAATAGATTGCCTGTAAAAAAATTTTTTAAACTACATTTTGCTCACTTGGCTAAGTGACAAAAATCTTATATAAAGCAGTGTTCCCTTTAGGGGGTTAGTGCTTATCATTTGATGTTTCTGGTAGTAAACCATTTCATGTTTCACTTCGAGAAGCGCTTTTTTGACTGCCAAGATAAGCTGCAAAATTGAGTCCAAGGATCTTAAGAAATAATATTCCTAAGCCATTTAAGCAGCTCACTTGGTGATCTCATTTAATAAGTGGTCCACTGAAATTTAGGATTGCAGAGTATACTTTTTCATTATGCATGGGTTTCACCATGTGAGGTAGATATCTAGTTCCTACTCAGCTATTTTTGTTGACTGCCTAGGGTATGATAATATTTGACCATGCTACTCTCTTATGAAAAATGCCAAATAGTTAAATTTGTTTTAGGAAAACCAGAGATTCCTCTCTTGCTCCTAAAGGAGAAACCAAATGACCCTGGGTTTCTTTCTTTTTTTTTTTTCTTTCTAAAACCCAAGAAGTATTGATGTCATGTCCTCCTGCGAAGTGCATTAGCTGTCCTTGCCTTTGCTGCTTTAGTACTGGGGAATGCCTCTGTCAGACAGTGAGCTCATGAGTGCAAGGACTCTGTCTTTTAATTTCTGAATCCTCAGTGTTTGGCACAGAGAAAGCTCTTGACAAATATTTATTAAATGAATAAGTCAATAAATAATTGAAGATCTCAGAAAGAACCTTTTCCCCAAGGTATTACTTTTAAACTATAAACTTACAATTGCCTACTTCTATCTAGTTCACATCCTTAAATATCACTTGGGAGAATTTCCTGTTGTGATGATATAGAGTTTATGTCTAGCTGTGGGAGGTCAAGGGTGGGCTACGTTGTGCCTAAGTCCACAGAACACAAGGAAAACCCTTAAACTTTTGTGAGGTGACCGGAAATAAATATCTGCTTCCTAAGTATTTCCCTGAGTGAGAATGTAAAGGTTTAAGATAAATTAAGTATCACAGGGTGAGACAAAGTGAGAAATTCAGGATTTAGATTGGCATTCAGAGCAGGGAGGGAAAAAAAGATGACCCAAATTGACACAAAATGAGAAAATCTTGGGAAATAAAAGTAAACGGTAGCAAATGTGATGTATTTGAGAACCTTACAAGGAGGTTTTCAGTATGTTCCAGTTGATTTATAGGATGTAGAAACATTAAGTGTTAAAATGGAAAGGGGTGGATTTTCAAGACTCTCACAGTGAGGGTTCAGTTAGGAATCAGAATTCCAACAAACAAACAGATTTTAATAAAGATGTTACAAAGGAGAGGCTGGGTTATGGAAATTGACAAGAGATGGTGAAGCACCCAGGGTCTAGCAAGGGTGAGGAGCCTTTATAAAACATGCCTCAAGAGGCAAGGGCAATATTGGAGCCGCGCAAGAGCAGGAGCCCTGGGAAAGGGGCTACCCAATAGGAGTAGACCTTGCAGAGGGCTTTCCAAATGGCTAGGGCCCTCACAAGTATTCACACAGGAAGGGAGCAGGGAAGAAGTAACTCAGCCTGTTTTTCCTCCCAACCTTTAGCTCCTTCTTGTGCCTCCATTGGCTGAGGCCAACTGGAGGCCTGTGAGGGAGCCCAGGTGATGAAGGAGTCACCTTCCCAGGACACAGAACAGGTGGAGAATGGATTTGAAGTAGGTGGAGGCCCACAAAACGTCACCAGCACAGGGACCATCTCCAGCCTTTCAGTTTACAAATGAGGAAAACGAGGCCCAGACTGGGGGAAATGAACACCTTGGAAATTCATCCCTTTCAGCCTTAACACTTAATGTTCTTTTTTTTCTTTTTATAGGTAGTCTCTTATTTTTATTATTATTATTATTATACTTCAAGTTTTAGGGTACATGTGCACAATGTGCAGGTTTGTTACATATGTATGCATGTGCCATGCTGCTGTGCTGCACCCATTAACTCGTCATTTAGCATTAGGTATATCTCCTAATGCTATCCCTCCCCCCTCCCCCCACCCCACAACAGTCCCCAGAGTGTGATGTTCCCCTTCCTGTGTCCATGTGTTCTCATTGTTCAATTCTCATCTATGAGTGAGAACATGTGGTGTTTGGTTTTTTGTCCTTGCGATAGTTTACTGAGAATGATGATTTCCGATTTCATCCATGTCCCTACAAAGGACATGATCTCATCATTTTTTATGGCTGCATAGTATTCCATGGTGTATATGTGCCACATTTTCTTAATCCAGTATATCATTGTCGGACATTTAGGTTGGTTCCAAGTCTTTGCTATTGTGAATAGTGCCGCAGTAAACATATGTGTGCATGTGTCTTTATAGCAGCATGATTTATAGTCCTTTGGGTATATACCCAGTAATGGGATGGCTGGGTCAAGTGGTATTTCTAGTTCTAGATCCCTGAGGAATCGCCACACTGACTTCCACAATGGTTGAACTAGTTTACTACTCATCTGACAAAGGGCTAATATCCAGAATCTACAATGAACTCAAACAAATTTACAAGAAAAAAACAACCCCCTCGAATAGTGGACAAAGGATATGAGCAGACACTTCTCAAAAGAAGACATTTATGCAGCCAACAGACACATGAAAAAATGCTCATCATCACTGGCCATCAGAGAAATGCAAATCAAAACCACAATGAGATACCATCTCACACCAGTTAGAATGGCAATCATTAAAAAGTCAGGAAACAACAGGTGCTGGAGAGGATGTGGAGAAATAGGAACACTTTTACACTGTTGGTGGGATGTAAACTAGTTCAACACTTAATGTTCTATATCCTCATAAATCAGTGTTCAAATGAGAAAGACAATAAGGACTGACTGAATAAATAAATGGAAGAATAAATTAATTTGAAGAATAAATGAATTTTTCATATCATAAATCCATTTTTCACCAACATGTTTGCTAGGTGGCATTCTAACCTATCAGTGGACCATAATATATTTAACTATTGCCCTATTAACAGTTATTTTTCTAGTTTCTAATATTACTATAATCATAATTATTATAGTTATGTCAGTATTAATTATAATTATGATACTAAGTACTATTTATTGAGTATGTCAGGCACCATGCTGTGTGAAAACATATACTTTTTTTAGCCCTTATTATGAATATTTGAAGTATGAATTTAAACTCCCATTTTGTAAAAGAGGAAATTGAAGCTCACGTAGTAACTCAATCATAACTCATCAGAAGTTCCACAGCTACTACAAGATAGACCCAGAATATGCACGAATATCCATTCAACACAAAAGTCCATCTCTCTATTGCTTCCCTATTTAATAAAAATTTTGAATGGAACATTTTCTTACGTAACTGTTAGTATGTCTTATCATTTTCTTGAGATAACTTCCTAGAAGTAGAATTCTTGGGTCCAAAGAGATGATCCTATTTTTAAGTAGTAAGAAATAACATTTAGTTGCAATTTGAAACATATTAAATATCTGTGAGAGAAACCTTATATGGGTATGAAATTTTTAGTTTTGTCAAATGATCTGATTGCGAATGGTGAGATAGCCATGTCTGAGAGCCCCCATTTTCTTATGTTACCAGCAGTGAAGAGCATCTTTTTTAATAGCCTGTATTTTTTAGAGCAGTTTTAGGTTCACAGCAAAATTGACTGCAAAATACAGACATTCCTTGTGTATCTCCTGCCCCTACATGTGCATAGCCTCCTCTATTATGACCTTCCCACACCAGAGTGGTACAATTATTACAATTGATGAACCTACATTGACACATCATCACCCAGAGTCCATAGTGTGTATTAGCGTTCACTGTTGGTGTTGTACATTCTGTGGGTTTTGACAAATTTATTACAATATGTATGCACCATTATAGCATTAAACAGAGTAGTTTTATTGCCCTAAAAATCCCTTGTGCTCTGCCTATTTCTCCCTCCTTTCTTCTTTCCTCGTGGCAACCACTGATCTTTTTACTGTCTCCATAGTTTTGCCTTTTCTAGAATGCCATGTAGTTGGAACTATGTAATATGTAGCCTTTTCAGACTGGCTTCTTTCACTTAGTAATGGTTCTTGAACATTTAAGGTAAGTAAATGGACAGTTAAGGTTCCCACATGTCTTTTCATGGCTTGACAGTTTGTTTTGTTTTAATGCTTAATAATATTCCATTGTCTGAATGTATCACAGTTTATTTGTCAGTTTACCTACTGAAGGACATCTTGGTTGTTTCCAAGTTTTGGCAATTATGAATAAAACTGCTGTAAACATTCATGCGCAGGTTTCTGTGGGAACATAAGTTTTCATCTCACTTGGGTAAATACCAAGGTGCATGATTGCTGGATTGTATGGTGAGAGTAAGTTGAGTTTTGTGAGAAACTGCCAAACTGTCTTCCAAAGTGGCCATACCATTTTGTATTTCCACCAGCAGTGAATGAAGGTTCCTGTCGCACTGTATTCTTGCCATCATTTGATGTTGTTGGTGTTTTTGACTTTCACTATTCTAATAGATGTGGAGTGGTATCTCGTTGTTTTAATTTGCAATTAATTACCCAATGACATCTACATTATTTTTTAAGATTTATTTTTATTTTAATATTTTATTTATGTACTTATTTTCAATTAACAAATAAAAATTGTATATGTTTATCATTTATAACATAAAGTTTTGAAATGTGTATACATTGTGGGATAGCTAAATCAATGCAATTAATACATATGTTATATCACATACTTGTCAATTTTTATGGTGAGAATGCTTAAAATTACTCTGTTAGTGATTTTTAAGAATACAATACATTATTATTAAGTATACCCACTATTTTGTATAATAGATCCCCAGAACTTATTTCTCCTGTCTAAATGAAATTTTGTATCCTTTGACCAACATCTCCACAACTGAGCTCCACCCCCCAGCTTTTGGTAACCGCCATTCTACTCTCTGGTACTTATGAGTTCAAAATTCCACAAATAACTGAGATCATGTGGAGTTTGTCTTCCTGTGCCTGGCTTATTTTACTTAATGTCCTCCAGGTTCATCCATATTATTGCAAATGACAGGATTTTCCTTGTTTTTCTTTTTAAGGTTGAATAGAATGTCTTTGAATATATCCACCACACATTTTCTCTGTCAATTTTTCCATTGATAGATACTTAGATTCCATATTATGGCTGTGTTTTGGCTATTGTGTCTAAAGTTGCAGTGACCACAGGAGTACTGATAGCTGTTGGACGTACTACTTTCATCTCCTTTGGCTATATACTACAACATTTAAAGAGTTTTAAATCACTCTTTATGAATTAAAAAAAATCTCAGGTTGTTTTCACTGTAGATGGGCTAGTAGGGTTGAGGAAAGGAGAGTGGGAAGGCTAAGCTATTCAAGGTTGTCTTCAATGACCACTTTCCCTTACTCACCCCCTCTTCCAAGGTCTTAGCTAATCTCCCAGGGACTGAACACTCTCCAGACAAAATCAACGTAACAGAAGTCTGGCATTTGAGAATATTTGAGTTTAGTTACCTGTAGTCTTCCTTAGGTATCCCTAGAAAGATTAGTTCCTGGATAACCACCTCCCTCCCTTCCCCAGATACCAAAATGTTCAAGTCCCTTACATGAAATAGCAAAGTATTTACATATTACCTATGTGCATCCTTCCATATACTTTAAATAATCTCTAGATTACTTATAATACCCAGTACAATGTAAATGATATGTAAATAGTTGTTATACTGTATTTTAAAATTTATTTTCCTTTATTATTGTTTTAATTGTAGTTTTTTTTTTTCTGAATATTTTCTATCCGAGGTTGGTTTATTCCACAGACATGGGAACTGCAGATAAGGAGGGCCGTCTGTACTTTGTTTGATACCTGTCCTGCCGGCTCCCTGCCACCCCCGGCACCCTCCGTTTCTTTCTAGAACTATTTACATTAATGTCTACTGTGAGCTAGGCATTGTGATAGGCATGAAATAAGACACAGTCCTGGCCCCACATTCAGGGGACATATATATAGACAATCACAGTGCAGTTGGGTAGGTCTTGGTGTAGTTATGTACCAGGTGCTAACAGAGTGCAGGGGAGGGACATGTGAGCTGAGGGTTCTGGGGATGCTTGGTAGAGTTAGGGGTTGGGAATAATGGGGTTTCTTCAGAAGGGTGGTGAATGAGCTGATCTTAGGAGAATATATTGGATTAGGGCTATGAAAGAGAGCATTTCAGGCAAGAAGGAGGATTTTTTTTTTTTTCATGAACTCACTACTTAGGACCAAACTGTGAGCACCAGCACTGTTTCATTTTCACCTTATGGAGACCATTATTGGAGGTGTGTTCATCAAGTTTTTTCTATGAACCAACAAACCCAAATCTCAGTGGTTCACACCCAGAAACATTTGTCTTTTTGTTCAGAGTTTTTTCAGGCAGCTGTTGTTTGCCTGATATTGGCTGGTTTAAGTAAGGCTTGGTCCAGGTTGCAGATCAGGTTTGAGTTTGTTCTTAGTGTCTCCTTCTGGGACCCATGGCTAGTCGGGACATGTGCTTTTTATGATAATAGCAGAAGCAAAAGAGACCAAGCCTAAACCACACAAGCACATTTCTGCTTTCATCTGTTTGCTAACATCCCTTTGACTAAAGCAAGTCATGATGGCCAAGTCCAAAACCAATGGAGCAGGGAATATACCTTCTCTCTCTATTGGGAAGTACTAACAAGTCACATGGCAGAGAGAAGTTATGAATTACGAATCAGGGGCAATAATCTACTCTGCCACTGTGGTTTCCTGAAATGAAGTCCTGATAGAATTTGGTCGCAGGGGGATTAAAAGGGAGATTCTCACTCAGCCTCAGCAACAGGAAAGAAAGAAGTTACAAAAAGCCTGTAAAGAATCTAAAGGAGGATTTGAAGGAGAGAAAGCACCAATAATCTAACTGCAGCACTTTATTTGAATTTAAGTAACGCTGGTCAAACATTCTTACAGGCTCTTACCCTTTCTGATCTATAAATTCTTCATGTAGATATTGAGCCAAAGGTTAGATCTAGAAAATATTATATCTAGTCCTTAGCATGTTGGTTTCTTTTCAATGCGCTTAAACGCTCAGTTAACGTGGCTTTAGACATAATTGTAACAGAATTACAAAGGACAGCACCTTGGCAGAAAGTTCTTCCTGGTTTTGATGTGTTGCTACTGCCAGATTTTTGTGACATGCTGATGCTAATCTGTCAAATAGCCTGACACTAAGTGAGAAGAGAAATAAAAGGAGGCATGACAGGGCCAAGGACCTGGTGTGGTGGAGGATGGTTGGGCAGTAGCAAATCCTCTCATCAGCCCTACTGAGACTAAGCAACAACCTATCTTCAGGTCTCTGGGTTCGGTGGTTGGGGGGAGCGGGGGCGGTCCTACGTGGGTTAGAACTCATACTACTCTCAGAAATGCACCTACTTTCAGTTACCCACCAATTCTGATGCTCAAAGCCCCTCCAAACCTGTTTTCTGTGGGTCCACCTGAGCTCGCTTAACTAAGATAGCACAAATTCTGCCCCCTCTTATGGGAACATACCTAAGCTAATGACACATGAGGTGCTACCTCTTCCGCATGTATACCTACGTGTTTGAGCTTTTTCCTCCCTTGGATGTGGGAGGGTATCAGTCTATTTTATAAACATTTTGTCAAGTGTCCTTTGAGTCAAATAAGAGAGGATATTAGAAAAGCTCCAGAAAACTTTGGGAGGCCGAGGCGGGCGGATCACGAGGTCAGGAGATTGAGACCATCCCGGCTAAAACGGTGAAACCCCGTCTCTACTAAAAATACAAAAAATTAGCCGGGCGTGGTGGCGGGCGCCTGTAGTCCCAGCTACTTGGGAGGCTGAGGCAGGAGAATGGCGTGAACCCGGGAGGCGGAGCTTGCAGTGAGCCGAGATCCCGCCACTGCACTCCAGCCTGGGCGACAGAGCGAGACTCCATCTCAAAAAAAAAAAAAAAAGAAAAAGAAAAGCTCCAGAAAGTTTGGAAAAGTAAATTCAGACCTGAGAGTAACCAAGAGAGTTCCCACCTTCCTTCTGGTCAATGTTCCAGGAAGGCGAAGCACTGGATTTACCCTCCACTTTGCAGTTAAAGAGGAAACTCGAAATAAATATTCCCTTCTACAGGTTTTTTTTTTTAATTAAGAATAGATGAGTCTTATGTTTTGTGTGTGGTGGTGACATTCAAAACATAGTTTTTCAGTGTTTTGAAAAGTAATTTACCTAAGAAATGACAAGAAGAGTAATGCAACACATAGACAGCATTGCTGTGAGTTGTAAAACATTGACAGAACGACAAATGTTCCTGTGGCATAGAGTCCTTCTGAATCACAGAAATGACATTTGGATGAAAGCAAATCATTTTTACATAGGCACACTGCTAACTGTGCAGTGAAGCCAGAAATAGCACACCTTGGAAGTGGGCCAGAGAGAAAGAACACCTAAGAATTTTATGTTATTCAGAAAAATTTTCACTTTTTCGGTAGGATTTTTGAGGAGTAAAGAAAATATTTGAGAGCCTTAAAGAAAATCTGAGCTTTGTTTTTTTTTTTTTTTTGAGACAGAGTTTTGCTCTTTGTTGCCCAGGCTGGAGTGCAGTGGTGCTATCTCAGCTCACTGAAACCTCCGCCTCTTGGGTTCAAGCGATTCTCCTGTCTCAGTCTCCCGAGTAGTTGGGATGACAGGCACCCACCACCATGCCCAGCTAATTTTTGTATTTTTAGCAGAGATGGGGTTTCACCATGTTGGCCAGGCTGGCCTCAAACTCCTGACCTCAGATGATCCACCCGCCTTGGCCTCCCAAAGTGCTGGGATTATAGGTGTGAGCCACTGTGCCTGGCCTTTGATTTTTATTTATTAAAATATTAGTCATTTATTGTGTTCCCGTATACTCATCAAGTGTCTCTTGAGAAAACTCAGACCAAGCAGGAAACATAGGCTTGATGTTTAGGAGACAGAGTAAAGTGGGAGGCATGACATGGGGAGCTGATCACACAGAGATTACAGATGGAGATAAGGAGTGCATAACATCCCCAAGGATGGACAGGATGGAGAGAAGAAAAGGCCAAAATCAAAACTTTGGAAAATGCCCACTGTGGTGGGCTGATAATGGCTCCCAAATATCTGTCCACATTCTAATTCCCAGAACCTGCAAGTGTTACCTTGTTTGAAAAGAGTCTTTGCATATGTGGTTTACTTAGGAATCTTGAGATAGGGAGATTATCCTCCATTATCCAGGTGATCCCTAAATGTCACAACCAGCGTCCTTATAAGAGAGAGGCAGAGGGAGATTAGACACAAACACTGAGAAGGTGATATAATCACAGAGATAGAGATTGGAGTGATGTTGTCACAAGGCGAGGAACACCAAGGAATGCTGGCGCCCGTGAGAAGCTGAAGGAGGCAAGGAATGGATTCTCCCCAGAGCTTCTGTCTACCTTTCTGGAGTCTTGATTGGCCTACAGGTGTTCAGTTTGCACTTCTGTGGAAACAGGGAACATACAGCAGTGACACAGAGCCCTGCCGACACCATGGTGAGAGACACCTGGCCTTCAGAACTGTGAGATGATAAAATCTTGTTTGAACTCATCCTGGTTGTGGTAATTTGTTAAATTGGGCTTTGGGAACTAATATACCCACCTTTGGGAACAGGAACAGAAAGAGTTTAAAAAAGTAAGGGGAGGTAGCAAGAAGCTTAAGTGTCATGAAAACGAAAGCCAAAGCAAGAGTTTAAAAACAGATGAGCAGAGGCAATGGTATAAACGCTAGAGCCTAAAGCCTAATGGGTAAAAATGAAGATTGAGGAGAATCATTGATATGATAGAAGCTAATGATGGCAGCTAACTTGTACTGAGCACCCATTATGCTGGACATTGCCATAAGCACTCTGCAGATATAAACTCAATTCTCACAAAACCCTATCAGGTATGAATTATTGTTACCCCATTTTACAGGTGAAAAAACTGAGGCAAAAATTTAAATAAATGCATTAAGTAACATAGGTGGTAAATGGTGTGGCCAAGATTTGAGCCCAGAATTCTGGCTACAGCATCCACATTTTAGCCACTACTTTGTACTAACCTCACCTTATCCCCCAAGGTGTGTGTTTCCCAAGGTTCTGACTTTGGGTCTTTTATCAAGTAAGGTAGATGATGTGTCTCAAGAGGAAAAGGTATTTTTGTAATGATTATTTGAGGTTGAAAGGAGGAAGATTAGGAACTTTATATCACCTGGACCCCATCTTCTCAGCTGAGTTGGAGAGGAGGCTATCTGATGAGGCTGAGGGAGGCAGCTAAGTTTCTGACCTCAGGGAGCCTAGGAAAGACAGTGAGGATACAATAAAACAGGAAGCACTAAATGAAAAACTTGCTGCACAGTGAAGCATGCTCAGTGTTATTTCCTTGACTGGCTTTTGGCACTGTGCCATCTGTGCCCAAGATGTCTGCACCATGTAGCGTGCCAAGTGCAGAAGGAAAAGGGACTGAAGGGGCATCATCGCCCCACACCTGCCCTATGGAAAGTACTTTGTTCAGAGACGAAGAAGGAATCCGAAAACTGCACAATATGACCTTTGTCATTAGAAACTCTTGAACGTTTGAGAAATGGACCATCCATGTACTGGCAGATGAATGAGAGTTCAAGGGCATTACATGATAAGGGCTAATTGCAAGACTAGAGACTGGAGTGGGTCAGAGGAACTGAAATGTGTCAAGGGGAAGGTACAGCTCTAGATAGTTCTTACTAAGGTCTTTGACAGCTGATCAAGAATCAGGAGGACATTTCAGCCTGGACGATGCCATGGGCCAAGCATGGGAGAGGGGAGAAACAGATGGTTCTTTAAGAGCTTAGGCCAAAGGACTCTCAACATTCTGGGCTTCCAATCTGTCCCCCACCCAGGATAGCTTTCTGTTAAGTTACTATTCAGAACCACTGCAGGCTTAAAACAATGAGTGTTTATATTGGTATTGAATCCATTAGACTGCATGGTATAGTGGAAAAAGGCAAGGTTAAAATATCAGTTAATCACTTTGTTGTGTGACCTTGGTCAAGTAACTTCTCGAGCCTCAGATTTCCCATTTGTAAAACATAGATACCAATTCTCAGGCTCTTATGGTTGTGATGATACATTAATGGGATAATGATCAATATCGAGTGTGGTGCCTGACATTTAATAGATAGTGTCAACAATTTTTTTTTAGACTAAGAACAAATTGGATGATGTAATTTATTGGCTGACAATTCATTTCTAAAGATGTGACTTCAGAATGTTCTATAAATGTTAACATTTTCAAATGCCCAGAGTATATTTTCTATCTTGCATACTAGCTATTTATTTACAAATCTCTTTCTCCCATTGACTTAGCCCTTGTGTGAGGAGAGCTCTTTTAGGCTAGGCCCTTTATCTGTACTTTGAGGACCCTTAATTCCTAGAGGAAGAACATGGATTTTTCTCAGGCATTAAAGATTCCTTCCAAATTTCCATGTAACATACCCACTTTCCTCATACCTATCTTCTCCTGGTAATATTCTTGAATTATTTTTTATTTTTAACATTTTTTGCTATGATCTACATTATTATATTTTAAAAACACAATTTCAAGTTATATATTTTAAAAAAATGCCATTTATTTCCATGATACAATTTCTATTCTCATTTACGTCATTTTGTGCTTCCTTCAGAAAAGTTATATAAAAGCTAAAAGTGCTGTGCTGAGTCAGAATCCTGTTCCCCTCAGCCCAATAAGCCTCTGCAAAAAGGAAAAGAAGAAATTTTTTCAGGAGAGCAGTCTATTTCATATTTGCAGACTGAGAGTGCATGTATCATCTGATGTTGACTTAAAATGTCTCTCCCCTTCCCTTCATCTGTCATCCACAAAGCTGTTTGCATTCTTCTGGAGTCTTGATGGGTCTACAGATGGTTCAGTTTGTACCTCCGTGGAAACAGGGAACATGCACCAGTGGCACAGAGCATGGTGGAGTGGAAGAAAATCACTCCACCATGATGTGGATGATGCATGTGTGGTTGATGCTGTGGTGTCTGTCCTACTTATAGAGAGAGACCTCTGGGAGTAGAAGGCTCATACTTGCCTAGGCACCTGAGCATCAGAGTGCCTGGGGGCAGCCTGCCAGCCTATCTCCTACGGGGCCACCCAGCCTGACAGTCCTAACCTGGGTGAATCTCCTGAGACCAAGGCTTAGGCTCACAGCATTGTGGGCTTAGAAACAACATCTTGGGGGCAGACTCATACCAAGCAATTCATGTGGAGGTAGATGTGTGAAAGCCCAGGATGTCCATCTGTTAGCTCACACTGAGAACCCTAGCTGCCAGGTAGACAGGAACACTAGCGTGAAAACTCTCTTCCTGTACTGGAAGCCCAATCCTAATCCATAGGTTATCCGGTGAGCACTGTTGGAATGAGGGCAGTTAAATGGATAAAGGAGAGTAAAACCATATGTCAGGACTGTCTGGCGGTGCAACTGGAATTCTTGAACTTAGTCTGTTTCTTAGATGAGTGCTGCCTATATTTGTTACAGTTTGTTTTAATGATTTCCTGGCTTAACAAGCCCTAATCTGATTTGAGTCATCCTTCCTTAAGATTTGCTAGAGTTTACAAATTGGCCCAGGTCATATCCTCTTTTTCCCCTGGGAAAATTTAAGGTGACCCTTCTTACCTTTGACATGACCTATGATTGGTGATTTTGCAGTTTACCTCTTAGCAGACTTGTTATTTTCCCTGTTTCTGGGTTTTTAGTAGACTTCTTATTGTAGCTTTAAAATAATTTTTTTTACATTCCATTTTTTTAATGTTCAATATCCATTTTAATGCATACAACAACATTATAAGGTAGATACTGTTTTATATCCCATTTACATATAAAGAAACCTGAGACTCAGAGGCTAATGAACTTGCCTAGAAATACCTGGCCAGTAAAGGAAGAGGTTGTGATTCAAACCTACGCACTCTGATTCCAATACTTAAGACATACCTGTGGCTACTTTTCTGAATGTTTCACATGTACTATCTAATGTAATCCTTACAGTTACACAATTTTTATTAAAAAGTACAGTTCTCACTCAGAAAGAAAGAAGGATTTGCATAAAAAAGAATTTCAAGCCCAGAAATACTAATATTACAGGTGTCAGGAATAGTAACATCCAGCCTACTTCCAGCCTTTCTCTCTCTCTCTTTCTCTCCTTCCCTCCTTTCTTTTCTCCCTACTTCCTTCTCTCTCTCTCCCTCTCCCACCCTCCCTCCTTCTTTCTCTTTTTATTTACTTACTTATTTATTTATTTTTATTATACTTTGAGTTCTAGGGTACATGTGCACAACGTGCAGGTTTGTTACATATGTATACATGTGCCATGTTGGTGTGCTGCACTCATTAACTCGTCATTTACATTAGGTATCTCCTAATGCTATCCCTCCCCCCTCCCCCTACCCCATGACAGGCCCCAGTGTGTGATGTTCCCCTTCCTGTGTCCAAGTGTTCTCATTGTTCAGTTCCCACCTATGAGTGAGAACATGCAGTGTTTGGGTTTTTCTGTCCGTCAATGATAGACTGGATTAAGAAAATGTGGAACATATACACCACGGAATACTATGCAGCCATAAAAAAGGATGAGTTCATGTCCTTTATAGGGACATGGATGAAGCTGGAAACCATCATTCTCAGCAAACTATCACAGGGACAGAAAACCAAAAAATCCAAAATAATTTTTAATTCTCTTTCTTATCGGTGTTTCTTAGCAAGAATTCTTCTGTAGTGAAGAATTTTCCCTCATCAACTAATAAAAAATGGCTAGTAAAGGCAGGATAAATGCTTGCTTTATTCCCTTTATTAATCTTCTGAGTAACGAATTGGTATCTTAGGAACCTCCAATGGTGAACAATGAGTGTTTTAAAAAGATACACATTGAACTCAGCCTTTCTTTATACAGTTGATATGCATCAGTAGATGGAGTCCATATTAATGATGTAATCTATATAGGCTGATGTAATCAATTCTACTTTTGAGGAGATTGACATGATGTCTGGAATTTGCTTTAAATACTCCAGCATCTAAAAAGCAAATCAACAACAAAGGGAGTGGGATCGATGAAAAAAAATTGGAAAAATCTTGATATTTGTTGACACTGGTTGATGAGTACATGGAGTTCATTATACTATTCATTTTGCTTTTGGTATGTTTGAAATATTTCCAAATAAAATAGTTCTCAAGATGCATATAATTCTAAGGTTATCAAGAGTGTAAATGTGAGTTTAGCCAACAACTTTGGCCTATCTGTGAATCTTGTGGAGAAAGTTCTTGATTTTTATTGAAATTCCAGATACCCCAACAGTAGTTCCTAAGCCCTACTGCTTTGGCAACAGCATGTCAAATATGTGCACATTTTCCCAGCATTTTGGAAGGAATTTTTATAAGAATTTTCAGATTTGACTGATTGGATCCTGATTCATAAAAGTCTTGTCTTGGTAACTAAGGATGTCTACTTTTGAGTGATGCATACCTTAAGAATTTGAAACATGGTTGCTTCTGTTCTCTGGACTTCATATGAGAGCGTAACAGCCTTTTAGCCATTCTGAAGTGACTTCTTCAGTCTAATGGTGCCATTTCTCATTCCAGGTTTAAGTTTATCTATTCATGGGGCTGAAAAGCGTTTGCAAATCCATCAACGGCGAAGTGTGGCAAGCCGCCCAGCGTCACGTCGTCGCCTGCCTGTGGTCAGGCATTCCTCACTCCCACCAGGCAGAAGGTCAATAAAAATGGAGGCAAGCTCTTCTGGAATCACTAATGGAAAAACCAAAGTCTTCCACCCAGGTGATGCATGGGGAAGTTCAACGGGGACCCATTTCAGTAGCAACCTGACCACAGTCTGCATTATATTTTTATTGTGTAAATATGCCATACTTTCAGCTAAGCTTGCTTTTGTTAGGAGTCTTGTTCTATTTCCCCTTCTGCTCACCTCAGTCAATGGTAAATATCACCAAGACGAATAAGAGGGGAGAGAGCTTGGTGGTTCAGAGAAGGTTGAGGCTATGTGCACAGTGGTAGAATCTAAATGAAAATCAGAGTGCATAAACTCTTGCTCAGTTCAGGAAAGCTCATTATATAATAAAACAACATAGAGATTTGGTCATTTTCCTGATAATTTGCTCTAAGATTGGTCAGGAAAAAAATTCAAGCCAAAAAACACCCACTTTGAAACCTAGGTTATCTGTGTTGGCTTGCCCACATCCTCCTGAGATCAGGAGAGAAGACTGGAGTCATTATATTATATTGTTTTAAGTCTTCTGGGAAGCATCTGTGATCTCTTTAAAATATTAAAATGATTCTACATTAAATGAAGTAAAAACATCTTATGTGCTTATTTGGGGGAAAAGCTCATTTAAGTATTCATTCATTCATTGAACAAATATGTATTGAGTGCCAGCTACATGCTAGGCATTGTTTTGGGTTCAAGGAAATATCAGTGACCAAGGCAATGTTCCTGCAAAGTGACTTTATAGAAACATCAAATTGCGAAAGAATTCATAAGTCATTGAGAATAACTCTCACCCAATCCTGATTCCTCTCTGTAATGTCCTAGTGGATGACCACACAGCTGCTACTGAAGCCAGCCTCCATCTCTACTCATGTCACACCACCTTCTCTCTCTTAGCATGTAACCTTGCTTCCTAACCCATCAAGAAACACCAGGGCCGTTGGGCATGAATTACTGGAGGTCCCTTATCCTCTCTCTTCAAATGTATTGCTCTTTATGCATCATTCCCCACTTTCCTCCAGTTTTCAGAAGATGAGGGGCCTCCCACTGTCTTTGACCAAGCTCTTACCCATGTCCTTTAGCCATGGTCACCTTTCACCTCTTCTGAAGCTTCCTCAGGAGAATGTGTCCTCTTGTTTTCATCTCTTTCACCCTTCCACACTGCTAGCTGTTTACCTTCAGTCTATGAAAAGGCTCAAGCTTCTACCATTCTGATCATTTAACACTGTACCCTTTTCCCTCTTCTGCCACTTTTTCCTCCTCCCTTCCAAGCCAAACTTCTGAAAATAATAATTTACTTTTGATTGCTCTGTTCTGTCGAGAGTAACCAACACAATCTGGTTTCTAGCTCCTCCATTCCATTCTGGCTGTTTTTGAGGCCCTCAGTGACCTCCTTTTATCACAATGTAGTGGATGCTTGCCAGACTTTCCTGATGCACCAGACCAAGGTGGACAACCCACTTGTTTCCCAAACACTGTTCCCTTGGCTTCCATGACAATCTTAGGGTTCTTCTCTTATTTCTCTCGCATGTAACTTTCCTGGTTTCTCCCACTCCAGCATCTCTTTCCTCCTCTTGCCTCCTTTCCCAGTACGTACCAAATCCAGAATGATTCATCTGTACCCCTAATCAGTTACTGTGCTTGTTCTACCAATTACAGGGTCCAGTTCAAACTTCTTAGCATGTTAAAAACAAATGCCTTTTGTGATCTGGCCCCTACTGCTTTCACCCTTCATTTTTTGCCCTCTTCTTCCTTAAGCTTTATTACTATAGTGCATCAATCAAGGTTCAATCAGAAAAGCAAAACCAGTAGAAAGTATGTACTAGAGACTAATTACAAAGAATTGGCTTTCATTGTGGGAGATGGCTAGGCAAGTCTGAATTCATAGGTCAGGCTATCTGCAAGGGCAGGCTGGAACTCTTGGGCACAGCTCTTAAAAGCTTCAGCTCTGCTTTTAAGGCTTTTCAACTGACCTAGATTATCAAGGAGAATCTCCTTTACATAAAGTCAACTGACTATGAACTTTAATTGCATCTACAAAACACCTTCATTGCAGCACTAGATTAGTGTTCATTGAATAACTGGAGACTGTAGCCTGGCCAAGTTGGTTCATCAAATAGACCATCGCATCTGAGTATATCAATGTGCTTTCACTTCTCTAAATATGTGATGCTGTTTCATGCCTCCCAACCTTTGCTCCTGCTGTTCTTTCTTCCCAGGATACCCTGGTTTTGCTCTGTTATCTTTGAACATGTTGAAATTACTTGTCTATCCGTCCACTGAAAGGTCTTTAAGGGCAGGGATTCTGGATTATTTATCTTTGTACTCCCAATAAATATTTGTAGGGTAGGACCGAACAAAACCTTCATTAGCTGTGTTTTAGACTACTACAATAGCTTCTGAATTTTTCTGCCTGCCTTTCTTTCAACAAGTACCTGATATACATCAGTAAACAAAGCAGACAAAAGTCCCTGCCCTTGGGGAGTTTACGTAGTAGCTGCAAGAGATAATAAATAAATATATTAAAGAGACCAACTGTGTAATCTATATTATAGTTATATGTAAGCTATATATAACATATAGTGTTTAGGGAAAGGATAAGTATTATGGATAAAAGAAAAAGTAGGGGAAGAGGGTAGCATGTTGCAATATTAAACATGGTGATCAGGGTAGGCTGAGTCACGAAGATGTGTAATCACTGACTAGAAGTTTCTGAGACAGCCACGTGGATGTCTGAGCAACTTCATTCCAGCAGAGGGACAGTTAGTGGACAGGTTGTAGGGTAAAAGTGGGTCTGGCAATTTGAAGAATAGTATGGAGGCTCCTCAACTTGGAGTGGAGTGAGTGAGGTGGGGAATCAACTCAGTGAGGTTGTAGGGACTAGATCGGGCAGGACCTTATAGGCCATTGTAAGGACTTTGAGCCCTATGTGAAAGGAAGCTCTTACAGGGTTTTGAGCAGAAGAATTCCATAATTTGATTTATATTTTAACAGGATGTAATATAGACTATGGGGAGAATAGATTATAGGAGGAGAGGATAAAAGGAGAAAGGTCAGATAGGAGGCCTCCAGAATGATCCAGTGGAGAAATGATGGTAGCTCTGACTAGGAACAGCAGAAGTAATGGTGAGAATTTAGAGTCTGGATATATTTTAAAGCTGGGCCAACAAAATATCCTAATGGATTGGATGTAGGGTAAAAGAGAAAGAAGAGCAAAGGATGACTGAAAAGTTTTTTTGGCCTGAGTGAAATCAGCTGAGATGGAGAAGGCTGCAAGAGAAGCAGATTTGGTGGGTTTGAGGGCAAAGGTGGGGCTGAGTTCAGAAGTTTGATTATAGATGTGATAATATTGAGAGCTGGCAAGATCTTGTGGGTGGTAGTTTGAGCTCCATGTCTGGAGTTTGAAAGATGATTGGTCTGTGAAAGAGATATAAAACTAATAGTTGTTGACATATAAGTGCTATTTAAAGAAATGAGATTGCAAGAGATGACCAAGGGAAGAAGTATAAATGGGGAAGGGAGAGCATCAAGGGCTGAGATCTGGGACACTCCAATAATAAAGGGTCAAAGAGGACATGAACCACGAGCAAGAAGGCCAGGAAAGAAGCACCAGCAAAGATGGAGAAAACCCAGAAGTGCCACATCTCAGAAATTACAAAAGTTTATCAAGAAGAGAAGAATGGTTTTCTAGGCTAAATGTTATTGAAAGTCAAATAAGATGAGGACTGAGAATTAGTCGATTTTAGTAAAGTGGAGGTCAATGGTGATTTTGATAAGAGCCGTTTTAGTGGAGTGGTGGGGATGAAACCCTGATTGAAGTGGATTTAAGGGAGATGAGAGGATATAAATTAGATGCTCTGAATATGGGCAACTTTTTTGAGCAGTTTTGCTATGAAGTGTAGTGAAGAAATAGGGCAGCAGCTGGAGGAGAAGTAAGGTCAAGAGTTTCTTTTAAAAATAGCAGCTCTCCAGCAGATAATTTATGGTGTTCAAGAGAGGGGAGAATTTGTGATGTGGGCATCAGTGAGAGGATGAGAGCTATGCACAATAGGACCATGGATAGTTTATCTGTGATAACTGGTGGGAAGGAGGCGTATGTATATAATGGCAGGTGTGCTGAGGGTCTAATAAGTTCTTTTCCTATGTTGTCAGCTTTATCTTTAATGTGAGAAGCAAGGTCATCTCTGAGAATGAGAATGGAGCCACAGGGAGAAAGAGAGAGAGAAAGAAAGATATGGAGAGGGGAAATATGTTTGCCAACTCACATTAAAAGGGATTTGAGATTCATAGTCATGAAACTAAAGTAGGACTAGTTATCATCATTGTGTAGTTTTTAATTTTGTGTAGCTACATGAGTAAAGACATACAGTTGGTGGTGAGTTGGATTTGAACAGCAGTGTGGTTTTGCAAAGGAAGTAGGAAAGAGAGAAAGGGAATCAAAAGTGCATGGAAGGGAGTGATGATAGTGATTCATTTTGTGATTTGGTAAAGAGGGTACAAGACATCAAGGGAAGGAGGTACAGTGAAAAGTTGGTAAGATCAATCGGTTGAAATTCCCAGAGGGTTCAAAAAATTGTGGGGGTTAGGGTAATAGAAGGAGGATCTGGAAGGATAAGAGAGGTGGTAAGAGAATGGAATGTGTGGCACTAATATTGTGGCACATATCTTAATAACATTTATTTAATTTTATTATAGTAATATCAACACAAGATGCTGTTACTGGTAATGACAAGGTTTAGGCCAAGGTACAAAACAAGGGACTATAAAGGGTAGAAGGCAAGATCATTGAATGAAAAAATTCCTAGGGACTGAGAGGCCAAGATGTGAAAATGATTGAGTCAAGAATTGAGTAGCTTTGGGAAGAATGATAAGCCAGGCATTAACTTTACTGAGAAATAAGGGAACATGATCTGGCAGGTAGCAGGAGAGTACAAAGATAAAGGGTAGAAGATGATGTAGTATAACAACTTGAGATTCAAGGCTGAAGGTGTTTGGGGAAGAGGGAAGAAGAATGGTCTGAAGGTGGATTTGAGACTCAAGAAAGGTATCTACTCCTCTTTCAGATGCGTTGGTGCCAGGGCTATTGGAGAAAAACAGTTCTAAGTGAAAGAGCCACAGGGAAGCATGACCACTGGGAAGATCCAGGTTTTCCTTAGAGCAAGGTGAATGGGGCAATCTGAGAAGAGATTGACGACATTCAGAGAATTCTGGAGAGCCCAGTGGAAGGTTTTAGATGTTGGACAATTGTCTTCAGTGGTTCTCTCAGACACCAAGGTTCTCCTCCAGAGAGGATAATTAGCATCAGCCTTCCTCTTCTTAAAATTGTTATGGCTATCCCGAAGAAAGTGCAGCCTTGTGAGCCCACCTTTTCAAGTCCTCTCCAATTTAGCCTCTCCCTACTTTTCCAGGCTTATCTCATTTTACACTGTCATTATCCATGTTATTCAGCTTCAGGCATCCACAGGCTTTTTAGTATTTCTCAAGCAGGCTTTTACTCTTCCATTTTCTTTGCCATTGCTCAAGCTCCTCTCTCATCTTGGAATATCCCTTCCCCTAATAAATGTCTACTAGCCCTTCTCATTCCTCAAAATGTAACTCAAATTCCGCTTCCTCCAAGAAGCTTTCTAGATCTTATAGTCAGAATTATTCCCCTACTTCCCCGTGCTTCCACAGAACTTAGAAGCCTTATCAAAGTCCATCTGTTTCTATGGTCTTATAGTTCTCCCAGAAGGCAGGAACTCTCCTCAATTCATCTTTGTATCTTCCGTCACTCCTAACATCATGCGTTGTCCCTAGTAGGTTCTTAATAAATGATTTTATGTTGTTTGTCAAAATCTGTTCTACTCAGCAGATATAGGTTAGCATTCTGAAGTTATATGGCGTAAATCTTAACTCTTCTTTCATATGACAATCCTTCAGTTGTTTAAGAAACTCATCCCTAGCTATTTTCCAGGTGAAACATTTCCTAGTGTCTTCAGTGCTTCCTTGAATGACATGATACTCAACTTCTTTACCTTTGTACCCTCTCCACTCTTAGAAACATTCTTATTTCATTGCTATCTCTTTGAAAATGCAGTGCCCAGAATTGAGTATTCCATTAAAGTCAAACGCAGGCAGTGTAGATTCAGTCTGTCCTTTCCTTTAATTGATATCCTGTGTTGATATTACTATAATACAATTAAATGAATGTTATTAAGATATTCCTAATGGTGTTTTATCAACATGGGCTAATTCAGCCCACATTGTGAGTTAATATTTCAAGTCTCTTCCCTCACCTTAAAAACACATCACTTGGATGAGTACGGTGGCTCACGCCTGTAATCCCAGCACTTTGGGAGGCCGAGGCGGGTGGATCAGCTGAGGTCAGGAGTTCAAGACCAGGTGGAGAAACCCTCTCTCTACTAAAAATACAAAATTAGCCGGACGTGGTGGTGCATGCCTGTAATCCCAGCTACTCAGGAGGCTGAGGCAGGAGAATCACTTGAACTCGGGAGGCGGAGGTTGCGGTGTGCCAAGATTGCGCCGCTGCACTGCAGCCTGGGCAACGAGCAAAACTCTGTCTCAAAAAAACAAAAACAAAACAAAACAAAAAAACATCACTTTACTTATCTACCCATCATTTTATCATAGATCCTTAAACCCTACATATGTCGAGTATTGGTTGAAAATATAAATAAAGCCAATCCTCTAGCCTAGAATTATAATTAAGAAAAAAATATATTAAGTTACAATTAGAAACTTGTTATTTAAAAAAAGTATTTTTAAAACTCATATTATTCTGGCAAGGTAGAATATGATTTCAGTTCCATTCTCTTTATTTTTAGTGTACTTGGACAAATGCATCATAGTTCTCTGTTGGGAAATTATGGAAGAGCTCTCAAACTGAGTTTCTTAAGTGCAGTGAGTCATAGATCTTAGTAGCAGCTTGGACAATTTAGTCATATTGAGGCCTATTAAGTCATCCATCTATTTTTTACAAAGTTAATAATCCCTGTTCCCGAAGTGTTCTCTAAGGCCCACTCGGATTGGTTACTAAGAACAAAAAGAGAATTTGGGAGTCTTGTAGATTTTCTGTTCCATCTGCCTGAACAATTTCAGTATGTTTATCCTCCTTTGAGTTTACAAACTTTTATGAGGGCCTACTATTTACTAACAAGGATTTATTGGGAATTTGCCCTCCTTGGAGTATTTTGAAATGGTGCAGAACTCTATTAAACATGGGTCTTAAGGCACTCAGTCATGTCCAAGAGAGACAATCAGTCAGGGTTCTTTGTTACCAACAAGAGAAACTAATCATTTAGTCCAAACAAAGAAGGAATTTAAATTTGAAGAATGTGGATGGAAAACCTAAAGAGCCAGCCTTGGAAAAGGAATCGAGAAATCAAGAATAGCTATTTGATTAGAATAGAATATCTTCTATTTGACTATCTGGAATGATTGAATTCTTACCGGTTTTTCTAGTTTTGCATCATTTGGCTCACGTTTTGAAGATTTAGGAGGACAGTTCTATTGGCTATGCACCTTTCCTTTGGTTGGACAGACAGTGCTGAGACAAATGATAGGACAGAAGACCTCTCTCTTCAGCCTTCATAGTGGGAGGGTAGGACTCCTTGATTTCTTCTGCTACCTTGACTACACACAGCGAGGGAGAAGGACTTCCCCAAAAGGAAATAGAGGTGATGTTAGGAAACAACTTTATGTGGAAGAATGCCCACTACAGGGACATGTGCTTAAGCTGCTGTGATAGAAGTCAAACTGTATTAAGGGCTGGAACACAGAAATAAATAAGGTTATGGCAGCATAACCTTATTATGCTGAAGAGAATTTAGAAAGACTCAAAACACATATGGTCTACCAATTTGACTTTGAAGGTCAACTAGGATTTCAACAGAAGGAAGAGGCATGACCATTCAGATGCAGGAAAGAGCATAATGATAGGAACGGTGCATTACACTGGTTCTGAAAGCAAGCTTTATCGTTAGGTGTTTAAAAGCTAGATATGTCACCTGATGGCTATTACAGCCTTAGACAAATTACTTAATTTCTCTGAATCTTAGTTTCTACATCAGTAAAATGAGGAAATTAATACCTACCTTATAGTATTAGGGCTGCCAAATTAAATACAATGTTCCCAATTAAATTTAAATTTCAGATAAACAAGTATTTTTGAAATACTTGTTTGAATTTTTGAATATTTGAATATTCCTAATTCAAATATTTGAAATTCAAATATTTGAAAATTCCTAAATATTGCATACGACACACATAATAAAAAATTATATCGTTTGAAATTCAGATTTAGCAGGACATCCTGTATTGTAATGTATTATGTCTGGCAATCCTACATAGCCTTGTTATGGCAATTAAATAATTGGTGTAGAATGTCCAGTTTGATTTTTGGCACATACTTGGTGTTCAGTAATAAATGGTTGATAAATAAAGAAATCATTTTTCTTGTCACCAACATGATAAGCAAAATTCAGAACCCTGAAAGTACCTATGCCTCAGAATCCTTGTTATCTCAGTTACCACTTCATTTAGCAGTTTCCCAGTTAACTTGTGCTAGAATACCAATAAGATGGTCTCTCATTATGCTGTATAAATACAGAAACCATTCATCTTCATCTTGTATTTGTATGGTTTCTCTTTCCTTCTGATTGTTTCAATTCTTTCTCCTGTTTATCAATTTCATTTTGACCTTATCCTTTAGACACTCATAATTAATGAATATTATTTTCTGCTTCCTTTATGGACCAAAAATATAAGTGGTAAATGGTACTAGGTTTGGGACTATAATTTAAGACTCAAGAGCATAGTAAACTGAAGCACTGATTTTGATTTTTTTGAGTTTGAAACTATAAAGCTTAGTGGATATAGATCAAATTATCCCAGCTAATGACTATGCCATATAAAATAGAATTGGAAGCTTTCTGAAATCTAAAATACTTCTTCTATTGCTTTTTCCTTATCTGTTAGACCCATCATACAATCCTAGAGAAGTGTCATTAATCACAGAATATGTCCTTTAGTCTCATTTAGAATTTGTAAAATAATGTTTTGCCGATATGTGTTATTCCCAAGTAATTTCTAATACAGGTTCTTTTATCTCACTTTTTAAAACCTATGGCCCTTTCCACATTTATGCATGATTATTGTTCCCTAAGAATCTATCTAGTATTTAAATGCTAGGACATAATTGATTTTCCAGGAGAGAAACATTAGGATTTTCTTGTTTCCAAACAGCTAGAATGATTAGTACTGTCTGTATACTTAGGCATTAAATGCATAGTTTGATAATAATAAAATTATAGCTACAATATATTAAGCCCTCTACCATATTCCCAACCTCAAAAACTGTTCAACTGTTTTCATTCATTATCTCATTTAATTCCCATAATATTCTCATGCTATTTTCCTTATTTGATGGGTGGGGAAACTAAGGCATGAAGAAGGGTAAGTACCTTGCCTAAGGTTATACAGCCAGTAAATGGTGAAGGCAAGATTCTAGCTCAGGTATTCTTATTCTCTTATTTAATGTGCTATTACTTTCTTCTTCACACAACTTGGCAGAAACATTTCTAGCAAATTATCATAAAAAAGCCTTAGAAAATTTAAATTAAAAGCCCTGCAGTAGCTCAAACCTTAGCGTAAGAAAACCATACTAAAGAAGGGACCAGTTAGGTTCTGTTGATTGCTTGTGTAATCGTCTTCAAAGTTTATTATTTCCTTCAGTGTAAGTGATGTCCACTTTGTAGCTTCTCTTTCTGGTCTACTATGCTCTGGACTTTTGTTTTTCATCCTCCATTTTTTGGGTTCTGATATAATAAAATTCATTCCTATTTCCCTGAGTTTCAAAGATTTCTTTCTGGAACCAATGTCAAGGCCTGGTCTCAAATTAGGGAACAGACTGTCTTCTGTTTCTCCCTTTAAAGAGCAGTACCAGAAGATGTGGGGAGAGGGAGAGGAGAGGATTATTAAGGAGAGACTTTTAAAAGAAGAAGGACAGTCAAGAAAGACTTGTTCCTAGTTCTGCCAAGAGTCAGGATAAACTTATGCTTTAGGGAAACAAAAATAAGGAAAAGATAAATATATGACCAATCTTTAGAATAACGATCATAATACTGCAACCCTACATTTACTTGATATTCTGTTGTTTCCAAAGGGCTTTCACAAATTTTTCTCCTGCATTTCATTTAGTCCTCATAGCAGTCTGTGAGGTGGAATTATGCCTATTTTACTATGGCATAGGAAGTGAAGTTACTAGCTCAAAAGTACAAAATTAGCAATTGACAGACCCCAACTAAAACCCAGGTATTTAATTTCTTATGTGGCCGGGCGCGGTGGCTCATATACGTAATCCTAGCACTTTGGGAGGCTGAGGTGGGCGGATCACCTGAGGTCAGGAGTTCGAGACCAGCCTGGCCAACATGGGGAAATCCGTCTCTACTAAAAATACATAAATTAACCAGACATTGTAGTGCAGGCTTGTAATCCCAGCTACTAGGGAGGCTGAGGCAGGAGAATCGCTTGAACCTGGGAGGTAGAGGTTGCAGTGAGCCAAGATCATGCCACTGCACTCCAGCCCAGGTAACAGAGCAGGACTCTGTCAAAAAAAAAAAAAAAAAGAAAAAAGAAAAAAAAAAAAAAGCTGAAGCAGGAGAATCGCTTGAATCCGGGAGACAGAGGTGGCAGTGAGCTGAGATTGTGCCACTGCACTCCAGCCTGGGTGACAGAGCGAGACTCCGTCTCAAAAAAAAAACAAAAAAACAAAACTTATTATGGGTGTTTTTTCCACGGTGTCAACTTTTTATCTTGAAGATGAGCATTAGTTAAGAGTGAAATTTTGGGGGCTTTCTATCCCCTTTTCTGAAAATAGACACTTTATTGAGAAGTGTGGCTGAGGTTTGCTTATAGGATCTAAGGAACCTGGCTGTTCTCTTGAACAGAACTGAAGCGTGGATGAGATAATCAGTCTTCCTATTTGTGAATGGATTTTTGGGGTGGCTGGAAGATAAAATTGTATGGAAAAAGCGACAAGGGCTACTTTGGACTTCTGTTTTATTTCTCATTGCATTGAAGGTGAATGTGGTGCCTTTCAGAACAGTTAGTGCTGTGGTTTAGAAATAACACTGTAATTATCCTTCATTTGAATCTCTTCCTCTTTAAGTGGGTTTTTTTAGATGTGTGATGTGAGTTTAGTCAATAGGTGGGGGTGCTTAGGAAAACAAGCTATTTTGGTCCTTGGCAAATGTGGGCATTGGTATCTGTGTTCCTTGCTATCATTTGCTGAGTAACAACATTATTTTTTTTCTAAAAATATATACCACATTCTTCTCTTATTTGCATTTGCTTTTCATTTTACTGAGGGACATATACACACACATTTTGATCTATAGGATGCATTTAGAGGGAATTTTCTGAAAAATCATTTTACAACCTTTTGAGCACAGAAAGTGAATGAAGAAGAGCCATAAAAAGGCAGCCACAAAGAAAAGCAAATGGTTAATTTCTGGAAAAGAGCATTGCGTTTTGTGGAATTTAAAACTGCTTCTTCTGCCTGAGGCTATTTAAAATAATTTTATATTTTAGAAGCTTGAAGAGATTTAAGTACAGCAATGTGCCCCTTATCCATAGCTTTGTTTTTCATCGTTTCAGTTACAATAAGAATTCTGAGAGAAAGACAGAAATTGCTCTATCATTATTGTTATAATTGTTCTATTTTGTTATTAGTTATTGTTATCAATCTCTTATTGTTCCTAATTTAGAAATTAAGTTTTATCATAGGTATGTATGTATAGGAAAAAAAGCATATATATAGGGTTCAGTACTATCCACAGTTTCAGATATCCACTGGGGGTCTTGGAATGTATCCGCTGAAGATAGGGCGGGATGCTTTAACCATTTAGCTCAGGATTATACAACTATAACTAGTAGAGCTGAGATTTAAAAGTCTAAGCCCTTAGCCATGGTGGATAGTCAGTTAATAGTGAGCTTTTATTTTGCTTGATTGTCTGAGTTTGAGCTGACAGGCCGATGCACAAGAGGGGCAGAGTCCTAGCTTTTTTGAGGATTGTCATTTCGCAAGGGCAATATTCCTTCTCATATTTATCTCAAGCCCTTCATGTATAAAGACTTATTCAAGACAAAAGGGTAAACAACATTTAGTGAGGCTGAAAATTGCACAGTTTCTGTTCTGTAACGCCTCCTAATCCTGAGTTTGTCTCTTCTCCTCATCTGCAAGAGCCCTCGTCATCACAACAGACCTCAGCATCTAGGAGATTGGAAGACACCACAGAATTCTGCCTATGTGATTCACAAATCCTTCTTGCTATTTGAAGCTTTGCAATTCTGACTTCCAGGCCCTCTAGGGAACTTTTAGTGCAGGGATGCATTATAACTTAGGAGATCATGATCTTACCAATCCTGGAAAACATAGAAGCAATTCTGCTGAAGGAGAGCCATTACTGGCCGATGCAGTAGAATTATTATTTCCATTTTAGACCTGAGAAATATCTGCCTGCTGTTAGCCAAATGTGGTTCTCCCATCAGGACCCAGTAAAGAACTTGGCCATTAGGACTACTCAGCATTAATCATTTGAGGGAATAGCTTTAGCCTTATAGTGACTAGTGTGAGTGAATCAATATGTTTATTCCTGCTAATATGAGCCAAGCTTTCTTCTGTAAAAGAATGAACTTACAACATCATAAGATTTATGGTTTTACACAATACTAATAAAATGACATGAATATTTTTTGCACGTATGAAGCATCTTCTATTGTGAAGCTTTTTTAGTTTATGCCACACACAAAAAAAGGATTTTGGTAAGTGCTACAAATAATGTTAAAAAAACAAGATGGAACTTTTTTTTTCAGAACCAGTAGCATTTCCTACATGTAAATCTATGGTTTCCAATTTCATATTCTCCAGAAGAGCTGAATTCATTTCCTTTCTCTCTTCTTCAGAGACTTTTCTTGAACACTGGCTGATGCCAGGAAAGTCTGTAAAGACAGAATGGACCTCCCTCCCTTCTTTTTTATTTTTATTTTTTTAAGATACAAGGACTCTGTTGCCCAGGCTGGAGTGCAGTGGCATGATCATAGCTCACTTCAGCCTCAAACTCCTGGGCTCAAGTGATCCTTCCGCTTTAGTCTCCCAAGTAGACGTGATTACAGGTATGCACCAATATGCCCAGCTAATTTTATTTTATATTTTTTTTTAGAGATGGAGGTCTTGCTATATTGCTCAGGTAGGTCTTGAACTTCTGGTCTCAAGCAGTCCTCCTGGCTCAGCCTCCTGCAGCTCTGGGGTTACAGGTGTGAGCCACCACACCCAGCCTTCCCTTCTTTCTTAACACCATTCTCCATCTCAGTACTGTCTTAGGAACACAGAATTCACCTATGGGGAGTTCAATACAAAACTCCCAGTTTAGAAAATGGGTTCTTTGGTGCCTCTTAAGTCCAAAAATATTACATGTGAGGATTTATTTTAGATATGTAGCTCAAGTTTTGAAATATCACTGCTACCTATTCTATAAAAAATGCTGTGTTTGAGAATTTGTATTAAGTATACCTCTCAGGACAGGAACTACCAAATAAAAATATTTGTAGAATATAAATAGAATGTAGACAGAAGCTCAGCTCTAGCAACAGTTATTATGAGGCTATCATAGAAAATATCATTTGTCCTCTTAAGTCTGTTTTACACACTCCCCATCTTTTCTGTGACATGGGGAGGGTAAGAGCTGATTTGTCAGGCTTTCCTTTATTTTGGTTTCAATATGAAGTAACTATTCCAAGTCCCAGGTTACAAGATTTTTAAAGTGGAATTGTTTTTACTTAGCCTAGGCCCCAAACCTGGAGTAGGCCCTCATTTTGCAGAGAATGAATATATAAAATTTGTAGTGAAGCACCTAGATCTAACATGATGGGCCAAATTATTTATGTATAATGTCTATAATTTGTACTACAGCCTCCAAAAAATTTTAGTTTCCCATTTTTTCAATGAGAAAGATAAGGCTTATTATTATTTAATGAGTCAAGGTCACATAAAAGTAGCATTCAAATCCAGGTTAGTTTAGTGCCAGTATCTCCTTTTTCAATCACTTGTGTTAATTTACATATATGACATATGTCTATAATTGATTGAACAAGGAAAGGAATTTTAAGTGATTTATTTAAAGTAACTAAACTAAGGCAATCTAATGAAATTACTAAGAATAGTGATTTGGTGAGTGAGTGGAGGGCAAGTGGAAAGTGGTAGTAATGTAACTTTTACATTGTTATGTGTCACAGCAGAAAAACCATATATAGTATATAAAATTGGAAAATCATGAAACAATGGGACACACACATAGAAGGATCCAACAGAGACTCTTAAAAGTCCTTTTTCCACTGAGGAAGAGGACAGAGATTGCAAAAAGGGTAGCTATTGATTTTTATTGTAAGCCCTTTGGTACTTTGATATTTTGTTTATTATTTGATAAAATTTAACAAGATTTTACTAAAAATCAAAAAGTTATGATCTATAATATGTCTTTCACAGTAATCTACTGATAACCTATCAAGATGCTTTAAATTGTAGACTAAAAAAAAATCAGAGCGTCTTCTTAGTTTATATTCATTATTGTTATTCATAATGTGAAATTGCAGTGAAAGAGCATTAACTGAGCATCTAATATGTTCAAGGCCTTGTTCTAGGTTTTATAGGAGATAAAAGGGGGATACAGTTTGATCCCAGGCTTCAATGTGTTACTGTCTAGTTGAAGGTGCTCTCAATGAGGAAGAAATCTAGATATGGAAAAACTAGGAACTTAAACATTTTCTTTGTCTGCTTCATACTGTGCTAGGTACTCTGACTCATTTTTCATAGAAAACATATACTATAGAAAAGACAAAATATAAAGAGCTATGTGAGTTCAGTGGATAGAAAAATGGTTTTTACTTATCAGGATCAAGAAATGCTTCCTGAAGCAGAGAATTCTAGGTGGGCCTTGAAAGCAAGAAGGGATTTCTATGGACAAAGAATGGATGGGAAGGCATTGACATATTTGCTAATCAAGAAACTTATGTTTGAAACTCATTTTTTTGTTGCTGTTTCTCTTGTATAAAAGTGCTTTGATGCCCTGGAAGTTGAGGCTGCAGTGAGCTGCGATTGCATCATTGAACTCCAGTCTGGGTGACAGAGTGTGACTGTCTTAAAAAAAAAAAAAAGCCTAGCTGTAAGCTAGGTACAGAATGAATTTTAAAAATATTGCTTGTCCAGCTAAAGACTTTTTATTAAATGTAAATGCTGTTACCAAAGTTACAGAATCACAATTAAGTATTGAGTATAACTTCTGTCCATAAAATGTGGGGAAACTTAAAGACAAAATGGAGATCACATGGATTTTGTAGCTATTCTTGATTTTTTTTTAATTGGTCAATGTGTTTCCACATATTTAGGGATCTTCTTAGCTTCCCTCTTTAATTTATTTGTTTAGTTTCCTTAGGATTGTACTTAATTGCATGTTAATTACTGATGCCCAGTGGGGCTGTATTTTAAAGAATCTTCAGTTTGAATCTATAGTATCTTTACCATCTTGCCTAGTTTTTCAAGTCTTTGTGTTCTGATCCAAAGGCCAAGATATCTGTGGCTATGGCAAAGAACTCAGATTCTTAGGTTTTTAGAAATTATAACAAAAAGCTATATGAATAACAATAAATAAATAAAATCAGTAGTACGAAGTAGGCATAGTACATTTTTTACATTGAAGTCATTTAATCTCTCTCACTTGGGCACTATAAGTTAAAGGTGGAGATTGTCATCTTTGAAGATTCATTGGTACACTGATCACTCTCCATTTAGGAAAGCTTACAAAAGTCCTTGTTTTACAGCTCCCTCTCCTTTGTAGTGTTAGACTTAATGAACGGCTTATTGTCAGAAGTTCCAGACCATTACATTATACTCTATGAAAGAGTATTCTGTATTTCTTCTAGAGCAGAGACAGAAAAATATCTTATATTTGGGGGACTCTATGTGTGATCATAATGTTTAGCATGAAGAGAATGTTGCATTTTGAAGCTGTTTGGTTTATACATTTTAAAAAATTACATGAATTTAGAAAATCTGTTATATTAAATTGGATATTTCACATCTATGGTTTAATATCTGCAGTCTTTATTTTCAGTCTTAAATCCTGAACTCCAAATAATTATTAATCTCCACAATCCCACTCTTGAATTTTTACATGTCTTTAAAGTTATAAAAGTGTTTTGTGCTAAGGGCAGTTGCAATGGCTCACGCCTATAATCCCAGCACTTTGGAAGGCTGAGGCAGGCAGATCACTTGTGGTCAAGAGTTTAAAATCAGCCTGTGAAACATGGAAATACCCTTTCTCTATACAAAATACACAAATTAGCCAGGCATGGTGGTGCGCACCTGTAGCCCTTGGCTACTTGAGAGGTGAGGTGGGAGAATTGCTTGAGCCTAGGAGGTTGAGGTTGCAGTAAGCTGTGTTCGCACCACTGCACTCCAGCCTAGGTGGCAAAGTGAGACTTTCTCTCAAAAAAATATTTTTATTCTTATTGTGAAAAACATAAAAAAGATAAAGTATAAAACAAAATCTACCCATCATTTCACAGCTGAGGGATAACTTCTGTACCTATTTTGAGTATTTTCTTCCTGTTATATTTTTCTAGTCATATAAATGGGTATGTTTTTTAATATGCAGTCATGCACCGCATGATGACTTTTTCATCAGTGATGGACCACATAAACCATGGTGGTCCCATTAAGATTATAATGGAGCTGAAAAATTCCTATCGCCTAGTGATGTTGCAGGTGTTGTAATGTCATAGTGCAATACATTACTCACGTGTTTGTGGTGATGCCGGTGTAAACAAACCTACTGTGCTGCCAGTTGTATAAAAATATAGCACATACAGTTATTTACAGTATATAATACTTGACAATTAAACTACTATGTTACTGGCTTATATACTCTACCTTTTATTGTTGTTTTAAAGTTTACTCCTTTTACTGATTAAAAAAAAAAGTTAACTTTAAGATAGCCTCAGGCAGGTCTTTTAGGAGGTATTCCAGAAGAGAGCATTTATATCATGGGAGGTGAGAGCTCCATTCATGTTATTGCCCCTAAGACCTTCCAGTGGAATAAGTGACATTGATAATCCTGACCTTGTATAGGCCTAGGCTAATGTGTGTGTTTGTATCCTCATTTTTTACAAAAAAAGTTTTAAAAAAGTTTTTAAATTTAAAACATAGAAAAATGCTTATAGAATATGGATATAAAGAAAGAAAATATTTTTATGGAGCTATAAAATGTGTTTTTGTTTTAGGCTTAGTGTTATCACAAAACAGTCAAAAGTTAAAAAAAATCTAAAAGGTTACAAAGTAAAAACTTACCATAAGATAAATTTATTATTGAAGAAAGAAACATTTTTAAATAAATTTAATGTGGCGTAAGTATACAGTGTTTATAAAGTCTACCAATGTGCAATAGTATTTTAGGCCTTCACATTCACTCACCACTCAATGACTCATTCAGAGCAACTTTCATTCCTGCAAGCTCCATTCATGGTAAATGCCCTATACAGAGAGACCATTTTTTATCTTTTATACTCGATTTTTACTGTACCCTTTCTTTGTTTAGGTATTCAAATACCATTGTATTACAGTTACTACAGTATTCAGTGCAGTAACATGCTGTACAGGTTTGTAGCTTAGGAGCAATAGGCTGCACCATGTAACCTAGGTGTGTGGTAGGCTATACCAACTATGTTTGTGTAAGTACACTGTATGATCTTTGCACAATGATGATATCTACCAATGCATTTCTCAGAAAGTATCCCATCCTTAAGTGAGACATGACTGTACTTGGGACATGTCTCTGTGTGTGTGTGTGTGTGTGTGTGTGTGTGTGTGTATGTATGTATGTATGTATGTGTGTATGTATGTATCTATCTATCTATCTATCTATCTATCTATCTATCTATCTATCTAATCTATCTGTCTATATTCTTGTATTGGTTTTCCTCACCTTTTCATTATAAACGAGCATTTTCCCACATCATTAAGTATTCTTTGAAGACAGAATTTAATGGCCTGTATGCTTCCTTTATGGTGCTTCTTTTGTGTCTTATACTTCTATACTGCCCTCTCACATTTAAAAAAATTATTAAAGGTTTTTGGAATCTTTGTTATTAAAAATTCTAGTTATCTAGTAGTCATAGCTACTTCTACCTGAGTTTATGAGCCCCTGCTTATGACAAATAACAAATAAATAAATTGGGCTTCTATTTATTAGTCTATTTAGGAAGTCACTTGTTTTTTAGCTTATGTAATGTGTTTTGTCTTGATCTGAAGTATTAGAACACAGGATCATTTTACTGGGTTATGTTGGATTTATTTGGCAAATCCAGTTCTCTTATCTCCAATAGCCTGTGTTTGTGACTGCTTGGATATGGGTGATTTTAAAGACTAGTGAAGAGCATGGATTGTGATTACATATTTACACCTCAATAGCTGTGTGACTTTGGGCAAATTACTCCATTGCATCGCACCTTCTTTTCAAGATTAAAGCCTAAATGATATCATAAAGTACATAGCCCAGAGCCAGGCTGATAATTGAATATTTTTGTTATTTTTCTGTCATTGTTGTAATTATGAGGTCTTTGGCCATCAAATAGAACAAAGCTGACTAGCCTTAGTTGAGATTGAAAAGCATCAGAACTTTTCTTTACCCATTAGAAGTAACTGGCCATGGAAGAAAAAAGCAAATAACCCATTTTAATTCTGGACCAGCAGGAAGGCGTCTTTGTCTGTCCTGTCTAAGAAACTCTCATAAGTAGCTTCAGACTTTGCAATGAGGCAGCTGCATTAGTGCATCTGAAAAGTTCACTGCTGTGGCTGGAATGTTAAATAGCAGTTCTTGACAGTGACCGAAATGCATACCTGGGGTCTCAAGGAAAGGACTTAGGACTTCCTTTTCGTTATTCACATTGTTCAATACCTAGTCTGTCTCTATATAAATGCCAGTGTTGCTTTAATAAATTATTATGGATGATCATAGTAATACCTGTAGCTGCTATTTACTGAGTGCTGACTACGTGACAACTAAGGTTTTTGTGCATTATCTCATTTAATCCTAGTGGCTGCTCTGTGAGTCTGTTATCATCATCCCTATTTCACAAAGGAGGAAACTAAAATTTAGAGAGGTTCAGCATTATCTAATAAGAATTTCAACGTTGGTCTCTCAGACTCCAGAATCTGAGCTTGTAGCTTTGCTCTTAGCTCTGTTGTTTTGGTTTTATAATTACTGCATAGCCTCATTCATTCATTCAGCCTGAGAATCTACTTTGTTGAGAATCTACTTCATGCCAGCTCCTGTTCTAAGTGCTTGGGTTATAGCATGCAGGCAAAGTCCCTGCCCTCCCAAGGCTTATTTTCTATTAAATATAATAGAATATTAAGTTACCTTCAGGTGTTTTACTCCTAGAATAAGCGTTCCTGTGAGGCTATGAGTTATCTTATTCTTGAGCTTTAGGAACGTAACCGAAATTTTGTATAAGGCTGAGTATACCTCCTAAGCTTATGAGATTTCTACAGAATTTCTACAAAATACTGGAAGCTAGGGCATGTTCCATTTTATGCATCAGGCTGTTTATTTTAGCATTGGCTTTTTAGCCCTGGCAGACTCCTCAAATCGGAGACGTTCTTACTGATTACTTTAAGAAGCTTTTAGAAGGTTTGGAAGGTTTATTGTTCGTGATAAAGCTACTTTTTGATACCTTGGTTTCTTTGACTTCCTTAAATGTTCTATAGGTGTATGGAGCAGCATAAAAACTTTCTTTCTTTAGAACATGCCAAAAATACATCAGACAAACCTAGAACAAGAGGCTTAATTACTTCATAGAATAAATTTTCAAATTCGGATACAGTTGAAAAATAAATGATGAATCGGGGAGGTCTAATTATGAGGGACCTAAGTATTAATACCTTGTTTCCGTAATATCAAGAATATTAAATCCATCCTTAAGAATGAATTATTATAAGAAGAAGATGATATCATAAAGTGTTTGTGTTAATGTCACATTTAATCCATGTGGAAGCTGAAAATAATTTTAAATATCCTTAGGTAGAGGCTATGTTATATTTTTTACGTAGGGAATTATCAGTAAATACTATGAAGTGTGTTTCCTTATAAAAAAGTAGTTGCCTTATTTTGCATTGGAAATACAAGTGAACCTTTTTGGTCCCATAAAATGCAAATGGCTTGTATATGTTCCTTTTTTTTTTTTTCTTAAGTCCTTTGTCTAAGAAGGAGGATCATTGGCAAACCAGCTAGCCATTCACTTTGGATTTTGACATAGCTTCTCCTTGGGACCCTAATGACAGACTCTCTGATAACCAGTGCAAACTCCATGAATATCTTTCATTTCTCTAGAAGGAGGTGTGGATTTGCAAGGCTACCAGCTGGATATGCAAATACTACCTGACGGGCCAAAGAGTGATGTGGACTTTTCAGAGATTCTTAATGCAATACAAGAAAGTAAGTTTCACTCAAATTTTAAATTCGCCGTGAGAGAAGAAGCTATTATAATACTTGGGAGGGGTAATAAACTAGAAACCTTAGATGTCAAGCTTTAAAAAATATTAACAAAATGATGTCTTGAAAGAGATACTGTGCAAAATAATTTTGAAACTAGAAGAGATAGTGAAAGAGGTTTAATTTGTGAGATTAAATCACATAATAGTGGAATTTTTGAAAAAGCTATAACGGAATGATCAATTCTGTATATTGTATTTCATGTAATAATATTTAGTAAACCTTGGAGTATTGTAAATTTTTAGATTTCTTGATTAATCATAATCAAAGAAAAACCTTTAAGAAAACAAAATACAATTCCTCTGCTCAAATGGAAGTAATAAGAGGGAAATGTTAGTGGAGCAAGGTGAAATCAGGAACTTCTTCTCCAAAATGAGTATCTGGAGTCATTGATGATGGACTGCATGCCAGAAGTGAACCCTCATTTTCTAAGCATTTTGAGTAATCAAGGTTTGCTCTTCTTCGAGTATTTTATTTCTGTTTTATAGCTTTCACTCAGAATTTTATCAGAATCAACACATTTACTCAAGTTAAATATTTAGCATTGAGGATGGGTGATGCGGTGTCTCATACTAAGTCATTACCATTGATATTTCATTATCAGAGCTCTAATTCTAGATGATGAAGCTCCTCTTAATATCGAATAATTTATCTCATGTTGGATTTGAGGGATTTTGATGTGAAGAACATTGTATAAACAACCATTGCAATTTTTTCTTACTTCTAGTTTTGGGACATTGCATTTTCTTTTCTTTTTTTATTATTATACTTTAAGTTCTAGGGTACGTGTGAACAACGTACAGGTTTGATACATAGGTATACATGTGCCATGTTGGTTTGCTGCACCCATCAACTCGTCATTTATATTAGATATGTCTCCTAATGCTATCCCTCCCCCAGCCCCCCACCCTACGACAGGCCCTGGTGTGTGATGTTCCCTGCCCTGTGTCCAAATCATCTCATTGTTCATTTCCCACCTATGAGTGAGAACATGCGGTGTTTGGTTTTCTATCCTTGTGATCATTTGCTGAGAGTGATGGTTTCCAGCTTCATCCATGCCCCTGCAAAGAACATGAACTCATCCTTTTTTATGGCTGCATAGTATTCCATGGTGTATATGTGCCACATTTTTTAAATCCAGTCTATCATTGATGGACATTTGGGTTGGTTCCAAGTCTTTGCTATTGTGAATAGTGCCGCAATAAACATACGTGTGCATGTGTCTTTATAGTAGCATGATTTATAATCCTTTGGGTATATGCTCAGTAATGGGATTGCTGGGTCAAATGGTATTTCTAGTTCTACCTCCTTGAGGAATCACTACACTGTCTTCCACAATTGTTGAACTAATTTACACTCCCACCAACAGTGTAAAAGCATTCCTATTTCTTCACATCCTCTCCAGCATCTGTTGTTTCCTGGCTTTTTAATGATCGCCATTCTAACTTGTGTTAGATGGTATCTCATGGTGGTTTTGATTTGCATTTCTCTGATGGCCAGTGATGATGAGCATTTTTTCATGTGTCTGTTGGCTGTATAAATGTCTTCTTTTGAGAAGTGTCTGTTCATATCCTTTGCCCACTTTTTGATGGGGTTGTTTGTTTTTTTTCTTGTAAATTTATCTGAGTTCTTTGTAGATTCTGGATATTAGCCCTTTGTCAGATGGGTAGATTGTGAAAATTTTGTCCCATTCTGTAGGTTGCTTATTCACTCTGATGGTAGTTTCTTTTGCTGTGCAGAAGCTCTTTAGTTTAATTAGATCCCATTTGTCAATTTTGGCGTTTGTTGCCATTGCTTTTGATGTTTTAGTCATGAAGTCCTTGCCCATGCCTAGGGACATTGCATTTTCTTGTTAACTTTCTTATGAATAATTTTATGCTTTTTAGTTATCCCCATTTATCATTATACCGTCCTCTTGACCTTATGAGATAGTTATTACCTCCACCTTACAGATGGAACAACTGAGGGTGGAAGAAATTAAATGACAGGGGAAGATGATAATAATGGAGACCAGACTGCAATGATGGCTGTTTGTTCCTTCATTTAATTCCTTCATGAATGTGCTCAGTACAGGATTTAAACACATTGAGGTGAAGGATCCTGAAACTGAAGATTAGGCTACTTTTAAAAGAAATGTTTTTAGCAGAGAATATAAGGGGATCAGCTATTTATTCCGGTTGAACAATCCCTTTATATTACATTAATGAATAAAAGAGAAAAAATTTCCACAAGAGAATAAAAATCAGATTATTAGACATTGGAGAGAAAATAACTTTTCATGGAAAGTTATAAAATTATGTAATTACTTCACTTGATTTGAAAGATGATAGGTTGTACAGTGCTCAAAGAGTTCAAATTTTTTTTCAATAAATGATAAAAGTTGGCTTCCATGCAAGTGCTAGAGGTGAACTTAAATTTAAGGAGTGGGGGCTAGAATGAACTTGCATCAGAATGAACTAAAGGTTAGTAAGGTACTATTTTTATAGTAATTTTTATTACCAGATCTTAGTAAAGACGTGTGTATCTGATGTTAACTGTTCTGTAGTTTAGAAGGGTGATCTTTCTATGAACAGGTAGAGGAGTATAAATTTATGAGTACTTAACAGAAGAAAAAGGAAATGTTACTTGACTTTAAAATGCAAATCCAGCCCTTTATAAGTTTATGCATTTTCTATTGCTTTGGAACTAATTTATTTTCTTGTTGCAAACAAGTTTTGTGCTAATTAGATTTGAGAAGCTGCCCACACAGGCTGGGTCATTTCTGGAAGGAAAGATTTTGGGCCATTCAGTCTCTATTTAGGTTCCAAATATGATCGAAATTTTTAGCCAGTTCATGGAAATCTCCAAGCATAAAAATAGGTAGCTTGGTACTTTAAGGGACTGTAGCTTAGATTATCGTTTCTGGAAAGCTTTGCGAGACCATCGTTAAGTGTGTAAAGAATATGGAGTTCTGCGACTGGCCCCAGTGTGTGATGTTCCCCTCCCTGTGTCCATATGTTCTCATTGTTCAACTCCCACTTATAAGTGAGAACATGCGGTGTTTGGTTTTCTGTTCTTGTGTTAGTTTGCTGAAAATGATGGTTTCCAGTGTCATCCATGTCCTGTCGGGGGGTGGGGGGCTAGAGGAGGGATAGCATTAGGAGAAATACCTAATGTAGATGACGGGTTGATAGGTGCAGCAAACCACCATGGCACGTGTATACCTATGTAACAAACCTGCACGTTCTGCACATGTACCCCAGAACTTAAAGTATAATTAAAAAAAAAAGAATACAGAATTCTGAACATCAGTATAATTCCTCTCCTTTTTGTTAAGATTAACAAGATGATGGAAAATTTTCACTTTTTTCTTCAAATGTTGTGACTATTTATATATAGTATATATATATATATGTATGCATGTATATATGTGTGTATACATACATATACATACATACATATATATACATACATATATATACACACACACATATATATATATATGAGACCTTCAAGATCAAGCTAGAAGTGCATATGTGCATGCTTACATGTGTGTATTTCAAACATTTCTTGAGTGTCTGGGGTAGGCTGGCCATGATGGTGTTTTCCCAAAGTATCTCTTTTCAATCTTAACCCTAAGTAATAATAGATAAGATTTTCTCCATTTTAAAGGTGAAAAAACTGAATATAGCTCCCCAAGGATATATGGTTACTATGTGATAGAGTCAATATTTAATTGTATGTTCATCCTTGTTCTGCTAAATACTAAATTAAATAAAAATGATTAGGAAAAATGAACTACTTTGCATTTTTAAAGTTGTATTATATTTTCACATCTTGATGCAAGAATTTTGCCACCATGCTTCTACATTGTGAAATACATTTACAGTATTTTATCTTTTAGTGTGCATACCCTAAGTATATCCTCATCTCTTCTAAAGATGTCTCAGAGTGGCTGGCCATACTCAAGTGCTTTTTCAGATCCTCCATATTAGATGTACAGCTTATAAAAAAGAAAAGAGTTATTTTAACCATCCATCCATCTTGCCTGTCATGTGTCAGGTACTGTGCTAGGCATAATACCTTAAGGCAGTGGTGAATGTTTGGTACAAAGTCTAATTCAGGAAAAATGAAAACGTTTTCAGATCACGTCTTGTTTTGGTGTTCAACAGGAAAACAACTTGATTGCTTTTTAGGAACAGGCATTTACATGTGAAAGTATAACAAGGGTGTGTTTGTGTGTGTGTGTGTGTGTGTGTGTGTTTGTTTCTTTTCGTTGATGTTATTTGTCCCTTCCTCTCTATTCTCACCCTTCACTCTCCATTCCAAGATGGTAGTCAGGTACCTTGAACTCCTTTGTTTCAGCAGAGTTTTGTGTTAACTAAAGTTCCTGCCTTTTTTTTCTGAAAGCCTGAGCTTCCAAGACTGATGCTTGTATGGAAGAAGAAATTGCAAGAGAGATGCCCTGTAGAGGGAGCCAGGCTTCTGGTAGGGGGAATGGAAAGGGAGGGAATGGCTATGTTGCATGCCTGGGAGACTGCAGGGGAGCCACCTGAACTGTCAGTCACACAGAGAGTTCCTGGCCTGAGAAAGGAACTTAGGAGTCTCTGGGAAGGGGGCAGTCTCATCTTCCTGTTTCTTTGTTTTATCTCCAGTGCCTTGAACAGAGCATGGAGTGTGGTAGGTGCTTACTAATATTTGTTAGTGATTGAGTGAACGTGTGGAATCACTGGAGACTTGAAAGGTGGGCAGCTCAGTAGTAACCAGTGTGTCTTGGACACCTGACTGCTCTTTCTAAATGTTCTGCTCTTTACAAAACTCCTAGGACCTTTGCACAGTTCTGGATACATGAGGCAGGAAAGTGGGAGTGTCAGCAATAACTGAAATTAAATTGTCCACGAAGCCGGTGGAATGGGAACTTGCAGATAGATTTAGTTTGATGCAATGATAACAACATTACAGTGCAATTCCTACTCTTGAGTTCATCTAGTAAGATTCAAACCCTCCATCCATAGTTTAAGGAGTGGAGTGCCTACTCAAATCTTATGTACAGTAGCACCTATTAAAACAAAAATAAACAAACAAAAAGAAAAACACTGCTTTTTTAATCACCAAAGTTTTCAAATCCGAACATTTTAAGAGGTAAGCATTTTAAAATATTTCCTTCTGAAACTTGATTGAGAATCATGTCTTAAAGCTCTGCAGTCCATGAATCAGGTGTATGTGTGTGTGTATGTATGTGAGCATTTATTACATTAGCTGGCTACTGTGAAGCATGTCATTCAAAGGTTATACTGTACTTTTTCATTCTCACTTTAAATTATTTTCAATGTCCAGCCCTTTTTAGAGACCATTCATCCCCCTACCATTTGTTGCCCACCCCTCTTGTTTTGCTCCTAGTTTTTCCTTTCATGATTCCCAGCATATCTGGATATATACTGTAGGGACACTCTTGAATGGCATCCATACCCTGAAACACATGATTGTGTTGTATTCCATCAGGTTCTGATGAAGGAAAGAGGGCACAAGATAGTGTTTGCAGTGAGATCTGAGGAGTTAAAAGGATTGTGGGATCATTGTTATCCTGCAGTCTGTTTGTGCTTGCACGTGTGTCTACATAATCATATAGCTGTGCCTACATTAGGGGTGGTGTATACTTTTGTGGCTGAGGAGACTGAGTCATTTCTCAGTGACACCGAGTGAGTCACTTTGAATCTAATTCTTTAGCCCTGATTTCCAATTTTATTTTTAACCTGCATGGTCATGCCATTTCAGAGGAGCAGATGGCAGGGTATGGGGTATGGGGGTGAGCGGGGCCGGGGGGGCTGGCATATATTGAGCAGATAATCTTGTCTGGCAATTTTGTGGCTGACCTTTTACCTATGTTATTTTATTTAGTCTTTAACTCTCTTTGCCTTAATTTCCACATCTGTAAAAGGAAAATAGTAATAGTACATCTATGTAAAGCCTTTAACATAGTGCCTGGTACACAGTCAGGGGTGTATAAGTGTTGACTGCCACCTTTGTCTTTATTCCTCAATCATTCATTCTGTCTGGGAAATTGTATTTCCATATTTAGAAGATAAATAAATATTTAGAAAATAAAGAAATTAAAGCTTGAATAAGTTAAATATCCCAATCTAATAGCTAATAAGTGGAAGGGCTGGCATTTGAACTCAGGTCTGTCTGAATCCAGAGCTCATGCTCTTTCCAAAGAAGGTGAAATTGTGGTCAGTAGACTTGGAGGCTCTTTTATGCAGAGCATGAATGACCTCACTTTATGTTATGGAAAGGTCGCCAAGGCTAATGAATGAGCAAAGATTGAATTAGGCACATAGTTCTTCTCTAAATGTCATTCCCAGGGCTGTAAGAAGTGCCATCATCATTATTTGCCTTTTTATAGAAGTAACCAAGGTGTTCACCTTTTTTTTACAATGAAGTAGTAGTAAGAGAAGCTCTTCTTAGCAAATACGCTAAATCAGAAACAAGTTAATGATCTCAACCCCATTGTGGAGTGCTGGGGTTATATACAATACCATCATCTGTGCTGTTTTATAAACATTGCCATTATTGAGCCAGGTGATGACAATGACATCTTTTTTTATTTTAATTTTTAATTTTGGTGGGTACATAGTAGGTGTATATATTTATGGGGTACATGAAATATTTTGATACAGGCATACAATGTTTAGTAATCACATCAGTGTAAATGGGGTATCCACCACCTCAAACATCCATTCTTTCTTTGTGTTACAAACAATCCAATTATACTTTTAGTTTTAAATGTACAATAAGTTATTATTGACTCTAGTTACCCTGTTGTGCTATTAAATACTAGATCTTATTCATTCTATCTAATTATATTTTTGTACCCATTAACCATCCCCACCTCCCTTCCGCTCTACTACTCTTCCCAGCATATGGTAACCACCATTCTACTCTCTATCTCCATTAGTTCAATTGTTTTTAGTTTTTAGTTCCCACAAATAAGAACATGCAAAGTTTGTCTTTCTGTGCCTGGCTCATTTCACTTAACATAATGACCTCCAGTTCCATCCATATTGTTGCAAATGACAGAATCTCATATTTTTATAGCTGAATAGTACTGCATTGTGTATATGTACCACCATTTTCTTTATCTGTTCATCTGTTGATGGACACTTAGGTTCCTTCCAAATCTTGGCTATTGTGAATAGTGCTGCAGTAAACATGAGAGTGCAGATAGCTAGTATACTAATTTCCTTTCTTTGGGGTATATACCCCTAAGCAGAATTGCTGGATCATATGGAAGTTCTATTTTTAATTTTTTCAGGAACCTCCAAACTGTCCTTCATAGTGGTTGTACTGATTTACATTCCCACCAGCAGTGTATGAGGGTTCCCTCTTCTCCACATCCTTGCCAGCAGTTGTTATTGCCTGTCTTTTAGATAAAAGCCATTTTAACTGAGGTGAGCCCTGATTTCCAACTTTATTTTACAATGAAATTATATCTCATTATGAAATCTGAACATTTTACAATGAGATTTCTCATTGTAGTTTTTATTTGCATTTCTCTGATGATCAGTGGTGTTGAGCACCTTTTCATGTGCCTGTTTGCCATTTCTGTGTCTCCTTCTGAGAAATGTCTTATTCAGACATCTTGCCCATTTTTATTTGGATTATTAGATGTTTTTCCTCTAGAGTTGTTTGAGCTCCATATATATTTTGGTTATTAATCCCTTCTCAGATGGATAGTTTGCAAATATTTTCTCCCATTCTGTGGGTTGTCTCTTCACTTTGTTGATTGTTTCCTTTGCTGCGCAGAAGCTTTTTAACTTGATGTGATCCCATTTGTCCATTTTTGCTTTGGTTGCCTGTGCTTGTGAGGTATTACTCAAGAAATCTTTGCCCAGTCCAATGTTCTGGAGAGTTTCTCTAATGTTTCCTTTTAGAAGTTTCTTAGTGTGAGGCCTTAGATTTAAGTCTTTAATCCATTTTGGTTTGATTTTTGTATATGGTGAGAGATAGGGGTCTAGTTTCATTCTTCTGTGTATGGATATCCAGTTTTCCCAGCATCACTTATTGAAGAGACTGTCCTTTCTCCAATGTATGTTCTTGGCACCATTGTCAAAAATGAATTTACTATAGATGTATGGATTTGTTTTTGGGTTCTCTGTTCTGTTCCACTAATCTATGTGTCTGTTTTTATGCCAGTTCCATACAGAAATTAGTTTTAAATGAATATTTTTTTTAAATCTCATGACTTTTTGTTTGTTTGCAAAGGCATATTTTAAATCTCAATAACTTTCTGTGGCAGAAGGAAGGTTCCTGCTGTCATATCTGTAATAACTAGAACCGCAGGTTCTTTAGGGAGATGTCAACACAACCATTTAATTGTTGCCAGAACACACTAGCAGAAGTTTCTAAACTTTTGTAAAAGCAGTAAAATGTATTTTTCCCCAATATATGATCAACATATAACTTCAATATACAAAACAGAAACTGAGTTGTTTGGTATAGGTAGGGGTAGAAGGTGAGCCTTGCCCGCTCAGTTGTCTCTTTGTCTGCTCCATGGCCCCTGAAACTCCTCAAAAGGGCTGTAGGGTTCCAGAGAACAGAGATTGAAAACTGCTGGCCTATTAGAAGGGAGTAAAATCGGCTAAGGAAGCATTATGTCCTTTCTAATTGCTTTATTTATTTATTTTGAGTTTTTAAACTTAAACCTCCTTTTTTCTTATTGGTAAACCAGGCAGCCTTTGCCTTAGGGATGCTGTCAAGATACATTTGAAGAATAATGAGCATCTAGAGAGTCTTGGGCTTGCTCGTGTCATATACATGCTAAATAGTGTTTAGTTCTTAAAATCCCAGCCTAAGGTGTTCAAAGCTGTATTGTGTCTTTGTATTTCCGTGAATTTTTAAGACAATAATGGATCTATTTGTTAAATTTTAGAAAGTTGTCAGAGCTGTCAGACTACAGATGTAAAGTCTAGCTTTATTCAGATAAATGTTGAAATGGCAACAAGATAATTGCTTGGTGGTTAAATGACTTCCATTCTTGAAAGCCAAACATGATTTAAGAACAGTAAAATGCTTCCCACAAAAACAAAAGCCAGCTAGAAATGGTATGGATTTGGGGTCTGAATTGAATGAAAATTCATCTTTGTCACTTACTAGCTGCATGGCCACACTTAGCATTTCTGAACCTGGCTTCTTTATAATAATACTTGTCTCATAGGTTGTTTTGAGAATGAAATGAGAAAATAGACCTGAAAATCATTAACACACAGCAGGCTGTCAGTAAACTGTAATTCCTATCTTTGTCTCCTTTCCCACTTCCTTCATGTTTAATCTCTGTGATTCTAAGAGAGAAGTAGACATTTTCAAGCCATCTTACTAAGGTAATCAGAATAAGAAAAAACTGAAAATTGATGTCATCCTACAATTAGCTTTTATTTATCTTAAAATGCATATTGAGTGTCTCCTACTTGGTAGCCCTTAAGCCGAATTGGAGCTACCTTAGCTCTTCACCTTAAAGGGACCTTAGTCTAAAGACATAGAGATGGACTTATTATAAAACAATCTGGTAAGTGTTAAAATTGAGATATAAACATTTTTTGCATTCTAAAATATTCCCGGAGGTGTTCTTTTTTTTTTTTTTTAAGTGATACTTTGAGGTCAGTATGTAATCCCTTGAGAATTCTGAGTATCAGATGCAATAACTTGGAACTTAGGACAAAAATAGTATAATGAACTGGCGCTCTAGAGAATGAATATAGATACTTGGATTATGCTGCAAAGCCCTCTTCTGTCTTCTTCAATGACCTGTAATTTCACCTTCTTTTCTCTGCATCTGAAATTTATATATCTGAAACTTCTATACTGTAATATCAAGGTGGGGTTATTTTGCTGCATTTGGAAAATAGAGAAGTAAAGAAAAGAGCAATGAATCAAAGTCTTTGATTTTTTTGATTGTATTTCTTACTGTCTTCTAGGCTATTTCTAAAATACACTTGCTGGTTTTTTTTTTTCATTGCCTTTATAGCATTGATTCCCAAACTTTGTTCTCTTGCCTGGAAGTGTGAGGGCTTCCCACTCATGTCATGTCCAGCACTTAACTCTAAATCTTTGTTCAATGAACAAATGGCAGAAAATAATTCATTAATTAGTTCGTCCATTTATTTGAGTCCTTGAAATATATTTGTGATCTCTTATCCATAGGGTATTAACAATAGCTAACATCTCAAATGATTTTCACTGGAGGAATAATTGAAATAATTGCAAATAGTTGATTTGATTAGTAGATTTAGTATTACCAAAGTAAATTCACCTTTTCATCATGTAAAGATCACCATGATCTGCCTGCCTGCTGGTCCTCTCCTGACTTTTCTGCTCTGCCTCCATCCTGGGATGATGTAAACCAAGCCAGCTGTCATAAATCTCTGAGTTTAATGCTTTACTCAGACTCTTTAGCTGATTTTTCGTCTCCCAGGCAATTTAAGGTCCTTGATCCTCGTTGTTCAGTTATAATATGTGAGTCCTTGCTGTTTTGTTCCCAAGTCATTTTTTAGGCTGAGCTTCTAATCTTTGCAATAGGGAATCATTTGAGTATCCCCCTTGCCTTCCCAAATGCATGGTATACACCTACCCTGACCAATCTGTGCTGCCTAATTCTGTTCACACAGCCCTTCCTGGGTCTGAATGAAATGCAGATCTATTACTTGAGTTGCATGGTAGTTTTGCATTTTCTCTCCTTCTTGTCATTCTTTTTTTTTTTGCATTTTTTTAAAATTATATTTTAAGTTCTAGGGTACATGTGTACAACGTGCAGGTTTGATACATAGGTATACATGTGCCATGTTGGTTTGTTGCACCCATCAACTCATCATTTACATTAGGTATTTCTCCTAATGATATCCCTCCCCGAGCCCCCCATCCCACAACAGGCCCCGGTGTGTGATGTTCCCCGTCCTGTGTCCAGGTGATATCATTGTTCAGTTCCCACCTATGAGTGAGAGCATGCGGTGTTTGGCTTTCTGTCCTTGTGATAGTTTGCCAAGAATGATGGTTTCCAGCTTCATCCATGTCCCTGCAAAGGACGTGAACTCATCCTTTTTTATGGCTGCATAGTATTCCGTGGTGTATATGTGCCACATTTTCTTAATCCAGTCTATCATTGATGGACATTTGGGTTGGTTCCAAGTTTTTGCTATTGCAAATAGTGCCACAATAAACATACATGAGCATGTGTCTTTATAGTAGCATGATTTATAATCCTTTAGGTGTATACCCAGTAATGGGATTGCTGGAATGGTATTTCTAATTCTAGATCCTTAAGGAATTGCCACACTGTCTTCCACAATGGTTGAACTAATTTACACTCCCACCAACAATGTAAAAGCATTCCTATTTCTCCACATCCTCTCCAGCATCTGTTGTTTCCTGCCATTCTAACTGGCGTGAGATGGTATCTCATTGTGGTTTTGATTTGCATTTCTCTGATGACCAGTGATGATGAGCATTTTTTCATGTGTCTGTTGGCTGCCTAGATGTCTTCTTTTGAGAAGTGTCTGTTCATATCCTTTGCCCACTTTTTGATGGGGTTGTTTTTTTCTTGTAAATTTGTTTGAATTCTTTCTAGATTCTGGTTATTAGCCCTTTGTCAGATGGGTAGATTGCAAAATTTTTCTCCCATTCTGTAGATTTCCTGTTCACTCTGATGGTAGTTTCTTTTGCCGTGCAGAACCTCTTTAGTTTAATTACATCCCATTTGTCTATTTTGGTTTTTGTTGCCATTGCTTTTGGTGTTTTAATCATGAAGTCCTTGCCCATGCCTTTGTCCTGAATAGTATTGCCTAGGTTTTCTTCTAGGGTTTTTATGGTTTTAGGTCTAACATTTCAATCTTTAATCCATCTTGAATTAATTTTTGTATAAGGTGTAAGGAAGGGATCCAGTTTCAGCTTTCTACATATGACTAGCCAGTTTTCCCAGCACCATTTATTAAATAGGGAATCCTTTCTGCGTTTCTTGTTTTTGTCAGGTTTGTCAAAGATCAGATGGTTGTAGATGTGTGGTGTTATTTCTGAGGACTCTGTTCCGTTCCATTGGTCTATATTTTGGTTTTGGTACCAGTACCATGCTGTTTTGGTACTTGTAGTATAGTTTGAAGTCAGGTAGCATGATGCCTTCAGTTTTGTTTTTTTTTGCTTAGGATTGTCTTGGCAATGTGGGCTCTTTTTTGGTTCCATATGAACTTTAAAGTAGTTTTTTCCAATTCTGTGAAGAAAGTCATTGGCAGCTTGATGGGGATTGCATTAAATCTATAAATTACCTTGGGCAGTATGGCCATTTTCATGATATTGACTCTTCCTATCCATGAGCATGGAATATTCTTCCATTTGTTTGTGTCCTCTTTTACTTCATTGAGCAGTGGTTTGTAGTTCTCCTTGAAGAGGTCCTTCACATCCCTTGTAAGTTGTATTCCTAGGTATTTTATTCTCTTTGTAGCAATTGTGAATGGGAGTTCAGTCACGATTTGGCTCTCTGTTTGTCTGTTAATGGTGTATAGGAATGCTTGTGATTTTTGCACATTGATTTTGTATCCTGAGGCTTTGCTGAAGTTGCTTATCAGCTTAAGGAGATTTTGGGCTGAGATGATGGGGTTTTCTAAATATACAGTCATGTCATCTGCAAACAGGGACAATGTGACTTCCTCATTTCCTAATTGAATATCCTTTATTTCTTTCTCCTGCCTGATTGCCCTGGCCAGAACTTCCAATACAATGTTGAATAGGAGTGGTGAGAGAGGGCATCCTTGTCTTGTGCTGGTTTTCAAAGGAAATGCTTCCAGTTTTTGCCCATTCAGTATGATATTGGCTGTGGGTTTGTCATAAATAGCTCTTATTATTTTGAGATACATTCCATCAATACCTAATTTATTGAGAGTTTTTAGCATGAAGGGCTGTTGAATTTTGTTGAAGGCCTTTTCTGCATTTATTGAGATAATCATGTGTTTTTTGTCGTTGATTCTGTTTATGTGATGGATTAAGTTTATTGTTTTGCATATGTTGAACCAGCCTTGCCTCCCATCCTTCCTGTCATTCTTAATGGACTTCTCAGAGTATTTGACTCTCTTTCTCATTTAATGAACCTAACAGCAATATTCTACCAGGCAGATAATTATCAAACATTTTTCTATTTAGGAGAAGAAGTCTAAGGAAGGTGATGGGATTCATTCACAAATGACCCTGTTTGGATGAACAGCATCTTTGTGATGTTCGTGCCCATGGATAGAAAGGCCTCACTCCCACTCTGACTGGACAGTGAGCTCTGAGAGCAGGGCCATGCCTGGGCTCTCCAGTACTTCAGCCCCGGTTCCTAGCTCAGCTCAGTGTCTGCCCGTGGTAGGCACTGAATATACTTATTGATTAAAATTTATTTTAAAAATTGGTTAGTGTTGGAAGTTGAGAGTTGCTTTTTTCTTCTTAGAGAATCAATGTAAGTTTGAATCAAAGATTTTATTTTGTTTCTAAAACTTACCTTGTAGTTATAGCTGATAATATCAGAAACAGTGATGAAATATGGATGAAGTGCACATACTTTTTATGCCTGTGGAGTGTTTATATGGTCTACAGTCTTCTTACTGACCACGGGTTCAGCTGGACATTCTCTCACAGCAGACTTTCTAATCTCTGCTGAAGATACTGAGAGGCTGGCAAGTGATAAGGTTGGCTTAGTATCACCTATTGTCTAACAGATTGCCATGACTGACTGATTTCCCTGAGCTCAAGTGGCAGTAGCCCCATGACTTCCAGACAGTGATTCTGATGGGAAAGAAAGAGCTCTCTTCCTTTCCCAAGTTAGCTGCTCCTTCTAGAATCAAATCCCTTGGGCTTTTCATGAAGAGTAGGAATTCTCAACTTCAGCACCAATTAATATTCTAGGCTGGATCACTCTGTGGTAGGGGCTGTCCTGTGCATTGTAGGATGTATAGCGGCATCCCTGGCCTCTACTCACTGAATACCACTTTCACTGTCCCCCTCTCCCCAGTAATGACAATAAATATATCTCCAAACAATGTCAAATATGGTCTGGGAGACAAAACTGGTCCCAGTTGAGAACCACGGACATAGAGGGCATTGTTGAACTGATTGTGCCAGTGCCAGAAAGTAATATTGATAGAAGATGACCTGATATTTTCTATCCTTGGGAAAAGCCTAAGGGGATACATACATATATCAAGAGTTTCTCCTTAGTATGAGCCAGTCACCTAGACATGAACCTCAGTGTCCTTGTTCCCCCTTTATCTCACACCCCGTCCTAAACCATTTCTCATAACAACCATTCCAACTTGTAAATATCTCTTCTGCCTTCTCATATTGATAAGACCAAAATACTCACTTTAAGCTCCCAGAGTCTAGCTAGAATCGACAAATCAGCATTTGTTGTGGGTCTGCCATGTGTCAGTCACCCTGCTAATATGCACATTGATGTAATCCTCTTCGCCACCCTGAGAGAGAAGTTTGCTATTCCTGTCTCACCAGTGAGGAAACAGAAGCACATATTTACACAGCTAAGTGGCAGAGTTCAGAATAGCGAGCAGGTCCTCTGACTTGGTTAAACGATACTTTTATCTTATTGTTCAAATATCATCAACATCGACTTGAAATTTAATTTAATCACTGTCTGCTTGAAAATTTAATCACATTACTTGAAACCATGGAATCCTGGCTTGTGAATAAGAATCATGTTAGGAAAACCATATGCCAAGTCCCAGAACCATAGAATGTTAGAGGAAAAGGGCTCTCAGATATCGTTACATTGTGACCATCTTCAGGTCATCATTCTGTCATTTAACAAATATGTGTTGAAGGCTTACCTGTGCCAGAGCCTCTGTACATCAGTCAAGACAGACAAGGTCCTTGCCCTATGGAACTTACATTGTAATAAGGTAAACATCCAATAAACAAGTCTAATAAATAAATGAACAAATAAGATAATTAAGGATTGTGTTAAGTGCTGGAAATGAAATGAACAATGAGAGGACAACAATTATGGGAGGGAGATCTTTTTACATCCAGTGGTCAGGGAAGTTGTCTTTGATCTTGACAGCTCCCAAAACACTGGACATATTAGTCTTCCTCAAAAAGTGTTAGTTCCTCTCCATAAGCACCTAGCACAGTACCTGGCACAATGTAGGTGCTACAACCCTTGGCTGTATGAAAAGACCATGGTTTTTTTTCTTTGTAGCCTTATAGGTCTAAAATCCTATAATATATTGTTTTAGTTTCCTTTTGGTGCTATAGCAAATGACTACAAGCTTAGTGGCCTCAAACAATATGTTTATTATCTTATACTTCTGGAGGTCAGAAGTCCCAAAATCAAGACTCTCCTCTCTGGAGGCTCCAGGGGAGAATCTGCTTTTTTGTCTTTTCTGTCTTCTAAAAGCCACCCGCGTTTCTTGGCTCGTGGCCGCATCCTGTATCCTCAAAGCCAGCAGCATAGCATCTTCCAATCTTTCTCTCTGATTCTGGCCTTCTTGCCTCCCTCTTCTTAAGACCCTTGTAATTACATCAGGCCTACCTATATACTCTAAGACAATGTCCCCATTTTAAGATCCTTTGTTTCACACATCTATAAAATCCTTTCGGTGATAAAAAGGTAAGATATTAACACGTTCTAGGAATCAGATCACCTTTGGGGGGGTCATAATTCACCCTCTCGTAGTTAGCAATAAATGTTAACTTTATTCCTATGCCCATTATATTTTACAGATGAAAAACTTGGAAAGCTAAAAGTGTTGCCTAAAATCACATGCTTGGATATAGCTTTATACCTGGTCATCTCATCTACGTAGATCATCTCTATTCTCTCTATATCCAAACTCTGCTCTTTTCATTAGAGAATTCACCACAAGTTACGTGTCTTTGTTTTCTTCAGTTATTGCCACAAGGGCAGGAAGCCAGGTCACTTTTATTCACCAAGGTGCAATCATCACACAGCTCTATGCCTGACACACAATGTGCACATCTCTAAAATGTTTTTGAATGAAAGAATGAATACTGTATTACGTGCTTGGGTAAGAAGAACCCAATCCCTCATGAATTATTTTGTGCAGTGGCTTCTGACAGGTTATAAACCCTCAGCCATTTTTAAAGCATCAAAAGAAAAAGTGAACTGCAATGCTGGCCCATAATTGAAGTGGATAAAACAGAAGGGACTCAACCCATATCTTTCCTCTGCTGGTGATGAACTTAAATTTCTGGCGTGCTGTAAGGCACTCTGCATTTGAACGTGGTAGCCTGTACCTAGAACCGTGATATACAGCACTTTATATATTGACATGTTATTAACGTCAACAGTCTTTTGAGAGAGCTTCTGAATGGCTCACTTCATTATTTCAATTCAGGATAAGAGGAAGAAAAAAGGCCAAAAATCTAAGTGCATGCTTTATTGTTGCATTAGGTTTTCTCTGTTCTGTCTTAGAGAAGTAACAAAGGAGGAAAAAAATCACAGTTCTTACTGAATAGTTCAAGTGGCACGTTTATGGGTTCACTTGGCAAGCTATACGACACTTAAATGAAAAAATTAAATTTAATTTAAAAGTATAGGTCATCTCCAACCCTTTTCCAACCTAGAAGTCTTAAATCAAAGTACCTTATGCCAAACAACTATGTGAAGGAAAGCGAAACAAATATAACACCTCCTGCTATCATGGAAGACAAATTATATTTACATTACGGATGTACTTTGCTTTTTATTTTCCTTAATCTTGCCTAATGAATACACTGTTTGGTCAAACATGTTTTATGTCTGACATACTTTTCTTTTAGGAAATAATATGCTTGTCACTCAAGGAGTTAATGAAATGATGAGAAAATATGAACCCAAAGGGAGATGTTTTCTCTTTTAGCATTGCTTTCAAGATCCCAGATTTTTACCCACCTTATAATGTATTTACTTTGGTTCTAGTGGCCAAGGATGTCAATATTCTTTTTGATGAATTAGAAGCTGTCAGCAGTCCTTGCAAAGATGACGATTCTCTTCTTCACCCTGGAAACCTGACTAGTACTTCAGATGATGCCAGCAGATTGGAAGCCGGGGGAGAGGTAAGAGTATATGATTTCTTACAAATGTAATTCGTGATCCAGGCAGGAACCTGTGAAGCATGTTCCAATGGACTGTTTAAAGTCATAATCTCATTGAACTGTAGGCTCTTGTAAAACAAGGGACAGGTTTTATATTCCTTTGACATCCCCCATGTCTAAGCATATTTCAAGGATCCTAAATCTACCTATACACAAAACAAAGTTTCAGTTTTTCTTAAACCTATCATTTTTTTAAACTGTCCGTCATTTTAAGATAGCCTACATTCTTGAGTGTCTCCCACTGGTACAAAATAAACTTTACAGGGATGGGCTTCCTTGTATAGATCCCCCAGTGGGTAGAATAGTGACCTAAAATGCACCAGCCTTCAGTTGATTGTGTTGTCTGAAGTCTCTCTGAGTTTCCATTTGCCTCTGTAATCTGGAAACTTCATTGCAACTGTAAATAGACCTATCTATTTGTGTGCCATTTTGGAAAAATTAGTATTTTTTTTGGAGGCATTCCCCTTTGTTCAGGTTGTGTCTCAATAGAGTTTAATATTTCCTTTGTACATGTACTGGGTACAGGTAATAGGCACACCGAATCAGAGTAATTTATTTATTGCATATTCCTAAGGTTTTTATATTCCAGAGCTAGTTAACTGCTAAAAGGATGACACCTGGAACAGAGAAAATTGTTTACTCTTGCCAAGCTTTGCAGACTTCACCCCACAAACACCATATGCAGCTATCCAAGTTTCTTTTTCTGTTTTTTTTTTTTCTGTTTGTTTCATTAAAAAAAAACACTCATTCTGTTATTATCTGTTTACACAGATACTTTGGAAACCATAATGTGGCGTAAAGAATGGACTTTGAAAGGGACCTCAGACAGCAACTTGTCTCATCCCTGTAACTTACAGATGAGGAAACAGTATCAGAAATATTAGGGCTTTGCCAAAGGTGGCACAGCTCATTGTTCTGCTTGGAGCCAATACCCCTCCTAATGTCTTGGCTGAAGCCATTTTTGAAGGCAGATGCTAATATGCTGAATTCACAGGACAGCCTTCTTGCTTGGCAAATAAGTGTTAACTAAAGTGCTTATTCAGGTAGACTCCTGAGTGTCTCTTAATGTAAAATCCAAAACATAGTGAGGATTGGTCATCAATTGAAAATGTCTACATCAAGACATGGTACATGGTCATTCCATTTCCCCAGCTGAGATGTTTTTTTCGATTAAGGTTTGTGCAAGAATGTGGTTTCTAGCAATGGCCCTTCAGGTCTGGCATGTTTACCTTCTTCATACCACCATTGGAAAAGATAGAATCCACCCATCCACTTGGCTGGGTTTATAGACACAATTTTGAAATCTATTAGGCTGAGAAATTTGGCTCCAGCCCAGTGAGCCCATACTTGATGGTCTCTTTCAATGTTGTACAGCAAGCCCGAAGAGCCTGGATGAAAATTCAATCCACTCCTTTTGTTCTTTACTTTTTAATATTACTGCAAAATAATATTTGTAACTTCTATGTAAGTTACAAAGTATGATAATAAAATGAACACCTGGAACCACCATCTGATTTATGAACCAGAATGCTATTTTTCAAATTATAGTGACAAACTAATTGTAGATTACTAACTCCAGTTTTTTTTTAATGGAATGGAAAATTAATATTGGAGTGTATGAAAACAGAAAGGGTAAACAATTGTTTTGTGAAACTTGTCTCATATTTTGTATATGTATGTTTACATATATGCACACAAAGGTAAAATGTTTTTCTTGTTGTGGGTAAAAAAAAAAAAGAGAAACACTGAACTAGAATATTCCTAAAACCACGGAAGCTACTTTCAATCCCATACCTCTACCCTACCAGAGGTATCATCTTTCTAAATTTTATTGTGTTTTATTCTCTTGCTCTAAAGACAGTTTTACCACATAGATTCGTAGTCTTAACAACTTATATTTAGATTTACTTTATTTTATGCTTTGTAAAAAATGGTATCATGTGGTATGAAGTCTTCTGAGACTTGCTTTTTTTATCAGTGTTGTCTTTAAGATTCATTTTTATTGTTAGATGCAACTATAGTTTATGCATTTTCACTGCTGTATAATATTCCAGTGAATGAACTGTCTATAATTTATTTATCTATTTATTGTCTGTTCATGGACATTTGAGTTGACTCCAACTTTAAACATTTTTCTACTATTATAAGTAATGTTGCCATGAATATTCATATACATGTCTCCTACTTGCCTTATCAAGAATTTTTTCTCTAGGCTTACATGTTATGCACATATTCAGTTTTGCAAGATAATGTTAATGTGTTTTCCAGAGTGAGCATATCAATTTTCACTCTCATCTCACCTGCAGGATATGAAAATCCTTAGTTGCATCACATTCTTGGCTACACACGGTATTTTTAGATGTTTTACATTTTGCGCACTTAACTCAATGCTTCTTCCAATTTTTATTTTGTTTCCTCTTGATTACATTTTTCACTAATGAATATGTAATTGAACACAATGAAAAAAATTATTATTATTATTATTATTATTATTATTATTATTATTTTGAGATGGAGTCTCACTCTGTTGCCCAGGCTGAAGTGCAGTGGCGCGATCTGGGCTCACTGCAACCTCCACCTCCCAGGTTCAAGCAATTCCCCTGCCTCAGCCTCCAGAGTAGCTGGAACTACAGGCACACGCCACCATGCCCAGCTAATTTTTGTATTTTTAATAGAGACAAGGTTTCACCATATTGGCCAGGCTGGTCTCGAACTCCTGACCTCGTGATCCACCCGCCTCGGCCTCCCAAAGTGCTGGGATTACAGGCATGAGCCACCGCACCCGAACTGAAAAAAGTTATTTAGTTTTAATTGTTCTTTAACATTACTCACTTGAACCTCAATTTGATGAATGACTTAAACTGGTCCCTTTCTCTTTGTGTGCAGACAGTGCCAGAAAGAAACAAATCAAATGGACTTTACTTTCGAGATGGAAAGTGTCGAATTGACTACATCCTTGTGTACAGAAAATCCAACCCCCAGACTGAAAAGAGAGAAGTATTTGAAAGAAACATTAGAGCAGAAGGATTGCAAATGGAGAAAGAGGTAAATAGTTTGCTTGGATGAGAAAAAAATATATACATATCTATTCATATGAAGAGGCAATAAGAAATAAGCAAGCAGTCTTAATGTTAACCAAACATTTCATTTGGTCAGAGTTTTCCAGTCTTCAGAGTTTGGGGAATGTTCCAATATTTAGACTTTGACAGCACAGTTTGCTTTTGAGATAATTTTAATGCCAAATGATTCCATGAAAATCAAAATATTCTATTCCAATTAAATGGATTGTTTCAAAGTGTGATTCCTTATCTAACTTCCTACGTCTGCCATTTCTCTGTATATGTAAATGGAGGGTTCTGTTCGCGTGGATTAAAGAAAACTTTGAGTGAAATCCAGTCACTCTCTCTAGAGGCTCTTTTTACATTTCAGGAAATATCATGAGCTTGGGCATCCTCGTACACCAGAGGAGACTGCCTGGCCAATTTGGCCAAAAGCAGCTGGAACTTACAAAAAAGATTCCAGTTTTAAGAGACATTCAGGCTATTTTTTTCAGGTCCCCAAGCTCAAGAGTGCCTTACCAGTGTTTGGTTCTTCCCCTTCCTTCCTTCTCTGCATGGGGAGCTTCAAGGCAGAACTAAGTAAGGAATGTACAAGAGGCCAGCCAGGCCTCTGATAGTAATCCATGATGGGCTTATGGTGTTCTCAGGAATACTGTGCACATTTGTAGAACTTGGCCCGTTAACTGAATTATGTAACTCTTCTCGGCTTCTCCCTAAACATTGTGCAAAGCTTCTGGAGCTTTTCATAGTCAATAAGAACAACACATTGGTAATTTAAGATACTTCTGATTCTGTTCCTCAAGGCTGAGGGGATAGATCTTTGAAGTCAGACATCCAGGTTTTTCTTTGTATGATACAGTTGCAGTTCGTACAACCTGCGAGTTGTGCCAAGGTATCAAATATTAGAAGCATAATATGCATATACTTGTTATCTGATCTTGGGACACTTCAGATAAATGGGATTTTTTTCAGATCTGTTAGGCTGACCTCAGCTCTTGAATGTTTATAACACGGAAGCAGCATTTTTCTGGAATGTCTCCAAGAGAATTGGAAAAATGGTGAGATGAATGTGGCTGTAAGGAAACAGGTTCTTATTCTCAGGAAAGAAGAACCAGCTTTCTCAAAGACCATCTTAATTAGAGGTTCCCTGGTACAACAAACAGAATTAAAAATGTTGTTTCTTCCACCTTTGTGGAGTTCCAGAAAATCTTTCCTATACAAACTGAGTGTATAGTTGATAAATCTTACTCTTTAAGTTCTAAATTGTCTCAGACAATTGCATTTTTTTCTTAACATTAATAGCACATTCATATTTTTCTCCTTAATCATGCCTTCTTCTTTTATTCTCATTCCTAAGTGGCAGAATTTTTATATGAAGAAATAAAAGATCTGAATTGCTACTTAATCTAAAATAATGGAAGTCCTCCCTCTGACCCATTCTGACTCTGTCAAAATTCTGATTCCCATCAAAACTAGATAGCTTTGTTCAATTAATGCAAGATTTATATTTTAAGCTTCATAAGTATTCTCTACAGGCCTAGGGCTTCTTCTGTATAGATCTTTTCAATGTTATTTCGTGATTTATTCGTTAGAACTTAAAAAGCCTAATGCTTTTCCAAATAGCGCACATTAAAGTGATGGAAAGTGTCCTGTTGTGTATCCTAAAGCATCACCTGTACTGCAGTGTTTAGCTACCAGAATTTGAGGAGGATCATGCTGCCTGTTGTACAGTTGTGCTGCACAGTACAGTGTGGAGCATGCTGTGAAGAATGGACTGCTTGTACGATTTTGTCTATATACAAGATAGTTTTGTTTGTTGGAATTTAAAAAAAAAATTTTAACAGGTATTTATTTTAATGTGTACTGGAAAAAATAGCAATTGGAAAAAGGGAATTATCACTATATGGCAAAACATCATAAAAACTTATCTAAGCATTTCCCCCCTCCCCACTTTCCCCCAAAAGTTCTTCTCTGGGCATCACCTTCCATATTTCTCCTTTCCTCCACAATCTTTTAGACACTACAAACAGTTAGGTCTTCCCCTTTCTGGAACCTTCTTCACAAGTGACCTCTCCCGCTGCCTGGCTCGAGTCTTGCCCTGACTTTGCATAAATGGTGCAATTTCTCTCTAATGCAGCCTCCCAGCTCTGCTTTGCATCTTCGTGGACTCAGTCAGCTCAGCAAGAAAAGGGCCTTTGCAGGTTCTCTTATAGATAAATTAATTTTTCCCTGCCATAAATAATTAAAAGAAAATATCCCTTGGCTGAACAGTAAACAAACCTTCATCCTTTATTCTCATAATAAGTGGCAGAATTTTTATATGAAGTATCTACATTGTATTATTAAATTTAGAAACCGTTGGAAGTATTTTTATTTAAATCAAGTTTTTTATAAGCAGCTACAGCAGAAAGACAATTTTAATGGCGATTTCAGCTTCCAGGAGTTAATTCAACCTTTTATAGGACATAAAATGAAGAACTTAGTTCAGGGTGGAAAAGAAGAAACACCCTAGGGACCCTTGTATATCTGAAACGTTTGACACTATGCACATTTTATGAATTATTAGTATCTTCTTAATTAGCTGTTGTCATGATGTCTAACAATTATGAAAAACATGTTTCACAGACAGATGCTTATGTTTCCAAATAGACAAAGACAGGCTTTCTAGTTCAGTTTAACATCCTTATCTCTTTAACATTGAATTTCAAGAAACACAACTAGGATAATCTTTAATTCATGATAAAAGTGAGGACATAGTCAAGTTTAATCTTTCTTAAAACCTTTGCTCCAGGCTGATTAGTCAACACATAAGTGCTTGCTTTGGTACCCTGGGTCTTTAATATTCTGCAATTCAACTTTCATAATAGCCCAGAGAAAGCAATTCACAACAAAGTTCCCAAACAAAATATCATTGAAGTCCAGGTGATTTACTTCTTAGTATCTATCCACTTAAAGTGATTCCCTTCTTAAAGGTAAGCTCATATTTACTAATTAACATTTTCTATTTCTGATTTTTTCATTTTTAATTCTATGTCCATTATTGATCTTTGGATACCTATTTTGAAATCATTGTCCTCAATAAGACATTTATCTTTTCTTTTGTATAACTAGTAAGAGGATGAGTTAACTTTGAATTATTTGGAATGTGTGAGTAACAGTTGTACTAATGGAGCACCCTCCCGCTTCAGAATCATGTGAAACATTGGGGAAGACCTTTATCATTACAGTCCTTACAAAACTAATATAATTAGGTAAATCATATCATCTTGATGATGGTTATTTCATTCAAAAAATATTTATTGCACACTCACTCTATGCCAGGCATTGCTTTAAGGACTAGGATCTCAGCAGCAACAAATAAAACAGAAAAAAAAATCCCTGCTTTGTTGGAACTTAAACAAAAAATATGTACAACATATACAAATATCAGTAAGTGCTAAAGAGAAAAAAGTAAAGCAGGAAGTGTTGAGAGGGGCTTGCAATTTTATAAAAGTCAGCAAGAGTGGGCCTCTTTTCCACAGAAAGAGAATAGCAAGTGCAAAGAGAACAGCTCCACAGGATGGAGCATGCCTGGTGTGTTCATGGAACAGTGAGGATGCCAGTATGACTGGAGTTCACTGAGCAAGGTGAAGAATAGTGAGAAATTACACCAACAAGGCAGTGGAAGCCTTAGTGATCACTGGGGGATGTTAGCTTTTCTCTGAGTGACATAGGAAGCCACTGGAGAGATTTGAGCAGAAATATAAGATCTGTTTTCTGTTTTAATAAGGGCATTCGGGTTGCCTGGTAAGATTAGACTGTGAGGGGTGGAGGTGGCAAGGGCAGAAGCAGGGAGAATAATTAGGAGATTCGTTGCAAGAATCCAGGAAAGAGATGATGGTAGCTTGGTCAAGCACATAGAAGAGAGGAAGATGAGAAGAGTAGAAAGTAGCACTGATGGGAATTGCAGACAGATTGAATGGGCAGTGTAAAAAAGAAGAGTCACAGACTATTTGTCTGACACATGGTATTTATCTAAGCAGTTGGGAGAAGACAGTTGCCACTTACAGGGATGCGGAAAAGAGTAGGTCAAATTGTAGACTTGTTAAGATTGAGATATCCCAATGGAGATGTTGGGTAAGATAGAAGAGTCTGGGATTCAAGGAGAGATCTGGACTAGAGATACACATTTGAATGAGATCTCCAAAGGAGTAACTGCAAATAAAAATGAGAAGAGGTCCAAGGATTGAGCCATGGGGAACACTAGTGTTACAATTTGGATGATAAAAAGGAGGCAGCAGAAGAGACTAAGAAGGAGTCACCAAGGAGCTAGAAGGAAAATCTAGAGTGTGTGGTTCAGGAGAGATGGAGGAATCAACTGTGTCAAATGCTGCTGATGGGGTGTGTACGATCAAAGCTGAAAGTTAATTATTGGATTTAGCAATATGGCAGGTTTGGGTGGTCTGGGCAAGAGAAGTTTCAGTGGAGAAGTCAGGGGTGAAAGCTTCATTAAAGTGTCTTCAAGAAAGAATGGGAAGAGAAAATACAGAGACAACGAATACAAACAGTTCTTTCAATATGTTTCACTGTAAAGGAATGGAGAGAAATAGAATGATAACTGGAGTATGAAGTTTGGTCAATAAAGAGTTCTTTCTATTTTAGATGGGAGAAATAAATACATGTTTTTATGCTAATACAAACTATATATTTGAGATGGAAAATTGATGTTGGGAAAGAGTGGAGGAAGAATTTTTAGAGAAATGTCCTTGAAGCAATAAGAAAAGAATGACCACAAGTATCTCCCATTGCATGGACTCACCTATCTGCCTCTGTGCCCACAAATGCCACCCTTCCCCAGTGCTAAGGGTGTCCTGTCCATACTCATTGGTAAGGCCAACCCTTCACTTTGCTTCTAAGACCCCATACCTTCTCAGTCCCACTCAAATACATTGCTTCCAAAAGAGATAAAATGTAGTACGCTTTAAAAACTGAAATGCACAAACAATACAATTTGTGGAAGTAGTTTGTTTCTGTTTGCACTCATCTCTCAGAAGGAGTGAAAAATCCAACTGCAGTAAACACACACACACATGCATGAGCACATGTGGGTGCACAGTCGAGGTTGAATATCTTGGATACTTCTGTGTAATATGATACAAATTACATTATCAAAATTTTTATGCTCACATTTATTAATCACTTACTATTATAATTTCCATTTAACAGATGAGACCATTGGTAACTTGCCCCAGACAACATAAGTAGTAAGAGATAAAGCCATTATTAAAACCTAAGCATACTTGCTCTTTGCCCTTATATTGTGTTGATTTCTGGTATCTAAAGGTGAATTTCAGGGTTAAAGAAGTTAGGAGAGGCAGGGCATGGTGGCTCATGCCTATAATCCCAGCACTTTGGGAGGCCAAGGCGGGCGGATCACGAGGTCAGGAGATTGAGACCATCCTGGCTAACATGGTGAAACCCTGTCTTTACTAAAAATACAACAACAACAAAAAAAATTAGCCGGCTGTGGTGGCGGACGCCTGTAGTCCCAGCTACTCGGGAGGCTGAGCTGAGATCATGCCACTGCACTGCAGCCTGGGTGACAGAGCAAGACTTCGTCTCAAAAAAAAAAAAAAAAAAAAAAAAAAAAGTTAGGAGACAGGCTGAGAAGACAAGTAGTGTTATGAAAAGGAAAAGGTAAAGGAACAAGGAAAATTGGGATGAATAATGAAGTTGGGTGCTGCCCAGACTGTGGTTCTTATGCCTCTAGTAGCCATAGACTTGAATCTTGGTACATAACCACTTACAAGCTGAGTGGTCATGGGCAATTTATCAGATTTTTATGGATCTCTGTTTCCATTGTTAATCCTGAAGGTGATATAATTTATCGTAAATGATGAAGATTAAGTGGACCTATATATAGTGCCAATCTTTGTTTTTCCTAATTTTTACTTTTAAATTTCATATTATTGTTTTACTTCCAGTGTAAGTTGTTCAGCTACCTTCTATTTATGGCAAGTGATATTTGTTTTCCCTTTATGACTGATATAAAAGCTTTTTGTAAAATGATTATTTAAAAAAGGGAGTTATTTAAAGAAATATACAAAATTAAGATATTGTAGATGGTATTACAAATTTGACAAAAATTGTGAAGGTGGCCCGCGAATGATAGCATTCTGTGTTACTTAGCTAGTCCTTGTGGTGGACAGACTCTAAAGTCTGTGATGCCTGCTTCCTTTTCACACCTTCCCTTCCCCCTGAGTTCAGGTGGGACCTGTGGCTTATATTTAACCAATAGAATATGGCTTTTGCTATCATAGAATATGACAAATTTAATGGGATGTCACTCCTGTGATTATCTTATATGGTGTATAAGATCTCATCTCAGCAGACTGGCGTCAGAGAGACCCTCCTTGCTGGCTTTGAAGAAGTAAGCTACCATATTGTGAGACAGCCTATGAAGAGGGCCACCTAGCAAAGAAAGGTGGGGTGGCCTCTAGGAGCTGGCATCCAGCTGACGTCCAGCAACAAGCAGGGATCTTAGTCCTACAACCACAAGGAGATGAATTCTGCCAATAACTGAGAATCCTGGAAGCAGGTCTTTCTTCAGTTGAGCCACTGATGAGACTACAGCCCCAGGCAAGACCTACATCATAGCCTGGTGAGACCCTAAAGCAGAGAACCCAGCTCAGCTGTGCCTGACTTCCACCCTCTAGAAACTGTGAGATAATTAATATGTGTAGTTGTAAGCCTCCAAGCCTATAGTAATTTATTATGCAACAATAGATAATTAATACAGTGATTAAAAGTCTGGGATCACACATTCTGAGTGTTCATTTGGTTCTACCATTACAAGCTGTGTGCCCTTGTAAAAGTTAACTTATCTGCAAAATGAGGCTAATAATGGGATTTATCTCATGGGTTATTTTAATTAAGTGAGATCATTTATATCGAGTGCTTATCTCTGTGCCTTTTATATGGTAAGCATTTAGTAAACTTCATTATTATCATCATTACTGTTATCATAACGGCTAAATACAACGTGTTAACACTTTTATTTTGGAATAGTTTTCAAGGTAAACTTTAAGAAAAATTTTCATCCAGTTTACAAATTCTTTATAACGCAACCATTAGGAATAGCAACATCAGTGGGTCATATATTGTTACTGTGTATGCATTAATGAGATTTATAATTTAATGCTCTTGGAAGAACTCGGAATACATTTGGTAACAAGTTTAGCATGATCAAGGTTCAGATGTTTATCTGCTTGGAGAGGATTTGGTTTTAGATTCATCTGGGTATAAAGTTATAGATCAATTCAGAGCTAAACAACAATAGTAACAACAACAACAAAAACTGTATTTGATTGTCCATCCCAGTGTTTCTTTACCCCCATTCAAAGGAAATCTTCACAAAGATTTCCCCACTTAAAGAGCTAATCTCATGCAGATGGCTCTGTTCCCTTGTAGACTTCCTGCCCAAATTACCCTAATTTCATCCCCATTTATATACTGCAGCCACATCCAGCTTGTTGCTGTAGATGCTCTCTCAGCATCCAGAACTCCGAGGATACAAGAACGACAACATCCTCCCTTCCTTCACAGTTGAAAACATGATGATGAGTGTCTCAAATAAATGAGTGTCAGGACTATGTGCACTACCCAGATTTCTGTCCTCTAGGGCTTTCTGGTCAGAAAAGAAAAAAAAAGAAAAAGAAAATCAGACTTTTCTCCACCCAATAATCTCCACTTTACTCCACTCAATCTTCTTATATGTCACACACTTGTATTACCAAGGGTCTCAAGTTAAGGTGACAAGAAAGGAGAATTTAGGACAGTCATAACCAAAGAAGGAAGAAAGCAGATTTTCTTCTGAACCTCAGAGCCCTGGCGATTCCTTGAGTGTCTTTCAGGAGCTACCAATGTCAGTCCACACTTGTGGTGGCTTTTCTGTTAACTTGAGTCTTAGGCTGGATTTCCAAAGCATAAGCAGAACTTGAGGTGAGAATTCTTCCTCAAGTTGTTGATGGGTGGGGCAATCTCAGGAGAAAGGGGCATGAGAGGAGCAGAAGAGAACAGCTAAGCCAAAAGCATGGCCTCAGCTGGACACTACCTTCAGCCTGATCCCACAGGGGAACTCGGTAATCAGCAGGTGCAGCACAGAGCTGGTCTACTTTTCAGACACGGGCCCCCACGTCAGTCAGTCATTGGCTGAGGTCTGTGAAGGTGGTGAGAGGTAGGCACTGTCCGTTTGGCTGAGGATCATTCTGGGTACCAGCAGCATACATTACCACTGGTATTGAATTAGTAGTAGAGATGCTGCCAAATCTGTGGTATTCAGACAGCACTTTTTGAGATGCCAGCAAACATGAAATTCATGGGGGTCCTTGACCAAGTGAAGAGAGAACAAGTACACATTGGAATTTCTTCTGTTTTAATTTGTCAAGTTGTTCTTCTAATTTTAGGATGCTATTTCTCAAAGGTAAAGATTCCATGTTGCTAGTGTAATCACTTTGAGGGAGGACATACATGTGGCCAACAAGCATATTAAAAGCTCAATATCACTAATCATTAGAGAAATGTAAATTAAAACCACAATGAGATACCATCTCACACCAGTCAGAATGGCTATTATTAATACTAAAAAGTCAAAAAATAACAGATGTTGGCAAAGTTGTGGAGAAAAGGGAATGTTTAGACACTGCTGGTGGGAGTGTCAGTTCAATCACTGTGGAAAGCAGTGTGGAGATTCTTCAAAGAGCTAAAAACAGAACTACCATTCAACCCAGCAATCCCATTACTGTGTATATACCCAAAGGAATATAAGTCATTCTACCATATAGACACATACACATGTATGTTCGCTGCAGCACTGTTCACAATAGCAAAGACATGTAATCCACCTAAATGCTCATCAATGGCAGATTGGATAAAGAAAACATAGTACTTACACATCATAGAATACTATGCAGCTATTAAAAAGAACAAGATCATGTTCTTTGTAGGGACATGGATGGAGCTGGAGGCCATTATCCTTAGCAAACTAATGCAGGAACAGAAAACCAAATACTGCATGTTTTTACTTATAAATGGGAGCTGAACGATGAGAACACATGGACATATGTCTCTTCTTTTTTGAGAGAGAGACTTTGTCTTACTGGTTTTTGCATTCCAAAGACTTATTACAGTGCTTAGCTTGTGGAATCCTGAGTTTGCTACAAAAGATTGTGGATAGCTGATTTTCACAGCTGAGTCTGGGTAACAACAGTCAATTCATCTCCAGGGTTTTTCAACATAGACCCTATTGGCATTTAGGGCTGGATAATTCTTTGTTGTAGAGGGCTATTCTGTGCTTTACAGGATATTTGGCAGCATCTCTAGCCTCTACCCACTAGATGCCAGTAGCACCTCCTTCAAGTAATGACAACCAAATATATCTCCAAGCATTGTCACATGTCCTGGTGTGGGGGGAGGGAGGAATCATCCCTAGCTGAGAATCCCTGGGTTTGACCCTTGATCCAATATTATATGGTTTGTTGTAGTGTCTAGGGGGTAGCGCTTCCATTCTTTTATCCATGGTCAACCAACTTATTTCAGCACTCTTAACATCAGACTCTTGAATCAGAAAAGAGGCCTATGTATTTGAGGGGAAGAATAGAGTATGTGAAGACTGGCTCTCAAGCCAGACAGCTGGGATTTAGATCCACTTACTACTTCACCACTTACTAAGTGAATAACTGTGTAAAGCTTTTAATCTCTCTGTGCCTTAGTTTCTTTGTTTGTTAAGTGCCAGATAATTCCTATCTCAAGGGCTATTATGAGGATAAAATGAGTTAATAAATTACAATATGCTTAGGAAAGAGTCTGGACATATTGACAGCTTTAACGCATGGCTGTTGTTGGCATTGATGGTACTGATAAAGAAGGGAGTGATTTCAACCACTGGTCATCCTGTTCCTGAAGCTCAAGCATTCAATCCTGTCACCTCTTGGGCTGAGAGTCCTTGTGTGTCTGGGGAAAGCTGAGGGGACCTGGTAGATGGCAAGAGATATAACGATAAGTCCCACCTCATCACCAGGACTCAGTCCACCTACCACTGCCCCATATCAGTCTGTAGAATCAGGGCTGTATTCTTACTGGTTCATCTTGTTAGGGCAGTTTTATCAAATTGATGATGGTTTGAGAGAAGGTGTTCTCCCTCCTTTCCCTCCCTCCCTTAGTCTTACTCTAATTTCTGAGACCGGTTTAAAGATCTAAGGGCCTCATTATTGCCTCAACTGCTTTTGCTTATTTAGGTAGACAAAGTTTAATCAAAACATTTCTGTTGCCAGGTCAAGATGACCTGTACAAAGTTATCTTGATTTATTCAAAGGATTATTCCAAATCAACACGTATTTCATATAACTCACGCATATTACTTCAGTCAAGACAGACCAACTTTAAGGGAAAAAAATACCCATTATACAAGGCACAGCTGAAAAACTCAAGTCATTTTATGAACTATTGTCATCCCACAAAAAGAAACTTATTTAATCTAAAAGATTTCTCAGCAGTCTAAATTTAACTTCTCTGATATAAAGCACGTTTTGCATAATCATCATTATGTGCCACATGTGGGCATTGTATTATATTTATGAAAGGAATTGAAGTCCTTTGTGATACTTTTGCTCCTGCTGTTTTTGCTATGTTATGATAAATTGCTGAAAATTATGCAAAGTATATATCATGAATATGACACTAATTATTCATTAATGGCATGGAGAGATTTAAAAGCTTTGAAGCAGCCTGGAGAACTGTAAATCCATTTACAATCTCCAGCTTGTAACCCTTACAAGTGAAAAATTTGAAAAAGATGAAGTGTAAGCTGAGTATTATTAATTGAACTTGACATACCTTAGTTGCAAAAATGATGATGCAGCACTGCCTCTTGAGGCAAGGGCCCTGGCTTAGCTCACTTCCTGTTGTATCTTAGGCATATTTTAAGAGCAGTCTGTGGTATCTAATAACTCCATTTCCAGATGAAGTAATTCATTCATTCATTCATCAAATGTCTGATGAATATCTACTACTATTGAAGGAAGGGAGGCATTAAATAAATATATCAGATGTAATAGGTATTGTGGAGAAATATACAGGAATACTGGGAAGGAGTCACTATTTCATTTCAGGAGTTCAAGAAAAATCTCTATGATAATGGGTGAACTAAGCACAAAGAGAAATTGGAATTTGCATGTCTAAACCCAACTCTCTAAAGCATTGCAGAATTTTCCCACTGCTGGGTTTCCTTTGTTTTGTGCATTCCTATGCAGGCTGGCATGGGTGTAGGAAGAGTAAGTGGAGTAACTGAATGGGGGGGTATGGTAGCAGGGGGAATAGCTGGATTTGGCTGTGGGATAGAGGTAAACTCTGGTGTTTGCATCTAAATGAACAGGGAAAAAAGTCAAGTGCACGAGCAGTGTTGGGATTTTGGAGAGGCCCGACCTAGTTGCAAACACCTCCCTAACTTGTCCTTTTCCATTAATCAGTTGAACTCTCATTCTGGGTGCTACCTCTTCACTTTTGCCTACCCAGAAACCCAAAGTTTCTTCTTTAAAATTCTTCCCTAGTACTTATAATTGCCTAGCCCCTCTTTCATTCAGGGTTGTGCGGGAAAGCCACTCTGTGTCCTCCAGGAATGAAGTGTTCAATAAATAATTTTACAGCACTGTAAGACCACTTAAAAGGTTGGGCATGAAGGTCAGGGAATCCACCTCCCATCACTTCAGCCTGAAGCACCACAGCAGCAGGTCACAGGTGCCGGCGTGGAAGCCACTGGGATCTCACTAATGCCCTTCTGCAGCACATGATTCTCAAAACTTACCTGGAGCTGCTTCAAACCTCAAATCTGCCTGTAACTACCTGCCTGAGAAACAGCCTCTCCTTTCCCACCTTCCATCTGAGCACCCATCATTGTACACTTTAACCCAGAACTTTATGGAGAAGGGGATTCTGGGAAACCAGAACCAAGTTCTGGTCGCAGCTTCTCAGCAATGCAGAGGACTCAGAAGGAGGTGCTAAGGTGACAACAAACAATATAGTGCAGCCACCAGCCCTCCTAACAGGTTGTTCCCTGTCCCTTCATTTGAGGCTATGCTAGCCCCATCTCTGTAATACCCAGATGGTTTAAAAGTTGTAAGGTCTGAAATCTAACACCTGCCTTTGAGACAGAGGAGCAGCTATTTCTGTTTTTTAACATGGGCATGGCTGAGTAAATCACCCAGTCAGAGTTCCTCCCAGAAACCCACATCTTTGTTCTGATGCTAACGTTAGGCAACTGTCTTTTTTCAAAGCATAGCAGAATTCACTGGGACCCAATATTTAATTGGATAGTCAGCAGCAGCCACAAGCCTGCCTATGGAAATGTCCTTGTGTTTGTGATGCAGGGGAGGGAAAAGAAACAAGGAAAGACAAGCTAAAAATTCCTTCCACCATAACTGCCCACAGAGGAATTAAAGAAGGTTCCCTTTGTCGTGTCCAGCCCCTGCAGTGAGAGTATCAATCCTCATGCACACGTGTATTGAGCGTCTATTATGTTCCAGGCATTGTGCCAGGCACTGGAGAATAAAAAATAAATGTTCTAGTTATCTATTATTGTATAACAAACAACTCCAAAACTTGTATGTTAAAATAATAGTCATTCTTTTTGCTCTCAAATCTGCAATTGAGCAGGACTTGGTAGGGACAGCTTCCGTCTGCTCCATAGGACATCAGTCGGAGCAGCACTACTAGTGTCTGGAGGACCCCCCTTTTAAGGTGGCTGACTCACATGGCTGGAATGTTGGTGTTGGCTGTCAGCTGAAAGCTCAGTCAGGGTTGTGGGCTGTGGGCCTCTTCACAGGCTGCCTAGGCTTTCTCATGACATCGTGGCTGGGTTCTAGGAGAACAAGGTAAAAGTGAACTTTTACGACCTAGCCCTAGAAGCATTTATTCTGCTGTACTCCACTGGGAAAGGCAGAATGAAGGGGAAGGGACATAGATTCCACCTCTTGATGGAGAGTCATAAGGTTCTAGAAGATGTGTGGGATGAACAGTAATGTTGGGGCCATCTTTGGAAAATATAAGCTGCCACAATATGCTCAGCGTATTTGAGGAGCTCACTAACTAGCAATGAAGGCAGATGTGAAACGGATAGAATACAGTTTGAAAAGTTCTATGGAAGCCCTGGGGAATTTCATACTCTGCAGAGATTTCAGGAAGGTTAAGAGAGGTGACCTGGGACTTAAAGGATGATTAGATATTCACCAAGTCAGAAAGTAGAAGGGCATGGCATTCCAGATGGGAAACAACATAAACGATGGCATGATAGACTTTGAATTGAGGCCTTAGGGCTCCTCTGTGCACCTCTGCTTCCCAGACAGAGTGTGAATCCCATGAGGACTGCACGGATTTCTCCCTAGTCCACAGTGCCTGGCTCATCATGTCATCTTGACTTTCACATTATATATGCTCGCTTAGCAATTTCCCATGAACATAATTGACATCAGATACAATTGTTCTAGACCTTAATGACAGAGCTAGAAAGATGTGCATTTTATAGTAATTTTTTTCCAAAATGTTGCAACCAAATATCATTTAGCCTCTTTACAACCAAATCCATCACACTGTACTTATATTTAAATAAGAATCATCTCAATGCCAATTTCTTTCAGGCCAAGGATTTTACTAAACAAACTGTACCAGCCATTACCTACAAACTTAGCCAAGATCATGATGGTCTTCGAAGAAGGTGGTGTTACTGCTCACTAGAGTACTTTGTTTTTCAGCTCCATTCTTCTTTCTCTCTGTTTTCTACACATGTTGAAATTAAAAAGAGTTTTCTAGAAGACCAGGAGTAGAGCAGGCAGAAAAATGAAACTATACTACACATGATTTTCCTTGACCTTAGCAGTCCAGCAGGCAGGAAAGAAAAGTACATGTGGTGAGACCTTGTGCCCATTAGAGTTTCAGAAGTGCATTATGTCGCCTCTTGGGGACTCTCTTCCTCCTCAGTCTGTAGGTTCCTTTCTTCAGCCAGAATATTCTTTTGGATTGTGTAGCAGTAAATCACTTTGGCATTCATCTGAGGCTGCCTTGATTCAGTTTCTCAGACTCTAATAAGAATCTTCTGAAATCTAGTCTTTTATCAGTGACTCATGGATAACATCATATAGTTATAAAAGGGTAACCTGTTACAGGCGTTCGCTGTTCGCTGTTGCTTCTGATTGTTCAAGGGGATCTCCCCCAACTGCACGTATCTGTAGAAACTCCAGTCAAGTGAAAAACTGTTAGTCTTGATTCCTTATGTCACATAATGTTTTACTTAGTTGACAGAACACAGTTAAGCCATCAATTAAGTACTGAATTTTAGTTTGTCATTTCCTTTTTTTCTCTGGTCCCATTTGTACATAGCAAAGCTGTACCTTAATGCCTTTTTAAAATTAACTCTTTTTAAGGAAAGGGAGTTCTAAATAAACTCTTAAATACTTGGAACTGAAACTTTCTTTGAATGATGTCTTAGTTTATTTTGTGTTGCCACAACAGAATACCTGAGATGGGGTAATTTATGAAGAAAATATTATCATTTAGTTCATGGTTCTACAGGCTGGAAAATACAGGAAGCACAGCGCCAACACTTGCTCGGCCTCTGGTGAGGGCTTTTGTGCTTCGTCACATCATGGCAGAAGGTCAAAGTGGAAGTAGACACATGCGAAGAGAGGCAAAACCTGGGAGGTGTCCTGGCTTCATAACAACCTACTTTTGTGGGACTAATCCATTCCTGCAGGAACAGGTGCAGTCTCACCAGAGTGAGACCAAGCACCAAGCTACCCACAAAGGCAGCACCCTCATGATCCAAACACCTCTCACAAAGCCCCACCTCTCCACACTACCACACTGGGGGTGACATTTCAACATGAGTTATGGTGGAGACAAACAAACCATATCCAAACCATGGCCAGTGGGTTTAAATTGTCCAAAAATGTCATTGGGGAGTATATTGACTGTGATAATAAGCCTGCTGTTGAATTATCCCAACCATTTTTTAATTTATTATTTTTATTTCTTCTGACAGAGTCTGCTCTGTTGCCCAGGCTGGAGTGCAGTGGCGCGATCTCAGCTCACTGCAAACTCCACCTCCCAGGTTCAAGCGATTCTCACACCTCAGCCTCCTGAGTAGCTGGGATTACAGGCGTACACCGCCAAGCCCGGCTACTTTCCTGTACTTTCCAGCCTGCAGAACTATGAACTAAATGATAATATTTTCTTCATAAATTACCCCATCTCAGGTATTCTGTTGTGGCAACACAAAATAAACTAAGACATCATTTTTATATATTTTTTTTAGTAGAGATGGGGTTTCGCCATGTTGGCCAGGCTGGTCTCAAACCCCTGGCTTCAGGTGATCTGCCCACTTCAGCCTCCCAAAGTGACAGAATTACAGGCATGAGCCATGCCCAGCCACAACCATTTTTTTAAATCATTATTTCATGTCCCTCATTACTTAGCTTTGATTCTGTAGTTCATCATCATGACCACTCACAAGCACCTGAATTCTCTCACTCCTTTATTCCTTTGACTTATTTGCCGGGCAAAGCCCCGACCATGGTTAAACTGCATCTTGTTCATGCCCACCCCTGAGTGATTTAATGTTGCTGGAAAAAACATGCTGACTGGTTCACTTTACATCATGACCGCAGTCTCACACAGGTACCAGAGAATGCTCAGTGAGCCTGGTACTTTTGCTTCGTCCTCTCTATAAAAATCAAGTAACTTTCTTCCTCCCTCTTTTCCCATTTCACTCTCTCTCTCTTTGCTTCTTTCTTTCATTGATTCAATTTTAAAATTTCAATCATTAAAAAATCATATAGTGCCTGGCACAATTCAAGGCACTTGGGATACATCAGTGAACAAATCAGAGAGCCCCTACCCTTGTGAAACTCACATTCTAGTGAGGGAAACCGTGAACAATAAACATAATAAATAAGTAAATAATACAGTATGTTAGAAGGTGATAAATAGAGGGCCAGGTGCAGTGGCTCATGTTTGTAATCCCAGCACTTTGGGAGGCCAAGGTGGAAGGATTACTTGAGTCCCAAGTTGAAGACTAGCCTGGACAACATGGTGAAACCTTGTCTCTACAAAAAATGCAAAAAATTAGCCAGGTGTATTGGTGCATGCCTGTAGTCCGAGCTACTTGGGAGGCTGAGGCAGGAGGATTACTTGAGACTGGGAGGTTGAGGCTGCAGTGAGCCAAGATTGCGCCCCTGCGATCCAGCCTGGGCAACAAGTGAGAACCTGTCTCAAAAAAACAAACAAACAAACAAAAAAGAAGGTGATAAATGACATGGCACAAGAAAAACCAGAGCAGAGTGTGGGTATGAGAGCACTAAGGGAAAAGGATAGTCATTTTAAATAGGGTGTTGGGTGGGGGCTCACTGAAGGTGATGTTTGACCAAGATCTCGAATAGGTGGGGGAGTTGGCCCACTGTTACTTCACACTGCCCTCTCTCTGCCCAATCAACCTTCTCACCTGTTTTCTCTGCACCCTCATCCCTCTCAACCCCCCTCCACAGACACACACACACAGTTCTGCTGATAACCTTGCCTATACTCTGATAGAAAATGAAAATGCTCAGACAGGATCTTCTGTGACTCCCCACCCTCAACCTTCCCTCCCACCACCACTCTGTGTGTGCTGTCGCGGGAGCTCTCCTATTATTCGCTGAATCCCCTCTCACCTCACCTTCTCAAGGACTTTGCTCCTGTAATTGTCTTCCTCTATCTCTCCTGCATCATCATTTTTCCTCTCTACTCAGTTGTTACAAACATGCTCCCATAACTCACAAGATGAAAAATCTCTTGACCCCTATACTCTCCTCTAATGACCACTCCGTTTCTCTTCTACACTTCACAGAAAACTTCTTGAAAGATTTGTCTAGTGTCCTGTCTCCATCTCCTCACCTACCATTCTGTTTTCAAACTTCTCAGTTTGGGCTTTCTCCCTCACCATTTCACAGAAACCCCTTTTATAAAGGTGGCCTGTGATCAAATCCAGCAGTCATGCCGTCTCTGTTATCTTACTGGCCTCACCAGCAGCTTTCCTCCACATGGTGAGTCATTCCTTCCTTGAGAAAAACATGCTTCTCTTGGCTTTGGTGACATCTCATGCTTTCCTGGATTGCTTCCTTCTTCATTGGCTCTTTCTCAATCCCCTTTGCTCACCTTCTCTTCTGTTTGATCTTCAAATATTAGTCTTTTAAGACTTGATCCTGGGTCCCCTTTTCTTCTGTATCTCCATCTTCCTGTGACTTTTGTCCAGTTCCATAGCTTTATATAGCTTCTGCCTGTCACTCGAGGCTTTGTCATCTCAGAGGCTTTAGGCAGCAGGGTTTAGTTTTTGATCTCAGGATGGCAGAAGTGGAGGAGGAGGAATGCTCTTTGCTGCGACCAGGGACCCAGATAACAGAAGCTGCATCCAGACACCTGCCTCTGGGGCAGGGAAACACAAATCACACACCAGACTTCAAGGCTCTGCTCACAGCTCAATGGCTAGAGCTCATGATATGGCTCCTGCCTACCCAAGTGGGCTAAGGAGCTCAGATTTCCCTGTGCCTGAAGGAGAGGAGAACCGATGCCAGGGACACACTAGTGACCCCCACAGAAAATGTTTTCAAATGTACTTTATATATACATGTACATACATATTCACACACACGCACACACACACACACACCCTATAAAGTAGGTGAGGGTAGTTATATCAGCATTATACCAATGAGGAAGTGATATGAGTTGAGGTATAACCTATCAGATTTCTCTGTTATTAAAAATCATAAGAGCCCCATTTATTGACAGTTTTGTATAACCTTTAGGTAAAAACACTTGATAGACTATACCGCTGTGTGCCCTGTAACATCCTCTAATTTTGATCAGCATTTCACCAAGACATAAATATAACAGACTGAGGAGGGATGTCATAACCCTTCCCAAGTGCACATGTATACCTATGTAACAAACCTGCACATTCTGCACATGTATCCTGGAACTTAAAGTAAAATAAAAAAAAAAAAGACAGATAGTAAAAAAAGAAAGTATTTCCAAAGTTAAATTGCTTCCTCACTAGCAGAAGACACCAAATTCTTCTGTCTTTTCTGGGTCTTGCTTATTTCATGGCTGTTAATCTCTGCAGCGTACTAAGGGCATAGCGATTCATGGGTTACTGATTGGGTCATAGCTGTGAATGGCTGTCAGTGGGTTGATGTTTTGTGATAATAAAAAGTATACTGTGATGATAAAGTTGTCCCCAAGTTCAGTTTATCTCATATACCATCTAGAAGAGTAGGGAAAACATTATGATGGTCTGTAAGAAGTGAAGGGACGTTTGGAATTTTATAGATCAGAACTGACATTGCTTACTTCTAAGGAGAGATTTAGTACTGGGATTACCTACAAAGGGAGTATTTTCTCTCCCAATAGATAGTAGACCAACCTCTGTTCATACTAATTACATTATTTATAATTAGGGTCATCATTGCTTTGCTGAATTTTGAGTTCCCTGAGATCTTGAACTATGTCTTAACCTTCTTTGTATCCCGAGGGTCCAATTAGGGCCTATGCACTAGGCAACACAGTGCACAGTAGTTAAATCATCTTTAGGTGTTTGCTGAATGATTTTATGAGTCATTGTGTTGTGAGGCAGATAAAACATTTGCTTTTCATAATAGATCTAAGAAGGTGATGGAAGAAGGTTGTCTATATCAGGGTGTATTAATTAGCAGTATCAGATATACTCCCACTGCCGGTGGTCTTGTGGATAGATGTAGCCATATGACTACTTCTGTTCAATGGGCTGGGCACAGAAGTGTTATGTATCCTTATGAGGCCCTCTGAGCTCTGCCTTCCCTCTGGCAGAGTGACCCATCAGCATGAACCACTAAATCACTGCAACGAGCTGACCTGCAGTAGACATGTAGCATGAACAAGAAATAAACTTTATCATGGCACTAGCCGATAGAAATAATGTAATTTAAAATATTCGGGAGCTACATATAAAAGGTAAAAATAAACAGATGAATTTAATAATAGTTTTGCTTATCCAATAGATCTAAGATATCATTTAAACATATGATCAACATACGAATTATTGAGATATTTTACATTCTTTTTTTGTATATATGCTAAGTCTTCAAAATCTGGTGTGTACTTTCCACAGTCAGCACATCTCAATTTGAACTAGTTATATTTTAAGTGTTTAATGGCCCCAGTTGCCTACTGTACTGCCAGTATAGCTCTGCTGTTTGAAGTTACTGATATTTGGGGGTTATTAGTTGCTGCAACATAACTTAGCCCATCCTGACTGCTACACTAAACATTGATTTTCCTTGGATACCCTGATGAAGTAAGTCTTCCAGACTTGACATGGGGATCACCAGGGTTGGTACAAAGTGACAAAGAGTATGTTGCATCAGGGGATTCACTTTATGGCAACATAGAGAACCTCTAATGAAATGTGTGAAGATTTGTGCTCAGCCCCTCAGCACTGAACATCTCCTAATTGTGGCCTAGAGGAGAGTTTACTTTAGTTTCTCATAAATTTAGCCACATTGAAACCTCTGTGGTAAGAGGATGAATTTTTTTCTGCCTGATAATAGTGTTTTAACAAGGTAATCAATAATGTGAGAAAGCTACTCGAAGTCTCGATCACAAGATGTTCATAAATTCATTTAGGAAGCATTCCTTCTCAATGACTGTGTGCTCAGTAACATGCTGGGTGCTGGGAATACAACTGTGGAGAAGTGTACAGTCTCACAAAGACAGCAATGAAATCTATAATTAGAGTATTCATTAGCTGGAATATGACCTGCATTAGTTTTATATCGCGGCTGAAGAGATTACTTCAAACTTCAAGGCTTCAAGCAACCTATGTTTATGCTCCCACAGTCTCTGTGGGTCAGGAGTCTGGGTACAGCTCAACTGTGTCCTCTAATCAGGATCCCTCCAAGGCCACCCCAGGGTGTCTGCCAGGTTGCATTCTTTTCTGCAGCTCAAGGTCCTCTCGCATAGTTATTGGCAGAATTTAGTTTTCCTTGTGGTTGTAGGTCTGAGGTCTTCATTTTCTTGTTGGCCTTCAGCCAGATATAGTTCTCAGCTTCTAGAGACCCCTCAGAGACCCTCACACAACACAGTGGCTTATTTCTTCAAAGCGAGCAGGAGAATCTCTCTGACCTCTAGGCTCTTTTTTAAGGACTCATCTAATGCATTCGGCCCAATCCACGCTGCAATGGAAGGAGCCCAGCCATGAGGCTGTTGCAGTATTCAAGAAGAGAGATGATGGTTGCTCAAAGGAGGGTGGTGGCAGTAGAGATGGAGAGAAGTGGATAGATTAGAGAGAAGTTTAAAAGGTAGAATCAATAAGACTTGGTGATTTGTTGGATATGACATAAGGAAAAAAGAAGTTAAAGATGGCTCCTGGACTTGAGCTACTAAGAGGATGATTGTGCCATTTCCTGGTCTGGGGACACTGAGAAGAAGAGCAATTTTGCCAGTGAAGCAGATCCATTATAGACATTGATGTGTCTGATCTGCCAGTGAGACACCAGGTACCAGGTGCCACAATGACCACTGGCTACACTGATCTGGAGCTCAGAAGAGAGGTGTGGGCCAAAGATATGAGTCTTGGAGATATCAGCTAATAGGTGACATCTAAACCCATTACAAGGGATGAGATCATCTAGGGAGGACAGGTAGAATGAGACTAGAGCCTGGATGAAGTCCTCAGGGACCTCCACTTAAAGGTCTACTAAGGGGGAGGGAGTGGCAATTTCACACACACCAATTTCTTGTTGCTGTTACTAATGTCACTTTCAGGGAATGAATATTGTAATCATTTAGGAACATATAGTACTTCAAGAGGCTTCTCTCCACCAGGACACTGTGTGTGTGTGTCTGTGTGTGTGTGTGTCTGTGTGTGTGTGTGTATGTGTTGCAGAGAGGAAATTGCATCCGAATCAGCTGAAGAGCATTTGTAAACTACACTCACAAATTCCAATGTGTCCCTAAGGGAAAAGAATAACAGATGCAAAAAATTTCTTTTTAGAGACACGTGCCCTCATTTTTTAGAGAAAACTGGAGCTCATAAAAGTACAAGTCATTTGCCCAGTGCTACACAGTTGGCTAGATGATAGCCCCACTGAGAGGAGTTAAAGGAGCCCTTTAACCCTCGAGGAATGTACACTTATCCATCAGTTTCACAGGCTAGATTCCAGAAACATCAAGGAATTCTAGTGTCAGCTATTGGGGGTTACCCAAATGTCCCCCAAGCATTCAGTACCTGTGAGTGGAAGAAAGAAATTCTCACTTATTGAACCAGTACTATACAACCATGACAGCTCCAGAATGATGCTGCAAGGCAGATATTATTTTCCTCATTTTACAAATGAAGAAACTGAGGCTTATGAATTGAGTAATGTGCCCACAGATGGCAGAACCAAGCTTGAAATTTGCTCTTACTACTGGCCTTACATTAATTTTTAGGATGTTAAAGCCAACTGTATACATTGTGCATTGACTGTAATATATAATTAAGCATTCCTTCAAAAAAAAATTACAGTGGAATTGAGTTCATGAGCAAATACATAGTGTGAGCCTCTCAGCTTTCTTCTTGTGAAACAGCAGTTCTGAAGCCAGACTGCATTGATGAGAACCAGGCTCCATTCCTTACTTGAGTAAACTTAGCCAAGGTACCAGACTTCTTTGTGCTTTAGTTCCTCATTTGCAATAAATTAGAATAATAATAATACCGGGGTTGCTGTGAAAATTGAATGATTTAATGTATGCAAAAGCTTTGAAACACCACCTAACGTGTAGTGGCACTATGTAGCTGGTCCCGTCTCTATCATTACTATTCATTTGCATTCACTATGATTTTTTTTAATCCAAGAGGCTTATCTGAGTTTCCAATTAGAAATTAATATCTCCTCCTAGCCCCAGAATTTTAGAGTTTTGCTTTGTCCTCTTAACAGTATAGTTATGAGAAAGTGATGCCCAGATAGTTACCTAAGGGGATACAGAGCAGATGCAAGTGGCTAACCTGATTTGATCCTTCACGCTCAGTAAATTGAAACGTCAAGCATATTTATGCCTCAGGGCCTTTGTCTTCTACTCTTCTCACTGACTGGAATGCTCTCTCCCTGTGTAATAGAACAGCCTCCCTGAGTAATTTCTTCAGGTCTCTGTTCAAATGTAACCTTATCAAAAGGCTTGTCCACACCACTCTATCTAAAATAGCATCTCCTTCCCACCATTACTTTCTATTTTCTTACTCTATTTTTCTTCAAAGCACATCATCAGAAGTATTACACGTCTATTTATTGAGGGTCTGTCTCCCCATTAGAGCTTGAGTTCCGCAAGAGCAGGGATTTGGTCTGTTTTGTTCACAGCTGTATTCCCAGCACCTAGGACAGGCCCTGGAACATCACAGGCCATCAGTAAAGATTTGCAGAATAGATGAGTGGATGTGTGAGTGAATGCTAAGTTACAGTTCACACAATGGGATTCATGGCTATCTGCAAAGACCACCATGATTTACAGGTGCATTGTCACCTACACAACTTTGGGACAAACTGGACAGCTCCAGCCCCTCACTGCAGTTAAGAGTACTACCATCTGTCCAGTTCCCCAGGCCAAATAACCTCTTCATCATTCTAGGCACGGGATTTTTTTTTCACCCTCCTTATTTGTTCAGTCCCAAGTTCTTTCAAACCTACCTCCACTAGATCTCAAGTCCGTCTATTTCTCCTTTCGTTCTGGTTCTAACCACCATCTTGTCTCACCTGGCTACTAGAATAACTTTCTTATTGAACTTCCCACTCCTATGCTTCCTGTGGACCATTCTCTGCAAAACATGCAGCACGCACTTTTGGAAACAAGTGATCCCTGCCTGTAACTCATTAGTGGCTTCCTATTGGCCTTGGAAAATAAATCCAAACTTCTTACCACATTGTACCTGGCCTGGCATGATCATTCCCAGCCCTCTTCTCTAATCCTATCTTAGGTAACTCTCTCCACCTCACACTTTACAATGTTCAATCACCCCAGCCTTTTAGTTCCCGGAACAATCTCTGGGCCTTTGTTCTTGCTGTTTCTTCTGCTTGGAATGCTTCTCACTTGACTCTTCCTATGCCTAACACCGTCTCATCTTTCAGATTTCAGGATAAAAGTCACCTAATCACAGATCAACCAGCAAATCTTAATCAGGTGCCTCCAGTTCTTTTCTGCCACAGAACTATATTCTTTTCCTTTTTAAATACTTTTCATAATTTTACATCATGCTTATTTGTTGTCTGATGTCTGTCTCCCACTCTAGATTGTAAATCCTATCTACTGTGGTATATCCATCACCTGGAAGAGTCCCTGACACAGAGTAGCCACTTAATGAACATTTTTGGGTGTTATTGAATGAATGTCACAGACGAACCTGCAGGAAACCCTGAAGATACTGAGGGAAAAAAGACAGGAATTGGGTGCTTGGATCTCAGGATTTCTGGTGGTTCGGGCTTGTCATCAAAGACTGATAAATCCTTCCAAAATACTGGTTTCTTATTTATTACCTTCTCAGGTTATAATTTGAGTGAGTAGGAATGCTGTGTTCTTTTCACCATACCACCAATATGATGTGGCCCCTCTTGGAGATAACAACAAGCATATTTTTAGATTTACTATGAGCACCTTAACGGCATTATGCCATTTAATACGATTCAATAAGATATGCATTGCTATCATTTCCTATTTTACATTTGAACAAACTGAGGCACAGAGAAGTTAAATAGCTTGTTCAAGATCACAGGGCTGGTAAGAGGTAGATAAATGAATATAAATATGTGAAATCCAACCTCACAGTCCGAATTGCTAACCTCTGAGGCACAGATGCCCACATGGCATTGTACCTATACTCCCATAGTGGCCTCTACCAGCCCTTTAAATATCATGTTTATCCTGGACACACTTGCTTTGTATCTCTGGCCCAGACTTCTACCCTGAGCTCCAGACTCATTTGTCTAACTACCCACAAGACATCTTCTCCTGGGCATGTCAAACTTAACTTTTCCAAAACTGAGTTTATGATCTACCTCTGTACCCCCATCCCCCATGCCCAAACCTGGTCTGTCTCTATTTCCTCTTCTCAATAAATGGCAACAGGAATCATGAGATGTGGAGATGTGTGTGTTTATACTATATATATACACACACATGTATATATATACACACACACACATATATATATACACATATATATACACACACACATATACACACATGTATATATATATACACACACACATACACACACACACACACACACATACATATATATATGCATACACACTCCTTTGAGAGATGGACTGCTTGGATTAGATAGTGGCATGGCATTTCTCCTGCCTTACTGTTGCAAGGACTGTGACTGTTACATACCAAGGCATGGACCAAAATTTATTAAATAGAAGGTTTTCAGTATGTTCTTGCTGAACAAAAGAAAAAAAAATTTTGTGTGTGAATCTTATCTCTTTTTACTCCAGGTAATTTCCCATGATACTCGTTAATTTTCTCAGTCATTTTTCTAAGAATATTTTCCCAAACTTCTCTAAGTGGTAATTTTTCTCTCCCCAAGGTTTTATTCCCAGGAATTTGTATTGCAGTATATTAATGAAACAACTCTATGTTTCATAAAAATCATTTTCATTTCTTTTCACTTTGGCTCTTGTGCACTTGGATTTATGTGGCAAGGAATACTTAATAATAAGGAAAGACCTATCTAGAAACAGCGGTGTAATCATTTGGCAGTAGAGAAAAGAATGATTTATGGGCCATATAATTAGCAATCATCTGTTTCTCATTTATTTCTCAGGGCTGAAGTTCAGAAGGCATTCAGTAACAAGCAGTAGGTAATGCCTTCTCAGTTCTTCCTTGAAAAACTGAATATAAATAATAAGCCCCATACACTATATTTTCCCTTAAGTATGTAAAGAGGACACACACACACACACACACACACACACACACACACAGAGGACTCATAGATATTCATCGCCATTCAAGAGAATTCAGGTAATATTTTTTCTCAAGATAATCAAAAAAACCTTTAATAGCCCCAAATAAAATCACAGTTCATTAGTAACTTAAGTTTGCTTTACATGAAGGAAAGCCTCTTTATTTTTGTTGCTTTGTTTTCTAAAATATGAAATTCTTTTAAGATGAATTTGTATAAACTGATAAAGCAACAATTCAGTCTATGCATCTTAAATGCATTTGCAAAGCCATGGATTTATTTAAACTTCAGAAGTTATCAGGTATAATTCAAAAGGAAGTTAAAAGGTGAGGGTATGGAATCAGCTCTGTCTGGGGTAAACATTCAGTTTGGCTGTGGGTGAGCCACTTGTCACCTCTCTTTCTCCTCCTCTAAGAAACTGAAGGAAAACCACTCTCACAGGGTTCATATGGGAATAAGATGGGGTAACATGTGAATGTGCTTTGACAATTGCAAAACATGAAAAATAATAAATAAATAATATTGTTATTATTTAAATAATAAGTGATTTTTATCCAGCTGAATAAATCAAAACAGCTATCCTTTTATGCATAAAATGGTTGAGATCCCACGTCAGAATTTTAGTTGATTCAGTATGTGTTCAGATAATGAACTTAGCTTTTCTACATATAGAAATGTATTTATATTGTTCTCTGAGTGGAATATTTTAATATATTTTTAATGTTTACATACATTTATGAAAAGTCTTCAAATGATTATTTTCCCACTAGATTGTTTATTTTCTGTAAGACCTAACACTTACAGTAAATCTATGGAGAGAGTATACTCTAAGCGCTATATTCTGCTCTAAATCATTTGTTTAATTCAGTGACTCTATCACATTTCCATATAGTGTCTTCGGTGTTGCCCAATTTTACTCTTTCTCTCATAGGAAGATGAGTGAATATAGAACCTTATAGGAAAGCTAAGTGAATTTAAAGAAATCCCATTATCATGATTAAAATTTCCAACTTAGGAAGCCACAAAGCCTTCCCAGATCTGAAGTATATCTTCATATAAAGAAAAAGAACTATTTTTAGGAAATACAGTCTTTCTTCTGCTTTATAACTTGGAAAACTGTACTATGTATTGAAAAGCAAGCGGCAATCTTTTCTGAAGTCCAACAAATGCTCAGCTGAAAAGCTGTGAGACCATTTCAGATCCCCAAGGCATCATTGCGTCCACAGGCATGAAATGGGGCAGGACTGACTGTGTGTGTGTGATGTTTCTGTATGTTCTCTATGGGCATCGCAGCCTGTGAGCTCATTCACATACCCCTAACTACTTAGCTCTGATCTAAGCAGCTGTGCCGGGAGGACTGACCATAATAGGTTACTCAACAGAAGAAAACAGTGTTTACAAAGAGACAAAGCATTGGCCATCAAATTTTCAGTTGTTACTGGTTTGTCCACTCCCTGGACAGGCACCTCATTTGCAGTAACCTGCAGTGTTCACTCTAAGAGTCACTTCATTGACAGTCACTTCCTGCTTCACAGGAATCACAATATCCACCTAGGCCAGGTCTAACGGCCCACATTTCACTAATCATGTTCATGGATTAGATAAATATTGTGTGTGTGGTCCCTCCATGCCAAGCACTGTGCTAGGCCCAAAAGATCCAACTATGAATAACAGAAATATTCCTTGTTCTCAGGAGGGTTATACTCAGGGCACTACTTGTCCCAAGCCAGAAGATAAAACCTCATTTCAGCCTGAACTGCCAGAAAGTTAGACTTTTCAGACCAATATTAGAGAGTGCCTCCCACTACTGATGGGCCCTGGCCTTCCTACCCTTAGGAAATTCAGCATCACACCAGTCTCTGAGAACACTGCAGTTGATGCCAGTTTGATTTTCATAATATCTTGATGAGTTGATTTGTGTAGAGTATTTATAACCCTTGAATGTTTATAATTCAGGTCAAAAAGACTCTGAATTAAAGTATCATAAATGAATTACAACTTTACATCCATCTGCAATTTGAAAACAATTTCCCGGAGTGCAAATTTACCCCAGCTAGAGGAAAAAGTTGAGCTTCTATTTTTGTCAGTTGTGCAAAAACAACAAGAAGAAACAACAAAGGATTGTTATACAATACTAGTATAAGGAAAGTCTAGCCACAAAGCACAAAGTCCTAACATATCTGTCAACATTCCTAAACTATAAAAACTTAAATGCCATGCAGTCCAGATCAATCCTATATGAGAAAGATGGGGATAAGTAATTGGCCACTTTACTAATTTAAACTAGCTTGGCTCATATTTTCTCACTTTCCTTCTACAACTGATCCCTCCTTGTGGAAAGTGACTTCCAAAGAGAAATCTCCTAATTGGTTTTTCATGTCCTTTTGTCCAGAGGCATAGACCAAAATCTGTTGGATGGTTACTGGGGTGTGAAGTCCTAATTTTACTTCCCTATGTTCTGGGTTGATAAAAAGCCCTGAAGGAGGCAAAGGTCTTTGTCCAAAGAACACAGCTCTTTCAAAAAGCTTTGCCAGTCACCCACCCAGATTGCAATCTCACATCTTTTGGCTCCCTTCATCTCCACCACCACCAACTTTTGCTTTTGCCTGGATGACTGAGAACATTCCTTCTTCTCCCTCATCATTTATTCTCTATGAAACAGCCACAGTGACCTTTGACAACCTAAATCAAAGTGGTTTCCCAGTGTTCCTAGAATAAAGTGCGCTGCACGTCCTGTCTTCTGCTCACTTTCTCAGCCTCTTCTGATGCCACTCTTCCCTCCTTAGTACGCCTTAGCCCTTTGCTCTTCTTTCTCTCCCTCAACATACCAGGAAGCTTCCCAGCTCAGGGCCTTTGCACCCAGAGCGCTCATCCCATGCTCTTTCCCCAGCTGGTGCCTTCTCCTCCTTAGGTCTCAGCTCACATGTCACTTCCACAGAGGAGACTTTCCTTGACCCCTTGTCCAGATGAGTATGTAGCCCCCTCCCATAACTGTTTCTGTCATTACTTTATCTTCAGAACACTCAATATTATCTGAGTCTTCCCTCCCTCCCTTCCTCCCTCCCTCCCTCCCTCTCCTTCCTTCCTTCCTTCCTTCCTTCCTTCCTTCCTTCCTTCCTTCCTTCCTTCCTTCCTTCCTTCTTTCTTTCGACAGAGACTCCCTCTTGTTGCCCAGATTAGAGTGCAGTGGCACAATCTCAGCTCACTGCAACCTCCACCTTTCGGGTTCAAGCGATTCTCCCGCCTCAGCCTCCCCAGTACCTGGGGTTACAGGCACCTGCCACCATGCCTAGCTAATGTTTGTATTTTTAGTAGAGACGGGGTTTCACCATGTTGTCCAGTCTGGTCTCGAACTCCTGACCTCAGGTGATCTGCCTCAGCCTCCCAAACTGCTGGGATTAAAGGCGTGAGCCACCACGCCTGGCCTATCCTTGCTTTTCAACTTGTTTTTGCCTATCTTCTTTAACATTTTTGTAGAATGTAAATGTTATTCATACCTCCCTTGTTTACAGCTGGGTCTCCAGCTGACATGAGTGCCACACACACAGTGGGATGTTTGTTAAATGAATACTTGCACTTGTAAGGGTCTGGCCTATTGGTGAGGAATGCCCCAAATCATAAACTCTGTCCAGGTCCATGCATTCTAAGTTCCAACTCAACTTAAACTGTGGGAGCCTTGAATATACTTTTCAATTTAGTTTCTTTTTTCTGTTTCAGTCCTCTCTAATAAATAGTGACATTATCTTTGTGAAGTTGCATGCCCCATGGGAAGTCCTTGGAAGATATGCAGAACAAATGAATGTAAGAATGCCTTTCAGGTAGGTGGAAATGTATTTTATTCCACTCTCTCTGCTGCTTCACTGTAAATCTAATGTTCTCCTCTCTCAGAACAAATAAAACTGAAATGCAGATTGGAAGGCCATTAGAGGAGGGAATCTTTCAAATGTTTAGGATATGCAAATAAGCCTTCATGGCCAATAATGATTTCATGGCTTTTTGTGAAAAATTCTGGCTAATTTAGTTCTTAGCAGGTAGATATTTCCAGTGCCTGTAATAAAGAAGCATTTTCCAAGTGGCATTTTTATTTCCAAAGTGCCATTTTTAGAAGTCCTGTGTACTGCTGCTTTGAACAGCCAGACCACAGGCAGCAGTTGCACAGGGGCATGTTTTCATGTTCTTTACTGACTAGTCTCTTCCAGAAAAACATTAAAATGTATTTCTGTAGATACAAGTGCAAGAAATTTCATGACAGTGTGATCTTCTTTTTAAAAAAAAAACAAAAAAAACCACTTTTTTTAATTTTAAAAAGTCATAAATACTTTGCAAACACGAATATTGATATTTGTTCCAAGGGGAATAGAAAATACTTTGTATTCCTTAGTTATTTAAAAGGATTAATTTACCTTCATTTCACAATGAATATTTTTATTTTCCCTATGGATTATGGAAAAGTGATCTGCATTTGCTATACAGAAATAAAATATTAAACCTCAAATTAGAAATGCCAAGATATGTGGGTCTTTTGTAATGGAATCTGCTAAAAAGATGGATGGATGTAGTCCCAAGGACAGTTCTGAGGGGACTCGAAGAATAACGTACTTTTGGTTTGCAATTTGCCAGTAAGACCACATTAGGTGACAGAAATGAGGCAAATTGGTACCAACTCTACAGTCTGTCTCTTAATGAGCTGTGGAAAGTTGTGGAGACAAAGAACATTTATAGAGACAGAGAGAAGGGTTAGGGACTCATTTAGAGAAAGGCAATTTCCATTCACAGGCTTGTAATGTATCTCCCTGGTGCATCTTATCTTCTTTGTTCATTGGCCTGTATGTCCTAATACCAAGTCAAAATAGAGGCTATGATTTCTAGCATCTGTTTTCCTGGAGGCAAAATTCTCAAAATGGATAATAAATATAGTTCTGATCTTATGATTTATTTTTGTATTTAACTGTTAAAAAGAAAATCTGAGAACTCAAGGATTAAAAAAAGGAATACATATATATATCCACTAGGGAGAGATAAGGAATGTCAATTTAGATTCCACTGAAAATTTTTATACTATAATAGTTAAAGCCAAATATGTATCAATGATATAATAAGTGTCTAATGTGGATTAATACCATATTATACCTAAGAACCGAAAGAGAAAGAAAGAAAACCCTACAAAATATGTCTAGATAGAAATTTATACACCCCTCTCCAGTATAAATAAATCTCATAAAACCTTCTGCCAGAACACACTTCTGTAACAAAGAACCCAGGGAGATGATAGAAACTTGAGCAATGGTAATGCAAAGCCAATTCTCTTACTACCTGCAAAGGATTTTGTATCTGAAGGGCCTGGCCACATCATGAATAACACTTCTGCATGCCTACTACACAGCAGAAATGTGCTGCCTCCAAGCAGCATTAATACTGTTTTAATGCAGCATTGAGAGAATGTGAACCAAGCAATGAAATGAAAATGAACATGAACAATTATCTTCTTTTTAGATATAGGAATTCCTGCAGGACAATTTTAGAAGAAAATATTGTTAATGTGTGACACTAATTGACCTCATTAATATTGATGTAGGTTTACCTACTAAACATGGCTTCACTTGTTGTAACCTGATGGATTAAAAACTTTTGCTATTATTGTGTCCACAGTTTCAGACAAATAACTCTAGTCTAAGGAGATACATGCATTTCCAAAGGAGGAATTCTCCTACTACATCATTTCAACAAAATGTACAAACATCATTTTAGCTGAATTTTAATACGCAAAGAATCTTACCTGTATTCATAATTTTCTGTAGATTCATAATTTTCTGTACTTCTGAATCCCAAGTTTAGTCTCCATGGATTTTTATCCCTATAATGTTTAAAAGGAAATATAGGAATAGATTTCTTATGAGAAATTACAGTAAAACCTGCTTCTTAAATACTTATATGTCCATGGATATTTTTTATAACTAATAGACCTTACTTTTTAGAGAAATTTTTAGGTTTATAGAAAATTGAGAAGATACTAGTGTTCCAATATACCCCTTCTCCCCCAGCCTACAGTTTCTTTATTATTAACATTTTGCATTAGCGTGATATATTTGTTAAAGTTGGTGGACCAATATTGATAAATTCTTATTAACTAAAGTCCATAGTTTACTCTAGGGTTGACTCTGTGTGTGTGGTTCTGTGGGTTTTGACAAAGGCATATCATGTATCCACCATTGCAGGATCATGCAGAGTAGCTGCACTGCCCTAAAAGTCTCCTGTGTTTCATCACCTTCCTTCTCCCCCGACCTGTACCTCTGGCAACCACTGATCTTTTTATTGTCTCTATAGTTTTGCCTGTGTTTTAAAGCTTTCACAAATACGCAAAAAAATTGGTGATATATAAACTTACCATTTACAGAAGTCAGAGAGTTCAGTAACAGTTCGGGATATACATAAAAAGCACCTGTTTCATTATTATTCCATTCAGTTTCGGTTGAAGCCTGAAATATGGAAAGTGAGGTTGCATTTTAATAAAGAATCTAATACATGTATTCTCCATTCAAACTACACCAAGAATTTTCATTTTTAACATTTTTAAAAGATAGATATATAGCAATCTGACAGAATAAGACTGATTTTTGTATAGTTTCCAGAATTCCTTGATTTTACTTATTTAATTCATCTAAAGCCAGGGCCAGTGGTTAGCCAGTGTGCCCCGGTGTGGTTATGTACAGCTGGGTGTTGATGCTGACAAGTGAGTGTCCTTCCCATACTGGTTGTGAAATACATATATATATATTTATTTATATTTATATTACTCCTGTCTATACCATGAGAGACGTGTCTTGTGTAAACTTAAAATGCTATATAAATATTAGTTAATATAATAGCGTGCCCACTAAATTATGTATGTTGCCCTCTGATCCATCTTTGCATTTTCCTGGGGAAAAAAGCTGACCTCAGCTGAAGCTGTGCAAATACCAATCACTCCAAATTATCATACTGCACATGCTTTGTAGGCAAGGAGCAACCATTAAAAAAAAATTATGGTAATGGGTAGAGGAAGAAATATCAATGGAAACTGTTTCATAAGATTTCATGACTCAAAAACGCATGCCCTGTGTTCCCACTGTATTTCTCACTGTTAATCTCTTTTTAGTTTTTTCTTCTTCACCTCTTACAGGCTTCTATCTTCAATCTCCTTTCCTTCCTTGCTAGTTCAAACTGTAACTGACGATGGGTTTTCTTCTCGACTGGCTTCATTTTTGCTGTTCTTCCAGGAGAAAAATCTATTACCTGCCCCGCCGTTACAAGTTCATGAGCAGGTTAGTAGCACGCTCTGTCCTGACAGTGTTTGTCTTTCTGTTGGCCCGTGTGCTCCAACAATGACAAGGAGCTATAAGCTGGGGAAGATGAGCCTGTGTCACATGGGAAAGTTGGCTGCCATGCACATTTTAAAATCAGCTGTGTCTGATTAGCCTGAGGAGAAAAAAAGATGAAAACGTCCCTCTCCGCGTCTTCCCAGTAACTTCTTCCCACTTGGGGGGATTGCCATTCATCTGCAAGTGTGCTGGGGCTATTGCTTTTTAGCCCATTCTTTTTTTTTTTTTTAATTTCAATAGTTTTTGGGAAACAGGTGGATTTTGGTTACGTGGATAAGTTATTTAGTGGTGATTTCTGAGATTTTGGTGCACCCATCACCTGAGCAATGTATACTGTACCCAATGTGCAGGCTTTCATCCCTCGCCCCCTCTTTTTAGCCCATTCTATTAGATAAATTATCAAAAATCCCAATATCTTTGGCCTAGATGTTCTCCCTTCCCTTCCCTTTCTTTTTCTTTTTTCTTTTTCTTTCTTTCTTTCTTTTTTTTTTTTGAGACAGAGTCTTGCTCTGTCACCCAGGCTGGAGTGCAGTGGTACCATCTCCGCTAACCGCAACCTCCGCCTCCTGGGTTCAAGCGATTCTCCTGCCTCCAAGCGATTCTCCTGCCTCAACCTCTTGAGTAGCTGGGATCACAGGCATCTACCACCACGCCCAGCTAATTTCTGTATTTTTAGTAGAGAGAGGGTTTCACCGTGTTGGCCAGGCTAGTCTCGAACTCCTGACCTCAGGCGATCCGCCCACCTCGGCCTCCCAAAGTGCTGAGATTACAGGGTGAGCCACCACGCCTGGCCAATGTTATTTTTTTCTACAAAAATTCCTCCCTCCACTATATGTAATTTGAAAGCTTGAAGTGCAGATAGTCATCCTTAGCTGCTGGCTACTTGACTTCATGAGTGGGGTCCTCCTATGTTAGTAATATTTTGTTAATAACATATGCAGATGTATAGCCTCACTCAGGTGCCCTTCCTACCCTCTTTTCTGCCAAAAAAAAAAAAAGAAAAAAAAAACCCACCAGATGAAGATTGCATCTACTATACTTTGTATCCTCCGAAAGCTTGTTTTTCCTTGTTTTTTGAGGAGCTAGGGAGAAGGGGAATGCATCAATGATGATGTCCTCTAATTTGATTCTGTTGTGATCATTGGAGAATCTAATTTCAAAATCTTAATTGATCTTATGTTTTCATTCACCCTGAGCTGAGCTGAGCTGATGGTTAAACTGGGAAACTAGTAAATTTCTCTGAAAATCCTAGTTAGTTCAACTCTATGAAATTTAGAATTCAGGTTCCCTCTGTTTATATGCTATGTTGAGTGATAAATAAAAGAGTAGTTGGTACATTATGGTGGGTTTACTCAAATGCATGTTTACTCAGTGAAGTACAGTGTGAGAACTGACCTCCAAAGAAGTGAAAATGTTGTTTCTCAAAAATTGCCTGCGAGCAAGCTTATTGGCAGTTCTTTCATTAAGCAGTTGACATGACATTTGGATTCACCATGATTTAGATTGCTACCTTGTCACACTGTAATCATCTGTACAATCCTGATATAACAGTTTAGCCTATATTAATAGTTCTCAAACTCCAGCCAGCATCAGAATCACCTTGTTAAGGCACAGATTTCTAGGCCTCAACCCCAGAGTGTCTTGTTCAGTAGATCTGCAGTGGGGATGGGGAATTTTCACTTCTAATGGATTCCCAGCTGCAGCTAATGCTGCTGGTCACGGGACGATGTTTTGGAAACCATTGGTCTGTATGATAGGCCAAGCTCCATCTTCTCATTAAAATACGGATTTGACTGACTATGGGACGGGAAAACAAAAACCAATATCAAAGAAAACCTGAAGGAAACACAGCAAGGTGAAGAGAGGTTTCTCCCAACTTTGAGGGCTAAGTGGAAATATCAAGTTTGTACATGATACTGTTTCAGTATTCTAGATTCTAAAAAGAATGTAGGGTTGGGAGAAGTCTTATTCTTGTTTGGAATTGCCAAGTCAGCAAAGTCAGTATGTGTGGAACAGAGCACATTGGGGTCATAAAACCTATGTTGGCACTGGATGACTTTGGGCAGGTTACTTCACTTCTCTGAGCCTAAGTTTTTCACATTTATAAAATGATATTAACTTCTCCCCTGTATGGTTTATGTGAGGTTTAGTGCCTAGTATGTAGCTGATGTGCACAAATAGTATCTATTAATACTTATTACATGTAATAATTAATACATGTAATAATTAATAATTACATGTAATAATTATGTCTTTGCAGAAGGGTATCCTTCTATTCTTTCTGTCGTGCTTCTGAATTTGTTATCCATCTGTAAGTCTCTCCTTTCTTCTATCCTCTAGCAACTAGTCCACTAACTGTTCTGAGTTTATCTGCCAAGTAGTCATTTTCTCCATTTATATTCTCTATACAGGCATTGGCTCTACTTCCCACACAGTCACCTAATTTAAAACCTAAGGGTCCAGGTGTGGTGGCACACACCTGTAGTCCCAGATACTTGGGAGTCTGAGGCAGTGGGATCACTTGAGTCAAGGTGTTCAAGCCTAGCTTGGGCAACATAGTGAGGCCCCATCTCTAAAAATGTAAATAAAAAAAACCTAAGGGTCATTTTGGATGTTTTGCTTGCTCATCTAGTCAGTCTCTCAAATTCTGCGGGTGCAGATGAATATTTCTAAAAGTCTATATATTACTCTTCATTCCCACTGCCATTGACTTAGGCTGAGCTCCCATCACCTCTTGCCTAAACATCAGTTTATCTTCCTGCCTCCTTTCTGACCCCTTCCAAACTCTCTTCTATTCATCTCCTGAGTAGCAAATCTGATTATTGTCACTTGGTGGCTACCATAGAGTGATCACAATAAGGTTAAAAGCATTAGCTTAATTACAGCCCTTTATAAACTGTCCTCGCCCATCGCTTCCCTCCCACCACTCTTTGCTCCATCCATATTGAGCTCATCGTTTCCAAACATATGTTATGCTCACGTGGGTTTATGTGCTTTTGCGTATAGTGGTCCTTCTGGAAGATCCTTTCCTTTATTGTTCACCAAGGTGAGGTCTACTCAGTCCTCAAAACTCAGTCCACATTTTTGCCTTTTGCCCAGGTCAAATGATCTCTTTTCTGCTTTTCCATTAGAATCCTATGGCCCCATCACCCTGTGCTGTAATCTATGATGTAGGTGTCTAGCTCTCTACCTGGGTGGTATTTGAAGGCAAGGATGACTCATTCAATTCTATATTTCCAGCACCAAGCACATAGGAGATGGAGTGAATGAACAAATGAATCTCCACATGCGTGTATGAGGATTGGAGTAGGGAGAAAGGAAATCACGAAGAAAAGAAGCATAGAAAAACCAGGTCTGCCTAAAGTTTCAGACACAGCCTTGGGGTGAAAACATTTGCTCAAACAGTGGGGGTGGGATGGACAATAAGGGCTTAAAAGAAAACAGTGATAAAAGGAACTATAGAATCTCAAGGTTTTATGGGATATTAAATGCCATCAAGTCCAACCATTCATCAGATACTTAAACTTCTGCTTTCTGGTCAGCCAGTCTATGTTTGAACATCTCTGGAGATAGTAAACTCCCTGGCCCATCTGTGGGCAGCTGTGACTGTTACAAAGTTCTTCTTTAAAATAAGCTATAATCTCTATCTCTTTAGTTTTCACTCTTTGATTGGAGTTCTGCCCCCTGGATGGATAAAAAAATAATCTAGAGCAAAAAGGCAAAGCATGTGAGAAATATTCTGAAATATAGGCAAAAGGGCTTAGCACTTAGCAGCTATTTGGAAATTCAGAGTTGAGGAGAATGAGGTTCTGACACCTAAGGGCTAGGGAAAATATTGTTGGAGGTAAAAGAAGACTGGAAATCGAGAGGAGATACAGGTGTGGTGAGGAAGTTGACTTTTTAAAATTGATTCTGTATTATAACTCAACAGTAGATTTCTTAGGTGTTGGTGTCTTAAAGGCCTTTGGAACTGATGGCAAAGCAGCTGAAGAGAGTGGTAATGCTAGAGAATCCAGTGTGGGAGTCAGCATGACCTTAGCGAGGGGAGTGTATGGAATATCCCAGGAGGAGATGTAAAGGGTGAAGAGAAGAGCGCCTGTGGCAGTTCCTTTGAAAATCTGCATTAATGGGATGGGGGAGACCTGAGGAGAATGAAAAAGAACAATTAGAGAAGTAGAAGGAGAATGAAGAGAGGGTGGTGTCAAAGGCACCAAGAATGAGATTCCACAAGGAGGGCTGTGCTTCAGCTTCTGATGATCAATCAGAGATGAGAATCAATTTTGGATATTTAGAAGTTTCAGTAATCTCTGTGACAGCAGTCTCCATGGAGTGATGGTTCTCAAACATGTGTCAGGATCATCTGGAGGGCTTTTAAAAACACGGATCACTGGGCGCATCCCCAGTGTGTCTGATTTGGTAGGTCTGAGGTGGGGCTCGATAATTTGCACTTCCATCAAGATCCCAAGTGATACCTGTGCTGATGTTACTGATCCTGGACCACATGTTGAGAACCATCACTATAGAGTGGAGGATAATGGAAACCAAATTACAGCCAGTGGTGGAAGGATGAGGGCTGGATGAATCAGAGGCAATGAGGGTTCACTGCTACTTTGATAAGTTTCATGGTAGAGGAAGGAGAAAGAGGGGACAGGATTTAAAACAGGAGCCAAGAGGAGGAAGGCAGAGGAGACTATGACCTTGTGACCCATCACATGTTCTCCATGTGTGCAGAGGAGAGGCTTTGAGTGAATAAGAGCTTGAGAAATAAACTCTTCTTTCTTTTATTTATTTTTTTTTTTGAGATGGAGTCTCACTGTGTTGCCCAGGCTGGAGTGCAGAGGCACGATCTCGGCTCACTGCAAGCTCCGCCTCCCGGGTTCACGCCATTCTCCTGCCTCAGCCTCCCGAGTAGCTGGGACTACAGGCGCCCACCACCACGCCCAGCTGACTTTTTTTTTTTTTTTTTTGTATTTTTAGTAGAGGCAGGGTTTCACTGTGTTACCCAGGATGGTCTCGATCTCTTGACCTCGTGATCCTCCCACCTTGGCCTCCCAAAGTGCTGGGATTACAGGCGTGAGCCACCACGCCCGGCCGAGAAATCCTTCTTTCTAAAGCTGAAGGAATGGCTTACAAAACACTAGTCTTTGGGCTGGAAACATTGGTGCTACTTCTAGCGCACACATCACAACTACAGAAGAATTTAGGCATTGGAAGGTACTGGAAGACTCTGGGCCAAGCTAAAGGAAAAAGAAATCCCAACGAAGGTAGTTGATTCAGAATGGCCTCTCAAAATAGGCTTCATTGCATACCACATAGAATTAAGTCTTTGATATCACTGGGATGTGTGACTTTCTGAAGCCCAGTGTATGGTGTACATTTAAAATCCACGTTGTCAGAAAATGTTGCATCTACCTTAACTCTTCATTTCACATCAGAACAGACTGATTTAGATGATGGAGAGTGTCTTTTTCTTTGTAGCCAGCTCTGATATTCTAAATTGAAGGCCACATATACAACTTGCCATCTAGTAGTACATCAATAATGCAACACTGACCTCCAATATCCTAAAATTCCCGTCGTATGAAATCTTGATATTTAAGTTAGCTTGGAGTTTCATTTATATAAGTGATATTGAATTTTATTAATCCATGAAAGCATCTCTGAAACAAACCTATTCCCTAAGAATAAATGAATTAATATCTCTAAGGTTTCTGAGCAGGCAGAGAAATAAAGCACTTCTTCATAATATCTTTATTTTAAAAAATCACTTGACTCTCATAAAGCATACTCATGTAGTTCAGACATGGATTTTTGGAGTTAATGCTCTTTTTATCCATGTACTTGGTCTATTAAATGCTGCTTTCTTTCTTATCTTTGGACAGGCTTATAGCCATTATAAATTGCCTATCCAATAAAAAGGAGGAATTTATCATCTTTTGGCTGCCCTTTTTTTTTGCCTTCATAAAATATTGCAAATATAGTCTGTGGAAGATATGATTACAAAATAACAAATCTGATTATTATGGGTGGCTTGTAGGTGGAGTCTCATTACTACTCCTTCCTTCCACCCCCCATATGCATTCTGCCTGACTTGATCCTGGGTGAGGCTTGACAGTGTGAATGCTGGACTGTATTGCATTATACATTCAATGCAGTCACAACTTATCAGATGAGCATACAGGCAAAAGGACAAAATGGCTTGTGTATTTTCATCCTCGTTTTAAAAAACTAATACATGTAAATGTTCCAAAGCCTTTGGAGTCTTCTATAAGGTATTTAGGCTATGCTCCAAATAGTACCCCTGTGACCTAAAAGAATAACATTAGCTTTCTAAGATCTCTAAATTCTATCCAGGCAGAGGCTTGTAAATCTGGAGACTTGGCTCTAAGAAAATGAAAAACAAATTCATGCCTCTGCTGTCTATTATCATTCCAAGAGGGTGTCATTTACTGTAATGTAGAGCTGTGTGCTACTGAAAGAAAGAAAAGGAGGGAAGGAAGGAAGGAAGGAAGGAAGAAAGGAAGGGAGGGAGGGAGGAAGGAAGGGAAAAGAAAAGAAAAGAGAAAAGAAAAGAAAAGAAAGCTCATCTGTAGGTTCCCTCTAGGCATATCATCGCTGATAATGTAATCTGTTAGAAACATGATGCTATTATTATAATATTCTTTACTGGGGAAAAGTAGGTGTCTTCAAAGTAGGCCTGCTTCATTTAATTCAGTCTGATTAGGTTATCATTAGTGTACAGTCCCTCCTGGGTTGTTAGTGGCTCAAGGGAAATGACCTTTCTTCTACTTCCTCAGGCTATGCCCACAGCATGCAGGTTGGCATTCTGTACATTGTAGGCAGTTTATAAAGGTCTCCTGACAGGTTAGCATGTTGGGAGCAAGATCCTTTGCACATATGTGGCCTTTTCCTTAATCATCATCTCTCCTAAGTTGGGTAAGATTATCTCCCCTTTAGAGCTGAGGGAACTGAGGGTCAAAGAGATCAAATAGAACCTTCCCAAGACCAAACTTGGGAAGCCATCGCAGAGCTGGCAAGTTTGTACCCATTTGCTTATACTGTATTGTCAGCTCTTCCCAGGTACCCGGAATCTCACCTATCATGAATCAGCATGAAGGAAACCTGAGCTTACCATCAGAACAACTTTCTGTAAAAATAACTCACATTGTAGTCCAGATATTAACTTGACAAGTTAGGGCCAGAAATGCCCAAGTGTCTGATCCATTTTCCCTTTATTGATTTGCCTGTGTAGTGTGTAAGAGGGCTTTTGCTCAGTAAATAGCAAAAATGGAACAAAGTGACAACATACCCAACCAAAATCAATGCTAAATCATTAAGCCAATGTTTTCTCTTTTCTATTCCCTATTGGTGGAGGCTTCATTAAGTAAAGTCTATACTAAAGTCCACTCCTATACTGAAGAGACAAATGGGGTGCTTTCTGGTTAGTTGGTTTCCAGACTTTAACATATCTAAGTAAATTTCAGGGTTAACTATTTAGGGATGTTTATTAGGTGGGAACACAGACATCAATCTACTAGGGAGATTCACAGATTTTGAACTTTTATTGGGAAAAGAGCAATCTATGTAGAAGTTCATCATTATTGTCACCATAATTTTCTTCGTCCTAGAAACTATCACTCAATCGAGCCCTTTGTGCATCCAAGGCATTGTGTAAGCACTTGATATCCATGATCATGTTTAATCCTTACCATTGCCTTGTTCTATGGATTCTGTTGGCTCATAGAGGTTTAATTACTTGCCCAGCAAGGTCTATAAAACTGGAATGTGAATCATCAGCTTCCAGCTGACTCCAAAGTCCATCATTGTATACTAAAGGTTATCTAACATTGTATACTAAAGGTTATCATTAATTCAAGTTTGAATTAATCACATAAGTGACATAATCAAGATATTATCACCCAAATCACCAACAACCTGTAGTATCTAAAGAATATCTGGCTGATCATCATTTTAGAGATGAGAGCACTAAGGTTAGGTGAGGATAAAGGGCTTGTCCCAGGCCACACTGATGTATGACCACAGAATCAAGAGTCCAACTTGAATCTTATGCTTTCCAGCCTAGTGGCTTTTGCATTATGTGCTTCTGTCTTGCATGATTGAAGGGGGCCCTAAGTGAAGTCTGAGTGTGGCAAAGTTTGGAGACAGGAATGTGTTTGTGGAAGAGCAGACTAGGGGAGCACTCACTCATTATCCTGCCACAGAGAGATAGACTCTTGTTCCCAGAGCCACCTAACTGGGAGGTGAGAACAGCATGTGGAATGGCAGCCTTAACAGTGGGAGCCTGGCTAGCTGTTGCCAGGTCTTGAGGAGAGGATCAGACCGAGAGTGTTTTAAGAGGTGTATTCATTTCCTATTGCTGTCCTAACGCATTGCGACGAATTTAACAGCATAAGACTACACAAATGTATTAGCTCACAATTCTGTAAGTCAGAGGTCCAGGAAGAGGAGGCTCAACTGGTTTGTCTGTTCAGGGTTTCCCAAGGCTGCAATCAAGGTGTTGGTCACCCTGGGCTTTTATCTGGAGACTCTGGGGAAAATCTGCTTCTGGGTTCATTTAGGTTGCTGGCACAATTCAGTTCATGTAATCATAGGACTGAGATCTCCATTTCTTTATTGGCTGAAAGTCTTCCTCAGCTTCTAGAGGCTGCCTGCATTCCTTGCCTCCTAGCTCTTTTCATCTTCAAAGCCAGCAATGGTGGGTCAAGTGCTTCTCAAACTTTGAATCTCTCTGATTCTCCTTCTGCCACATCCCTCCTGCTAGAGAAAGTTCTGCTTTCAAAGGTCTCATGTGGTTAACTTGAGCCCATCTGAGTAATTCAGGATGCTCCCCCTATCTTAAGGTCTGTAACCTTCCTTACATCTCCAAAGTCCCTTTTGCCATGTAACATAACATATTCACAGGTTCTGGTGTGTACATCTTTGTGGGGGCAACTCTGGTAACCAGAGGAAGACACAAACTGCTGACCATGTTTGAGTGTTTGGTTTAGTCGTAGTGAAGTGCACACAGCATGCACAGCCGTGTGTAATGGAACCTGGACAACATGCCTTGTCCACCTGCTTCTGCTCAGGCTCCTCAGTGAAGGCCAGTTCACACCCTCCAGCCCCCATGCCCAACCAGTGTCTCGGGGATTTTATTTATTTATTTATGACACGGAGTCTTACTCTATCTCCCAGGCTGAAGTACAATGGTGCGATCTCGGCTCACTGCAACCTCTACCTCCCAGGTTCAAGTGATTTTCCTGCCTCAACCTCCTAAGTAGCTGGGATTACAGGTGCACACCACCATGCCTGGCTAATATTTGTATTTTTAGTAGAGATGGGGTTTCACTATGTTGGCCAGGCTGGTCTCACGCCTGTAATCCCAGCACTTTGGGAGGCCAAGGCAGGCAGATCACGGGGATTTTATTTTTAAGATGTTCTTTTGAATGTGTTTCTTCCACCACAGTTTTTTAAAAAGCCCAGTTCCTTTGCTTTCCATCACTTTTATGTTAGTCCTGTGTGGTCCTTAAGAAATTATTAATAATGCTTGCTATCTGTCTGGCAGCTTCTCCAAAGCATTTCATACTCACCATGTTTTATGAGCCCACTAACCACTCTGTAAGGTCAGTAAGATGATAATGATGATAATGATGATTATTGTTACTATTACCTCTATTTTATAACCTTGGAAAAGAAGGCTCTGAAGGGTAAATAACTTGTGGAAGGTCATACAGCTGAGGCGCAAGAGAGCCACCCCAGTTACAAATCTCAGCTTCCTTTTACCATGCCAAGCAGCATCCTCTTGCCTCCTTCTTGCTTCCTCTTTTTCACATATTTCAATTAATTAATCATTTTAATTACCCTGTTCTACTCTCTTTTCATCATCTCCACATTTCAATTAAATTGTGGTGCCACAGGCTGGCTGCTGAAAGCTGCCATTTCACTCCTATAGAGTAGTTATGCCTGATTTTTTTTTTTTACAGCTTTATTTGTTTTTATCCATGCTGAGCACTGTACCCAGCTGGATTCAATTCATAGTCATCGCACACAGAGCCCAGATTCTGTGGGAATGTGAATTTTACAAAGTGTGATCTGATTAGTCCTGCAGACTGGAGATGTGTGGGAGGTAAAAGCTCTATAATAAAAAACCTTTGGGCCAATGGCCTCTTTCTTGAATGAGTTTTAAGGCAATCAAATGAAATAAAGCCAAGAGCCATGGGGAAGGCCACCATCTTAGCTGAGGAAGTCTAATTTATGTGTCCATATAAGGACTAAATCATTGAGCATAGACTAGTGATAGATGCTGGTGAAACACAATTAACTTTGAATTAAAAAGCAAAAAACAGAAATGTTAAGCGGCAAGCTGGTTGCTCAATATTTTTATTTTTGGAAAAAAGAGAAAAACAGTAATAATAGCCAGCATTTCCTGTATACCAGACAGTTCTAAAGACTTTATATATGTATTAATAAGTTCATCATCACAACTCTACGAATTGGGTATCATTATCATGCCCATTTTATAGATAAGGAAACTGAGGCTCAGCAAAGTTAAATCACTTGCCCAAGGTTTTGCTGTTAATATTAACAGAGCCAGGATTTGAATCTAGGCATTCCAGCCCCATAGTTCATGTTGTCAACCACTGTGTCATGCTGCTTCTCTAAAGCCCATCATCTCACTATATTTTAAGTATATTTCTTTTGGGGCGGAGGGTTCTCTTGGGGAGGAGGGTCCTAGAGCCACTGTGAGATTCTTTTCAGTTTGACCCTTTGGGAGTTCTGAAGAAGGACAGCCACCACCAAGCAGAGTTGGGATCATGGTGAGGCTGGAACAATGCTGAGAATAAAGGAGATAGTGAAAGAGAAGTTTACCATTATTTTTTAGTTTGGAATTGATTGGTTATATAAATAATATTATCTTCAGCTGAGAGTTTCACTGTGATGGTTAATTTTATATGTTCAACCTGGCTGGGCTAAAGGATGCCCAGATAGCTGGTAAAACATTATTTTGGGGTGCATCTGTGATAATGTTTCCAGAAGAGATTAGCATTCAAATCAGTAGACTTAGTAAAGAAGCTGATCCTCCCCAGTGCAGGTGGGTGCCATCCAACCCATTGAGTGGAACTAGAAGATGGAGGAATAGTGAATTTGCTGCTGCTTGAGCTGGGACATCTCTCTTCTTCTGCCCTTAGACATCAGTGCTCCTGGTTCTCTGGCCTTCAGACTTGGATCAGGATTTGCACGGTTAGCTCATAAGATTCTGGAGAGCAAGAAGTCCCGCAATCTGCAGTTTTTAAGAAGGAGGCCTAGGAAACCTGATGGTGTAAGTCCCATTTCCAGTGTAAAGGCCTGAGAACTAGGAAGGCCAATGTCCAAGGGCAGGAGAAGATGGATGTTCCATCTCAAGCAGACAGCAAATTCACCCTGCCTCCACTTTTTTGTCCTATTCAGGTCCTCAATGGATTAGATGGTGCCCACCTGTGTTGGTGAGGACCAACTTCTTTACTAAGTCTACAAACTCAAACACTGATCTCTTCAGGAAACAACCCCACAGACACACCTCAAAATAATGTTTACCAGCTATCTGGACATCCCTTAACTTAGCCAAGTTGACACAGTAAATTAGCCATAACATTCACTGAAAAGAATACATTGCCATGTAAATATATTGTTTTAATTAGGAAAAAAATAAAGCATGACCAAATTCCACGTGTTTTCAGTTAATAAATTTAGAAGGTATTTTTTCCAGTAGTATAGACACTTGAGGTAGTGCTATCATTTTAAAGTTTGGTGTGGTTTTTGCGCCTTCTGGTGTTTTTCTGTGAACAGTGATTGGGAACTGTTCACTTGGAAGCCAGATGTTTTCATCAGCAGAAGTCAGTGGAACCGAGGGACCAGGGAGATAGCCAGAGAGAAAACTGTAGCTGAAAACCACTTTTAGGATACTGTTGTTTTCATTGACTTGGCTTCATTAGAGTGACACATGTGTGTCACGATGCCCTAGCACCATGAGAACCATGGAGCCTGCTTAAAAAGAGATCAATGAAAGCCAAAAATCCGGCTGCCTGCTGAGAGGCTGCTCAGGGGAGGTGGGAGAGGCAGGAAGCAAATCATGGCATGGAGCTCTCTGCACAACTCCCAGGATGTGCTGCCAGCACCCCCTCCCGAAAGTTAATTACAGCTAGAGCTCTTCTCTGACCTCAGATGTTTTCCAAACACAAAATGAATTTTTTAGAACCTACAGAATGTAAGTTAAGATCTCTGCTGCTTGCTTAAGGGACTGTTGGAATCCTTTTCAGAGCTTTCCAGCCTTGTTAGGACTGCTTGGTCATTTATTATTGGCATGTGGGTGGACATCTAACTCACAGCTGCTATTTCACAAACAGTAATAATATTGAGGCCACTTGGTGAAATCAAAACAACACTAGAGTTCTGGCTGTCTTCTTTCCATCTATAAAACAAGGATATCCTGAGTGCAGTGAGAGGGCCTGGAATGTGTGGTATGATAGTTGTGGCTCTGCGGAGACCTTCCTCCTGTGTTTCAGGGCATTGCTGACATGCTGTACCCTTTGGTCTTGCCTTCCATGTACCACAGGATCGATAAACAAATAAGCAGGTTTCGGAGATGGTTACCTAAGAAGCCAATGAGGCTGGACAAGGAGACACTGCCAGACCTGGAGGAGAATGACTGCTACACTGCCCCTTTCAGCCAGCAAAGGATCCATCAGTGAGTGTTCCATGTTAAAGCCCCATCTCACTAAGGATGTGCAGCTGTGGTAGAGCCTCACCCTGCACGCCTTTGATTCCTGGGCATGAGGAAGGAACAGCATAGTGCCCTTCTCCCCTAAAAGTCTTGTGAGTGTTCATATCCCTTTTATTTCAGTCAGGGGAAGATAACTGCTGTAACCAACAATCCCTGCATCTCAGTGGCTTAAGATGATACAATGCTTGCTCATGTGTGTGTTGGGTAAATGATCTTCTCCACAGAAAGGCAGTGACCCAGGCTCTGTCATTCTCATTGCTCTGCCAACTCCCTGTGCACGGAGCCCCCTGCAGGCTCATCTGCATCTAGCCAGCAGACAGGAGGAGTGGCCTACACCTTTTCCCATTGAAAAGAGGGTTTTTTGTTTTCCGGTTTTTGTTTTATCTTGGTTCACTTCTCAGTTCCCCTTTCTTCAGCAGTTCACTGGGTTGCCTTAGGAAAAGCCACATCACCTGGCAGCCCACTTGCTGAGTCATCTGTCAGATTGTCTCAGAATGGTTATTTGTCACTTTTGACATGGGGGGAGGAAAAACAAGTTGGCTAAGTCACTGAGCCTGTGAGGAACTGCAAAAATGAAAGAGAATTTACTCTGAAGCTTCTGAGATGACAAGAAATGATGGCTGGATGCAGGGCAGGGCAGGCAGGAGGACAGAAAAGCCTGCCGTGTGCTGGAGACTGTAAACAATAGGAGAAACACAGCCTCTCAGTGGAGGCAGAGATCAGGTCAGCCCCACCTCCCTTGCAACAAGATCAGGAATTCCAGGCCCTCTTGCTCCAGCAGTAGTGACAGCCTCCATAAAAATGACTTACCTGGAGGGAAGAAAAGGGTGATGGATTTAAAAAAAAAAAAAAAAAGGTTGCTGATTTTGTGAGAAAGTAAACCAGGCTGAGTGCTGTGGCTCACATCTGTAATACCTGCACTTTGGGAGGCAGAGGCAGGCAGATCACGAGGTCAAGAGTTTGAGACCAGCCTGACCAACATGGTGAAACCCCGTCTCTACTAAAAACACAAAAATTAGCTGGGCATGGTGGTGCACACCTGTAATCCCAGCTACTCAGGAGGCTGAGGCAGGAGAATCACTTGAACCTGGGAGGCGGAGGTTGCAGTGAGCCAAGATTGTGCCATTGCACTCCAGCCTGGGTGACAGAGTGAGACTCTGTCTCAGAAAAAAAAAAAAAAAAGAAAGAAAAACAAAAAACGAAGGTAAGCCAAATGGCAGTTTTCAAGAAGTTGCAGGGAGTGCCAGGTGGGGACATATTTCAGCAACAGAAAAACGGTTAAAGTCTGTGGAGCTCTGCAGGGCAAAGGGGAAAAGAAAAATCAAAGAATAGATGTTCTGAATCAAAAATGTGTAACAGTAAGAGCAGTCTAATGCAGGGGAAGCAACTCTGTACGCCTCTGAAATAGCCGAGCTGATCCCCACAGGTCAGATTAAAGCCAACCCAGCTGCAGTATGTGAACATTTGAAAGGGTCATTGAAGCAAACATGGAATTCACAGACTGGCCTCAAAATCTTAGTTCGATCCTCAAGAGAAAGTGGGAACTGGAAGGGACATAATGTTAATTCAGAGATCAGGGTGTTTTCTTAAGAGAAAAAGACAGAAAAAAGCTGATACGTTCCCATTCTTAATTTAAACCCCTACCATGTCTCTCTTGTTCATCTTGGAAGTTTTTTAGACAATGAGTTGTTTCCCTAATTCTTCCGGAATGATGTCTGGTTTACAGGCAGGTTTTCCCTGTGCTTCTACCTGTTTATGATAGAGTTCCTAGCACAGTGCAGAAGGGTATCACCAATTTTGGATGATGGATGGATGGATACATTGATAGGTTGCTGGGTGGGTGGGTGGATGGATGGATGGATGGATGGATGGATGGATGGATGGATACATGGATAGGTCACTGGATGGATGGATAGATGGATGGATGGATGGATGGATGGATGGATGGATGGATGGATGGATACATGGATAAGTCACTGGATGGATGAGTGGATACATGGATACATCACCAGATGGATGGATGGGTGGATAGATGGATGGATATATGGATGGATGGATGGATGGATGGATGGATGGATGGATGGATGGATGGATAGATGGATGGATAGTGTATATGGATAGGTCACTGAATGGATGGTTGGGTATACACATGGATAGGTCACCAGATGGATGGATGGATGGATGGGTGGATGGATGGATGGATGGATGGATAGTGTACCTGGATAGGTCACTGAATGAATGGATGGGTATATACATGGATAGGTCACCAGATGGATGGATGGATGGATGGATGGATGGATGGATGGATGGATGGATGGACAGATGGATGAATAGATACATGGATGGGTATAGGAGTGGTTGTGTAGGTGTATAAATGAATAGAGGAATAAATGAAGTAAGTGGTATACACTCTGGGATTTTATTTCACTTCAAAGGGAGGATATATGAGATATAGGTAAATGGAAGAAAAAAATGAATGAATATATGGATAGATGGATGGATAAATTAGTGAAGTATGTGATGTGTGCTCTGGTATTTTGTTTCACTTCAAAGGGTTATAGGTGTATGGAAGAGGAGGGTTTCCCACCTCCTCTTTTCATGCTGTTTATATTCTACAGTGTTCTTGCTTTAGAACAATACTTCTCAGCGTGATTCTTAAAGTCAGAAGCCCTTGGATACCCAGTAGAATTTCTAGGGACTAGAACTGAGAATCATATTTTTGGAAGTATTTAAAAATATATAATAAATGAGGGATGATTAGATTAGGGATATTTAGCCAACTCTCTCACATATTTGAGAAGCCCTTTTGACATGCTTTGGTATTAATTTGTCAAATAATTGATTTATTCAATAGTCACTAATTTAGTGTTCACTTCTTGCCAGGCACTGTCTGGGTACAGAGGGTATAAAGATAAACAATACTCAGTTTGGACCCTGGTGTAGTAAAGATGCAGACTATTTTAAATAATTGTAAACAGTATGATGGGTGTGACTTAAGAGGGGGAATACTCAATTCTCCAGATTTGGAGGGAGGTTGGTAAGTGATGAGGATTGATCACAAGAGAATGCTTGATATGGGTCTTGAAGGATAAGACTTGCCCAAGTGGATAAGGGGCGAAAGGCATCCCAAGAGGAGACAGTAACGTGTGTATAAATGAACGAAGGCGTGAAATAGGATGGAGTGTTTTGAGGAACCACAAGTAGCCTTCTCTGAGTAAGAGCATAGGTTTGTGAGGAGGACCTAGTGTTGTTTGAAAAAAGAGAGTGATCAATGGAAGATGAGATATCAAGACAGGAGAACCAAGGAAGAAAAAGCAGAGGACAGCTGGAATGAATCAAACCGAAGAACCAGACCTCAGTGGGACCAAGAGAATAGAGGCAATTTTATCGTGTAAATAAGAGGTGAAAAATTAAATAAGTGTCTTGAATATTATGAGTGGTGAGGATTTATTTCTCTTTGAAAATTGCCATGTCACATAGATAGCATCCCTCGGGTGTATAAAAGTATGACTTGAAGAATGCTGGCTGTCAAATTGGAAACAATTGTTGGGTACAATCAGAAAAGAATTCCCTAAGGATGTTTTGAGAGTGACATTAATGGATTTAAATTAATCAGAAGTAGCTGGTTAATAAGCTCTGGGAATTATAGCATGATATTCCTGGCTTTCCAAATATAGTCCAAAATCCCATGTGACTTCTTAGTTTTCCAGAATGTTTCATATTGTGTTTTTCTTGGAATACAAGCTAATAATAGAAATGTAAGTGTGTTCGTTAGGGGGTGAGGTGGGAGGAGGGCATGAAAATAGTAAAAAAAAAAAAAAAAAAAAAGAGAAAAACATTGAAAGTTTAATAAGTGTTTCATCAGAGACATTTCCCACTGAAAAACCTTTCGAGATTTTCCAACCTCCACCCCCAATTCTGGTTGAGATGTACTCATCTATGTTTTAGTAATATTTTTCTTTTCCTTAACCAATATTACCACCCATTTTAATTACTTTCTCCAAGTCTAGAGACTCCTTGAAAGACTATGCCTTTCTCACTCATTTTTGAATCCCATAGTAAGTGCTTAATAATGATTTTTTAAATGAAAAAATAAATGAATAGATAGAAACAAAAGTAGGAGAATCATGTAAGTAAAGAATAAAGCTGATGTGAAGTCAGCTGACTGCACACTCATCTCAAACCAAATCCAAGATACCTTCTTTTCAAATGTAGACTACCTCCATTGTTCCCTGTCTCAGTAAACAGCACTAATATTTGTCCAGTTGCTGAAACTGGAGTCTGGAAGCTATTCTAGACACCTCTCTCATCTCTGCTTCTTACAAGTTATACATCTCCACGGATTGATGATTTTACATCCTAAATATCTCTATACTTCAGACTTTGTCACTGTATTTCACTTGAAATTCAGAAATAATATAACAGGTCTCCCTGGTTTTACTCTTGTCACCACCAATCCATTCTCTCAGGTGCATACTGCATGGTGTCTTCAAAATGTGCATCTAATCATGTCACTTCATTCTCTTTAAAAACTTTAGACACCAAAATTATTACTATGACTTACAAGCTCTTAAATGCCTACCTGCACTGCCATCCCCTCTCCAGCCTCATCTGCCTTTCTTGCCTCCCACTCTTCATTTGTTGTGATCCAGACACATGCAGCCTCTCCTCTCTCAGCTCTTTGGATATACTCTGCCCCAGGACATTTGCATATGTTGTTTCCTCTCCTGGAATTCTCTTCCGATTCTTTCCTTCTTCATGTAGTATGCTGTTATTCATCCTCCAGAACTCAGCTCCAAAGACTCCTGCTATGGAAGCCTCCCCTGACCCTCTCCTTCCCCACTAATCCTTCCAAAGATTGGGTCTCTGTTCTATACTGTTGTAGTTAATGTTTCCTAGATAACATTTTTTTAACAATTGAAATGCTATAATTATTTGAGTAGCATATGATTAATGCCTGTCTCTCTAGGTAAATGGTATACTCTGTGGAGCCATAGGCCATATCTGTTTTTGCCCATGATTGTATCTCCAATACCTAACACAATACCTAGCATAAAATTGGCACACAATGCTGGTCTTCTAAATGAAGGAGTGAGGATTGAAGTCAGAAAGACAGCACAGAATAATCTAATTGTAAACCTTTATTCTTTAACTGCACTGTACAAAAATATTAAAGTTGAGAATCTATTAAAAAACAAATACCTGCCAGCCACAGTGTCTCACCCCTGTAATCCCAGCACTTTGGGAGGCTGAGGTGGGAGGATCACTTGAGCTCAGGAATTCAAGACCAGCCTAGGCAACAGAGTGACACCCATCTTTACAAAAATTTAAAACTAGCAGGGCGTGGTGGTGCATGCCTGTAGTCCCAGCTACTTGGGAGGTTGAGCTGGGAGGATCATTTGAGCCCAGGAGGTTGAGGCTGCAGTGAGTTATGATTGTGCCACCATACTCCAGCCTGGGCAACAGAATGAGACCCTATCTCTCAAAGCAAACAAACAAGCAAACAAACAGCCTAGCATTCCATTTGAAAATATATCTGTATTTAAGGAGGAAGAAAGCAAACCTGTGGGTGTACAAGTCAACATACAAATGCTACTTGGTCACTTTATATGAGCTTACCAAGGTGGGCCTACAGGTAGAAAAATTCTTATTGTATGCCAGACACTATTTAAGAACTTTAATACAATAGTTTGAGGGCTGAGGTATTATTATTATCACCAATTTACGGATGAGGAAAGTGAGGAACAAAATGGTCAAAGAACCTGCTATAGGTCGTACACCTAGGCGAGGCTACCTGTCTAAACAACTCCCAAATATCAGCAGTAGAACAGCATAGAAGTTTACTTGTTCACAGCACTATCTAGTGTGGGTCACTCTGGGGGAAGGAGGCATATGTCTCTGATTCATGTAGTCATTCAGGTACCTAGGCTACTGTTATCTTGTTATTCTGCCATCCCCTAAATCCCTTACAGACAAGGAAAAAGAGAGATGAGTGATTTTTTAGGAAATTTTTATGGGCCAGGCCTAAGAGTGGTATATAGCACTTTCACACACATTTCGTAGTCTAGAGCTTAGTCATGTAGTAATGCTGGGATAACTAGTCTACCTGTGTGCCCAGAAGAAAAAAAGAAGCAGATTTGCCGAATAAATAATCGCAGTCTGTCTGAGTGATAGAGCAGGAATTCAGGTTCGAACAGGAAGGCTCTAGGTCTCACCCTTATAAGCATTACGCTCTATTGTGAGATTTCTCAGCCTCAGCACTAATGGCACTGGGGCTGAATAACTCCTTGTTGTAGGGAAGAGTCCTGTGCAGTGTAGGATAGTAAGCAGCATCTTTAGCCACTAGATGCTAGTAGCATTCCCCAACCCTTTAGTTGTAAGAGAATCAAAAATGTTTCCAGACACTGCCAAATTTCCCCTGGTGGTAGTGGTGGGATGGGTACAAAATCACATCCCTTTCCTCCAGCCTTGAAAACCATGGTTCTACTGTCTTTCATCACATGACACCCTTTAGGCAGGGCCACCCATTCTCTGTGATAAATTAAACTCTATTTGAATCTAATGACTATGACAGCCAAGTCCATTTAAGAATTAATTTATCTCTCTTCACCTCTGTGCCTGTGAATGTTGCCCTGCTTAAGTATCATTGCCCTTCATTCTTAAAATGGCATTAGCGATGACACCCTTGAGGCAATTACTTTCTAAGGTCAATACCCATAATAAAGGTTTTCTGCTGGTAGACAGAAAAAAGGAAATATGCAAGAAGAGTCGTGTTACTTTTTATAATAGATATACAGGACATTCTTTCAGGAAATAGATCAATTCTGATTGTCTTTCAGAAAAATGTGCTAGATATAGACAGAAAAATGTTCTCCCCTGCATTTTCTGTGTTTTTATTATTACCATTATTTTATTTTTGTAAACACCCATAAAAATTGAGGTTAAATTAAATACCAGTTCTTAAGAGAAGAATATGAAATTTATGCTATGCTACGTGCACATATGTTTAAATATATATTCACTCATCCACGTATTCCATACCAGTTGTTGCTCTGGGTGCTTGGAGATCAACAGTAAACAGAAAGGCAAAAATTCCTGCCCTCCTGGAGCTTACATTGTAGCTGGGTGTAACTGGTAATAAATTATAAACCAGCAGTTGTCAGTGAGGGGTAATTTGACAACGTCTAGAAAAATTTTTGGTTGTCACAAGTTAGGAGTGGAGATTGCGACTAGTGTCTAACGTGTAGAGGCCAGGGATGCTGCTGAACATCCTGTAATGCACCCAACAGCTCCCCACAACAAAAAATTATCCAGCCTCAAAAGTCACTATTAGTGTGCTGAGGTAAACATTTTTTGAAGTCAATTTAAAAGCAAGTGAAAAGGGGATAAATGCTATGGGAACAGAGAAAAAGAGGGTGGGGTGAGGGGAATGGGGAGGACTGCATGGGGGTGGGGGTGCAGGTTGTATTTCCAAAAGACAGTGTTTCAGTTCTTCAAGGCAGGCCTCCTACAGAAGGTGTGATTGGAAAAAATCTTGCAGGAGGTGAGAAGGGCAGAGAGAGTTCCAAGAGGGGAACAGAAAACAAAACCAAGGCCCTAATCTGGGAGAAGCTCTGATTGTGTTTGGGGAAGAGAACAAAGACCTTGTGGCTGGAGCAGAAATACCAAGGAGAACAACAATAGTGATGAGTTAGAGGCGTGGGAGGGAGCCTGATCCTGTAAGGCCTGTGGGCTTTTACAGAGGAATGACGTGGTCTGACTTAACTTTTGACAGTGTCATTCTGACTGCTCTGGCAACTGCAGTCATCCGTGTGAAGCATGATGTATTTATATTTTTTCAAGTTTCTATCTTTTCAAAATCAATAATGAAAATACATGCCACATATAACTCAGCATTGACCCATTTCTTTGCAAAGCTTTTGTGTTGTACACAAAATGTTTTAACTCATGTACTGTGCATGTATGAAACAGATATTATTGAAAGACCCCTTGAAATAAAGTCTGCCTTTAAAAGGCACAGATTTTATGTGAAATAAAATCACATGGCTTTAGACTCCTACTTTCATCTCCTACTAGACCGTGAGCTACCTGAGGACAGGAGCTATGTGCCTGGGAGCAAGGGGCACCCAGGGAATGTTTGTGAGACCAAAGAGAACAGGAAAGGAGCAAGGCAGAATTGGCATTGTTACCGCTGGGGGACAGAGCCAGGGCTCTGGAGCCAGCTTCTCTGATCTTGATGCAGCATCTAAAAACTGTAGAATATTTAGAAGAGAAGTGAAAAATGCGGTCAACCACAATGGTCAATTGTGGTTTCCATGTCCAACTTGAACTTTCCCTTGACTTGATTCAGTTTTGGCTTTAGTTCTGCTAACTGATAATCTATCTTCTCTATCAAACATTTTACGGCCATTAAATTCTGTTATCAGGATTCACATCTGATACTAAGATATTTAATTCATGCATCACACTTTTTAATTATGTGTGATGTGTAGTATACAAAATGGGCATTATAAAAAGACCACCTGACACAAAATTTGCTTTCACGCCTTTTTCTGCTTCTATGCTGTGAGCTAGGGCATAAGAAAAAAGTCTAGAGAATAACAAAATGACATAGTTCTTTGTGCCTAAGAAAAAGCGCTAACAATGGAAATGTTGGTGCTGGGGTCATGGAGGGTTTGTAAGAATGGGAAAATGTTGGCTGGGTGCAGTGGCTCATGCCTGTAATCCCAGCACTTTGGGAGACCGTAGCAGGTGGATCACCTGAGGTCAGGAGTTTGAGACCAGCCTGCCAACATGGTGAAACCCTGTCTCTACTAAAAATACAAAAAATTAGCTGGGCGTGGTGATGGATGCCTGTAATCCCAGCTACTCGGGAAGCTGAGGCAGGAGAATCACTTGAACCTGGGAGGCGGAGGTTGCAGTGAGCCGAGATTGTGCCACTGCACTCCAGCCTGGGCAACAAGAGTGAAACTCCGTCTCAAAAGGCAGTGGGGCAGGGAGAAGAATGGGAAATTGTTGCTGGAGGGACAGTGAGTGGGAGATTCTCTGAGATTCTCTGTAACATCCCTTTGATTGTCTTCTTATCTTTTGACTGTTCTCAGCAGAAAAGGCAGCAAGTTAAAGCCAGTAGTGATCAGCCAATCAAACAGTGGTAGCACCAATGGCAACAATAAAAATGATAGCAACCACTGTTTACTAAACAACTCCTTCATTCCAGGGTTACACCATAGGTATATTACAAGTCTGTGAGGGTAAGGGTAGAATAATGATGGTCAGAGAGGCTGAGTGACTTGCTCATGGTTGCTCTGGTCACTGTTAGATGAGTGAACAGAAAGAAGTGTCTTTTCAGCTGGGTGTGGTGGCTCACGCCTGTAATCCCAGCACTTTGGGAGGCCGAGGCAGGCGGATCACGAGGTCAGCAGTTTGAGACCAGCCTGGCCAACATGGTGAAACCCTGCCTCTACTAAAAATACAAAAATTAGCTAGGCGTGGTTGCGCGTGCCTTTAATCCCAGCTACTCTGGAGGCTGAGGTAGGAGAATAGCTTGAACCCTGGAGGCGGAGGTTGCAGTGAGCCGAGATCCCACCACTGCACCCCAGCCTGGGACAGAGCGAGACTCTGTCTCAAAAAAAAAAAAAAAAAAAAGTGTCTTTTCTCCACAGTGCTGCCACCTCCTGTAGGTGCCACATAAATGGAGCCTAAATACAATTTTTCAACTGCCTTACCCTAGGGATAAGCCTGTGCATGTGAAGACATCTGATTTCCTTTGGAATTTATTGTTAAAGCATTCGAGATGCATTAAACAGACATGAAATAAAATGGTAAAAATATAAATGAATATTCTGAACCAAGGAGAATATAAGTTAAAGTAGGCATTCAAGTTCAGGGAAAAAGTAGGCTCAGATTTGCAGGCCTCAGTGGCCTATGTATCTGTAATGGTTGACGAATAAACTAGAAAATTGGCCTTTACACCAAAGGGGCCAAGCGGAAGGGAGAAACGTAGTAACTCATGTGATTCTGATTGTCAGAGACGAAGAAAACCAATACCATAGGTAATGGGTTGCTTTTTGACTCTGAAATAAAATTCTTGCACAGGGTCATTGGAGTGGACAGTGAAATAGTGATATGGTGGACAGTATCCCTGGTAACCTCTTTATCACAGGTGCCTTGCAGGACTTTTCTGAAGGCTGTTTCTGGTAGTCCCATCAGCATGGTTCTGAAGACTTAACTGCTCATGGCCATAACTTTCTGTGAGAGTTTAGGCAAGGTATCCAGCAAAATACTGCAGTATACCTGTGATGGTTAATACTGACTGTAAACTTGATTGGATTGAAGGATGCAAAGTGTTGATCCTGGGTGTGTCTGTGAGGCCAAAATAGATTAACATTTGAGTCAGTGGGCTGGGGAAGGCAGACCCACCCTTAATCTGGGTGGGCACCACCAAATCAGCTGACAGTGAACATAAAGCAGGCAGAAAAAACGTGAAGAGGCGAGACTGGCCTAGTCTCCTAGCCTACATCTCCCTCCCGTGCTGGATGCTTCCTGCCCTTGAACGTGAGACTCCAAGTTCTTAAGTCTTGGGACTCAGACTGGCTCTCCTTGCTCCTCGGCTTGCAGGCAGCCTATTGTGGGACCTTGTGATCATGTGAGTTAATACTTAATAAACTCCCCTTTATCTATCTATCTATCTATCTATCTATCTATCTATCCATCCTATTAGTTCTGTCCCTCTAGAGAACCCTGACTAATACAACACCCAAACTAATCTAGTTGTCTTTGTTGTTTGAACTGTATTCTTTAAAAACTAAATTTGAAAACTGATCAAAAAGCAAATAACATCACATTCTAGTTGAAAATGGTTCCATGTTTGAGAAACAATAGAAGCTAACCAGTGGGTACACATCTCTATACGTCAATGCATAAAGCCCTTCGTCATTTTATATCTTATCACAAGAGCTAGGCCTACAGGCTGCCCATCAGCCATGATTGTATGGCCACCTAAACATCTGACCCCACAGAAAGCTCTCTCACACTAGCCAGCTATGGAAACTCAGGTTGTCAATATTAGAGTCAGTCATTCCAGGAGGCCCCTCTCAAAACTCAATTTCAGAAAAGGTCATTTCAATAGAACCATATGAAATTTATTATAGGAATATGATAGCTAACATTCATATAGTGCTTAGTGGGTTCCAAGTACTTCACGGTTATAAACTCATTTAGTCCTGTGAGTAAGGTATCGTCATTATCCCCATTTTTACAGAGGAGGAACCTGGGGCACAGAAGGGTTAAGTAACTTATCCAATGTCAAACAGTTGGTAAGAGGTAGGGCCTGGATTTCAAGGCCAAGCATTCTGGCCCCAGTCTTATCTTTTTAACATTGCATGTTAGTTTTCTATGGCTGCTATAACAAATTATCACTGACTTAACTGTTTAAAACAACAAAATTTATCATCTTACAATTCTGAAGGCTAGGGTGCAACATGGGTGACACTGAGCTAATTAAGGTATGTCAAGGCTGCACTCCTTTCTGGAGGAGAATCTATTTCTTTGCCTTTTCTAATTTCTGGAAGCTACTACATTCCTTAGCCCATGGCTTCTTCCTTTATCTTTAAAGCCAGCAACGGTAGTTGAGTCCTTCTCACATCACATCACTCTGACTTTGCTTCTGTCTTCACATCTTTTTCTTCTCTGACTCTTTTGCTTTCCTCTTCCATTTTTAGGGACCCTTGTGATTATATTGTACCTATCTAAATAATCCAGGTAATCTCCCTGTCTTAAGGTCAGCTGATTAGCAACTTTAATTCCATCTGCATCATTAATTCCTCTTTGCCATATTGCTTAACATTCTGAGGATGAGGATGTGGATATCTTTGGAGGGCCATAATATTGCCTATCACAGCTGTACAAATTTGCCAATCCAAAAAGTGCCAAGGGTTGGGACAGAGGACAGGAAAGTTTTGATGGGAAAAAAGAAGGAAAGAAAAGAGAGAGGGAGAGAGGAAGGTGGCAATAGGATTTGGGGACATTAAATGAAATGACATATGTAAAAGACTTAGGGCCTGGCGCGATGGCTCACACCTGTAACCCCAGCAATTTGGGAGGCCAATGCAGGCAGATTGCTTGCAGCCAGGAGTTTGAGACCAGCCTGGCCAACATTGTGAAACCCCCTCTCTACTAAAAAAAAAAAAAAACTTTAGCCAGGCATGGTGGTGCAAGACTGTAGTCCCAGCTACTCAGGAGGATGAGGCAGGAGAATCACTTGGACCAGGGAGGCAGAAGTTGCAGTGAGCCGAGATCATGCCACTGCACTCCAGTCTGGGCAACAGAGCGAGACTCCATCTTAAAAAAAAAAAAAAAAAGGCTTAGTCCAGTACCTGGCAGATAGAAAGCACTCAACAAATCAACAAATGATAGTTATCATTATCATTATTACCACAAACCAGCAGTATACTGAGAATCCTTTGGAGAATCTGCAAAGTTGCAGTTGGTGTGTAATGGGAAAGTTTGAGGTGACAGAGACTGATTTTGCAAAGGCTCATAACTGACCTGAACTGGAATTGCTTTGCTTTTAAGCCAAATGTTACTCAGTGTTCCAGATACTTTGCCATTTAACATTTTATGTGTCAGTAACATATGACTACTTGCTTTTAAACTCTCAGCATAGATATCGGAAGATAGTGATTCTTCTAACCTGTGCCTTTTACTGTATTTTTGTTTCAAAGAACTGAAGAGTTTTTTTTATTGTTTTCATCGATCTGAAATCTTTAGAGAATCCTTCAGGCAGAGGTACCAAGATTGATTTACGTAGGATTAAGGTTCTTTTAGTGCCTCAATGACTTAAAGCAGTCTCTGAACACTTATTTTATTGCAGTTACTTATTCGGCATTAGGATCCTCAATATTCAGGTTGTTTGTATTGATCCTTAGAGTCAGGGGAAACATATCTATGTTCTGGAAAGTCTTAAACTGAAATGAAAATGAAAAAAGCCACGCATCTTGAGATTTGTGCTTCTCAAGATCATACAGCTCCTTTTAAGTAGGACATAATTTAATGACTTTAAAGGGACAAAGAGGTCACCTAATCAGGTGGGAAAAGCATACCTCTGGGTATCTGGAGGCCCAGTAGTTAGTTGGGTCTGTTATCTTAATATTTGTGAGAACATCTGTGAATAAGTCACTTGGAAATATTTTATTACATTTATCTATCTGTAAATACATAGTTTGTTTTTCTGCTTATCAGTTCATTCATTTAACAAACACTTTCAATGCCTATTATGTGCCACATATTGTACTATAATAGAAAAATATATACAATATGTTGATGTATATTTATGTGTGCATGTATATTTATGTGTGCATGTATATTTTTATTTAAAATTTTAACTTCAGTATGTTAAGTTCGATAGTCAAGAGGCTATTTTCCTCATCAGAATGGTAAAAGGCAATTTAAAACACCTATAGGAAAGGGAAAGAGTTGTCAAATTTACGTACAGTAAAATAAGGAGGGGTTAACCTAAGAGGAAGGAAGGGAACTAGGATCCCATCTGTTGCTATAGTATACGTATGTAGTCACACTGTGCATTAAGTCTTAGGAAACAACAGTGGTGAGAGGAGACAAGGAAGAGCAGAGGTGAGGAAAACCTAGTGCTTCACAGGCAGGTAGACACTCTGGTGCCCCATTGGTCAGTATTCTGTGCCAGGCTGTGCACTGCACGCCCTCCACATTATCTTTTTTGACCCTTGCAAAAACCCTGAAACATAATTTTACAGAAGGAGGCGCAGAAACTCAGAAACATTAAATACTTTAAGCCAGGGTTACCCAGTAACAAATAGACTTGGAGTTAGAACCCAAATCTGTCTCATTGCAAACCCATGCTCCTTCCATAATACAACCTGACATATATTGACTGCCCACTAGACACCGGGCTACCTGGGAGGCTACTGGTATTGTTATTTCCGTTTAGAGAAATGGAACACGGAGGAGTAAGTCACCTACCTGAGTTGCACAGTTGGTCAAAGTAGGAAAACACCCTGAGCAGCTGGGGGAGGGTCATTTCTGGGCCTGCTTCTGACTCACATCCAGGAGTGGCACTGGGGAGAAGGAGTTGTTAAACCTGTAAACTGTGAAGATGGTAGTTTATTCAAATAACCACTAATTCAAGACCACGTCTTAGAAATGTCTTTGTCTGTGGGGAAAAACCTGATTCTTCTCACTTCCCACTTTCCTCACCCCTGATACAACACCCACACCATCAGTTTGGTGTTTCCCATTCTAGATGAGTGATTTCACCACTGTGTGTTGACCAACCTTGACGCTCCCATCTTCCTCGCTGCCCACCATCACCACCAAATCCTTTCGGCCCTTCTCCTCCTTTCTAACCCCACTGCCATTGCCTTAGTGGAAGCAGCCACTTAGATGAACAATTACGACAGTCTCTTCACCTCTGTCTTTCCTCACTCCCAAATCTGTCTATCCCACTCATGTCACAGGACATTTGCAAGGCTGCTGGCACTGGTTCCTACAGTACCTGTGCACAGTTAGAAGAAGGACATCCTTCCTCTAGGAATATTCGTAGCGCATGGATTGGCAAGCAGAGTATGGACAGGGTCAACCCTTCATCATGCCCTTGGCTGTGCACCTGCAGGAGTGAATAATGCACAGTAGTGCCACGTGTAGTAACATTGCTTCCTTGCTTAACAGCTTTTAATGATTCCCCAGGGCCTTTGGGATAAAGCTTAAATTTCTTCACATGGCATACAAAACTGCCTTTTTAGCTTCTTCCCTTCTCCCCCCAGCCTTTTGGGCTGGTGCTCCTGCAGCATGGGAATGGAAGTGACCCTAAATATTCCATGACTATTTTTCCTCTTCCCAAGGTGTGCTCTCTTTCCTCTCACTCTTTGGTAATATCCTGTTCTTCCCTCAGTAACGAGTTCAGGTGTCATCTTCTTTATGAAACATCTTATGTCTCATGTCTCATGCAGACAGCATTAGACTTCTGGGCCCATTAGCCTCTGTAAATGCTTTAATTATGGCACTGACTATTATATCACAGTTACTTGTTTTCATGACTGTGTTCTACACAAAGCCCAATTCAGCAGCCAAAAGTAATTAGAAGGGAGCTCCAGACTAAGTTTCTCAAAGGACATAAAGGGAAACCATATCCTCAGCATCCATTTATTATCATCCTTTCCTCTCCTTCCTTAGTCAAAGGTCATCCTCCTACTGTTGACAAAAGCATTCCTCCTCTGCCCTAGCCTATACGGTTTTTCTTTCCTCTTCCTATGTTGCTCTCCTCCCCACAAACCTCAGCCCTCTCTCCTATTGCTTTCTTATATGGATTGCCACAGCTTCTCCATCAGGAAAAAAGAAAACACTCATCTTCTTCAGGCGAAGCCATAAATTACAGGATTATCATTGTTAGGTTAGAGACTGTGTCAGCCAGGTTCTGCTGGGTTCTGATACAACAAACCCTCAAATCTCAGTGGCCTGCACAAAGGTTTATTTATAGCTCACATAACATGTTAGCAACGGGTCAACTGAGGCTTTGCCTCACATGATTCCTTTATCATGGGATCTGGACTGAAGAAGCAGTCTGTAAGACATGCATTCTCATAGCAGAGGGAAAAAGTAATGGCACAACCACACATTGACTTTTGAAATTTCTGCTCAGATGTGGCATATATCACATATCCTCACACTCTGTGTGCCAAAACAAGCCTTATGACCAAGCATAGTATCAATGTGGTAGGGAATTATATGCTTTCTCCAGGCAGGGAGAATGTCAGTAACATGGTAATGAGTAGAGATATATTTTCAAAGCAGCAAATTGGGACTAATAAGACAGTATGCTCAGGAATACCTCGTATTAATATTGTTTTGTTTTGTCACATTCGCATGGCACATCAGTCTGTGAGCTTACGGGGCTCAGATGATGTCTCATACTTTTTTTTATGATTTACACGTAATTGCACATATTTATATAGGAGGAATAAGTTCTGGTGATCTATTGTATAGTAGGATGACTAGAATTAACAATCATGTATTGTATATTTCAAAATATCTAGAAGAGAAGTTTTTGAATATTCTCATTAGAAGGAAATGGTAAATGTTTTGTTCTGAACACCTAGCATATTTTTAGAAAAGGAATTTTCCATGCAAGTTAACAAAGACCTGGGCAGAAGAGAGATCTCTGTAGGGTAGAAATCACACTTGAAACTGGAATATTTGAAAATTCCAAATCAAAAATCTATCTTTATACTTGGGTGATATTCCTATCAGATTACCAAGCAGGATAGGTAGATGGCTGCTTCTGTGGTGTGTAGTTTCTCAGAGAAGGAGGTCTCCTCTCCAAAGAATGTTTCTTTCTCTAGATCCCTATACTACTTAGGTTCCATTCAGGAAAACTGAAACCTGGCAGTTATTTTTTTAAAAAAAGGATACTGTGGGGGAAGTGAAGAACTATAGTGTCGCAAAGGAAACACTGAAGTCAAGCAGATGATAACTGCAGGAAGTGAAGCAGCTACTGCCTCTAGAGTTGGGGGAGCAAAATGAAGAGGTTGGGGTTATCGGAACCAAGATGCTCAGAGAGGCCCTGTGGAGCTGAGCCTCGGACTCCTGGGGAGGAGATTCTGCCCTTGTGGTGCTGGGCCCTCAAGGATATGGGGCAACGGAGTGAGCCTAGTTTGGGGAGTGTTGCTTTTCAGCTGGAAACTGGAACCAGCTGCCATTGTGAGGTCAGAGGATCATTGCTGACAGGAACAGGCAGGCAAACAAGAAGGACCAAGGTCCTTTCACCTGTTCTCCCTTCCAGTCTCCCTCTCATGCCCTGTACTGACAGAGCATATCAGAGAGACAGACAGCAATGCAGAAATGTAGTTTGCAGAGTCTCTATTCTGGCATTGTATTATAGAAAAGAGTAAGGAAGGGGAAATCAGAGATAACTTAATAGACAGCACACTCCCTAATACCTGGAATTTTACAATTTGAACTTTAATCCTTTGGCTAAAGTCATCCTCAATTAAAATAAAAATGTCCCTTGGAAAGATGAAAATTTTAATGTCCTTCTTTATTGACACCCCATTATGAATAGTTTATTGAAAATAAGAAGAGGAAGCAAGAGATACAGATGAGGTATTTTGGCCGTAGCAGGGGCAGATAGAGAATGCCACAAAGATGGTGGAGGGCCAAAAAAGAGCAATGAAAACAGGGGGATCATGGAAGATAAATTTTACCAACTTCCAGATTTTGCAGATGCTTGGCAGAGTTTCTAGGACTTTGCTGCTCCCAGCAATATAAATGAACAGCAGGGACAGAGATGGATCTGTCCATTTGGTCAACATTCAGAACAACTCAGCTCATATAAAAATGAGACCCATGACTAAGATCAGACTAAGATGGAGGGAGCCATGGTTGAGTCACTGAATAATAAACTTATGCAGGGACAATTGCCTAAGTAATTCAAGCAAAACCTTACTATTGACTGAATTACAGTAGTGCCCTAATTAGTGGAACGCTGAGAGCTTAGCTTATTCTAAATTGGATTTTTCTGGTCTGAGGATTAATTAGGAAATATTTCCAGACTTGTTTTATAGATTAAAAAAAATGATTTCCTCTTTATTCTGGCTCACTTTTGAATAGCAAATAAAACTAATCTCTAATAAATTTGAATATTGCATTGTTTTCATTTTTGAGTGTCTATCTCAGTTGAGTCTGCATCAAGTACCAGTTCTGTGGCAAGAACTGTGTAGAGCTGGACAAAGATGAATGAATCATTTTCTGACCTTAAGGATTAATGGTTGAGCTCACTCAAGCTCTGGTTGGAAACACAGGGCCTGGGTGCCCAATCCCAGCTCTGTAACTTGTAAGGTATGTGATTCTGAGCTTCAACCTCTTCATCTGTAAATTGGAAATAATAAAAAATAGCCATATAATATTGTGAAAATTAACAACACAGTATATCAGTGCTTATGGTATATGTTCGATAAAGGTATTTTATTTTTGTTGATAATTTTGATGGAACCTTATATATAAATAGATAATTTTAGTATATGTGAATTCTATAAATGCTGATTTTCATGATCCAGTCTTAAAGGTAGATAGTTTAAGATTGGTGGGAAGTTTTCCCAATTCTAGGATATTACTTTTTTCTCTTACTTTTTTCTTCTCTTTTCTATAGCATCCTTTCTCCTTTCTTTTCCCCTATCATTTCCTCTTCCTGCCTCCTCCTCTTCTTCCAGAATTATCCAGATTGCTATCCACCTCTCCATTTCTCTTGGTTGTGTATACCTAGCCAATATCAAAGGTACTGTTTGGCCTACTGTGCCTTACCAATAGGTTTTCAACCTCTGGCTCAATTAATGCATATCCTTTTGTTAGATAACTGACTCTTTAAAATATTTATTGATGCAACCAATAAATAAAAAGAAAAAGGCTATTCCCCAGCCTTTTTCTACTGTGATACTTTACTTATGCAACATGCTCCCTCATGTTTTCCTGTTCCTGCAGAAAGCACGTTAGAATACCTGGGAGTAAAATGATCCTATTATAAAGGTACCTTAAATCCATTCTGATTTATTTTTTTAATCATTCCCAAGTTTTGGCATTCTAATCATCATTACTGTCAAATACACACCTCACCATTTTGTCTTATTAGGATGTTGTGACACATGGGTGAATAAGACCCCAAAATTTGACTATTGCTTCTTTCTTAAGACCTGTCCTATTGGACATGCACCCTTAGTCCTAGTAATGCTCTTCCTAAAGTAGGTACTTCCTCAAAACACTTGCACATGTGCATTTTGCAGAACGTTCATTAGAGCATTGTTTATAATAATAAAACTTTATAAATAGCCTAAGTATCCACTAGCAAGACAATGAGCCAGTAAACTGTACTGTCCCATACAGTAGACTTCTGAGCAGCAGGGAACATGATGGACTAGAGCTCCTTGTATGAACATCATGAACCTCAATGCTGAGCAAGCAAAGCAACTTGCAGGAGAGTAATTATAGCATGATACCATTTCTATAAAGTTCTAAAATATGCAATACTGTATTTTTAGGAATACCTGCATGTTGTGGATTATAAAACATTCCTGATAGTGGTTACCTCTAGGGGAGGAGAATACAATTAAAAAGGAGGACACAGAGAAACTTCAATTATATTTGCAAACTTTTGATTCTTAAGTTTGTTAGTGGGTATATAGGTGTTTGATGTCGTTCACCAGTGCATTTTTGTATGTTTAAACATATTTTATTAAAAGAAAAAGATGTTCACAAGATCTTATTTCAAAATAGCAGGAACTTATACACTGGGGGCCTGTTTGAACCATGAGAGTCAGTAATCTTATAAAAAGTGACAAATAGTGGGCCAGGCACCATGGTTCATGACTGTAATCCCAGCACTTTAGGAGGCCGAGGTGGGTGTATCACTTGAGGTCAAGAGTTCGAGAGCAGCCTGGCCAACGTGGCGAAACCCTGTCTCTACTAAAAATACAAAAATTAGCTGGGTGTGATGGCATGCGCCTGTAGGCCTAGCTACTTGGGAGACTGAAGCAGAATTGCTTAAATCCGAGAGGCAGAGGTTGCAGTGAGCGGAGATTGCACCACGGCCCTCCAGCCTGGGGGAGAGAGTAAGACTCCATCTCAAAAACATTTAAATGAAAATTTTTAAGTGACAAATAGATGATAATAAAAATCATGAAACTACCATTTATGAGCATCATGTGTATGTAACCACACTGCATGCAGTATCTCTTAATCCTCAAACATCCTCTGAAGTGGGTGTTATGGTTGTCCCCATTTGAAAGATAAGAATTCTAAGGCTTAGAGATGTTACTTTTCTAAATTCAAACAGTTAGTGCTTGGCAGAACCAAGATTCTAACCCAGGTTTGTTTTTTCTTTAACCAACAAAGTAGATATTATTGTATTCCTTCAAGATGTTGTCATTCCAACCAATAAGATATAACCTAGCTATATTATTTGGGGGGGAAAAGAGTGACCCAGAACTCAGAGTTTTGTTTTTGTTTCATTTGGAGATAAGGTCTTGCTCTGTCACACGGGCTGGAGCACAGCTGCGTGATCATAGCTTACTGCAGCCTTGAAATCCTGGGCTCAAGCAGTCCTCCCATCTCAGCCTCCCAGGTAGCTAGGACTACAAGTGTGTGCCAGCACACTCAGCTTGAGTTTCTAAAAAAAAATATTGCGAGCTGCCCACATGTTTACAATATCTTGGGCTCACAAAAGGTAAATTCTATCTATGAGGCGACTTCCCTCAAAAGTCTACCTTCAAGCTGGAACATCAGTATTTGTCAGTCTAATCTAGTGCATAAAATACTGAGCCCTAAAAGCAATAAGAATCATTGTGAAGATTCTGACTTTATTTCAATGTGGATGTTTTATTTTTGAAAATAATTCAATTTTTTAAAATGTTAGTTATCTTTGACAAATATGTTATTCCAAAGGGTTCCTTCCTTCCTTCCTTTCCTACCACCTTATAAATTAAATTAAAATTAGACATGTATACATTTTAAATAGCCCTACAAGGTTTGTTTTGAAAAACAGCAATCCCATGCTTCAACCCTTTATATTTGCCCCTCCCAAGAAGCAGCCCCTTTCAACTCTTTTACCTGTTTATTTTGGCAATTAATGCCTCATATCTAAATAAACTATTTTATTATTACTTTGCTGTTTTTCAGTTATAGCAGAATCTATTACTTCCCCCATAGAGAATAAGAATTTGCTGTTTGTTTCTTCCCTACAATTCTTACTACAGTAGATACCTATTCTTATCCTTTCAACGTAGTTATATTACAATTTAATTACATTATCATAATGTAGATCACTATTTACATAATGACTATACAAATGCTACCCAGAGCTAGGTCATATAGTACAATATGAATCATTTTCCTTTTTTGCGCTATTTTTGCTTGAACTGGAGTAACTCATTCTCTTGATTTTTAATTTTCAAAATTTTCTATGTACCTATTACTAATTCCATCTTACATTCTGCCAGTTATTTGGCAGAGTTTACCTAAATTGTCTAAATTTCAAGATGTTCAGATGCATCATACGTAATCAATTTCATCTTCCTGAGAAAATTACTCTGGAGCCTTCTGACAAGTTCCAATCTGAACTCTTGCCTTCCGCTCCTGTTATAAATTATCATCTTGGTATCTTCCTTTACCAAGGATATCCTAGGATTCTCTTTGTCTTTCACTTTTGTGGCATCTTCTGTTTCCTGTGTATCATTTCTTACACTTTTTTTATTGTACCCTCATTTTGCATTCTCTAGTGACTTCCTAATAAGATTACGTGGATGATATTATTTTTGCGATCATGCATACTGTTATGGGTCAAATTGTGACCTTCTGAAATTCACATGTTAATATCCTAACCCCCAATATCTCAGAATGTGGCCTTAGGTGGTGATAGGGTCTTTAAACAGGTAATTATGTTAAAATGAAGTTATTAGGATGGGCCCTAATCCATTATGACTGGTGCTGTTATATAAGAGAAAATTAAAACACAGACATACACACAGAGAAGATCATGTGAAGACATATAGAGAAAACAGCTATCTACAAGTCAAGGAGAGAAAATTTAGAAGAAAAAACTCTGCTGACAGCTTGATCTTGGACTTTCAGCCTCCAGAACTGTGAGAAAACAAATTTCTGTTTTTTGAGCCACTCAGGGTATGGTACTTTGTTATGACAGCCCAAGCAATGAAGTATATGTTCATTATACTGCACTCATTATGATAGTTGGGCTAGGTATAGAATTCTGTATAAAACCAAAATCTGTTTTTCTCACAATTTTTAAGTTCTTGATCTTTTAACTTCTAAAATTAATATTCAATATTCCTGCTGAGAACTTCAAAAACATTCCAATTCCTAATTCTCTGTGCGTAACCTTTCTCCTCTATGGAACCTTATATAATTGTCTCTTTGGCCTCAGTGTTCTATAATATCATAGGAATGTATCTTGATGTGGTTCTATGTTTACTTATATTACTGGATGCTCAGTGAACCCTTTCAACCTGTATAGTCTTGTCTTTCGGTTCAGAAAAATTTTCTTGAATAATTCTTGAATGTTTTAGCTGATTTATTCCTTTTTTGTCTTTCTGGAATTCCTATTTTTCAGTTATTGGACTTCCTGGGCTGATCCTCTAATGTCCTTATCTTCCTCTTTTTTTGATAATCTATATATTTTTGCTCTGGGAGAATTCTTCAAGTTATTTTCTGGACCTTCACCCCACTTCTTTAGGTCACTGTGTGCCCCAGTTCTAAGATTTTCTGGGATTTCGTAGTATAAATATTATTGTTCTTGGGTTTTCCCCAGAACTGGTTTAGCATTCAGTTTTTTCTGGTTTTCTAAGTCTATTATTACATAGATCTGTCTGCTTGGCACATTCCAACATTTTGATGCTGTTGTTTTGTGCTATCTTTGTTCTATGAGTGTTCTTACTGTTATTTAAACATACACACCCACTATGCATGTTACTATCATTTTCATGGGATTTTGAGAGAGACAGAAAAATTGTATGCAAATGTTTAATTTTCCATCTTTACTTGGAAGCTCAAGAGCAAATGTTTCTTAATTTGTATTTAACACTTAGATAACGAAGATGATATCATGAAGTACAATTAGAAATGGCCATTTGAATAAGGAAAATGACTCACAGTCCTTTACATTTCAGTAACCTGTCATCCTGATCTAAAAAAAGAAACTTTAAAATCTTTACCAAATAGTCAGAACTTTCAATGTTATATATTTGGCCTGACAATCTTCTCATCTTTTTGCTCATAAAATGTCTACTCAAGATTAGAAGTTAGATATTGTGCTGCAGTTGCCTAAGGCCCAGAAAACGCTCAAAATAGGCCTTGTCACATAAAAAATTAATTGGTTGCTTTGTTCCTACTTAGATTTTCATTAATTTGAGGACATAATATAAGTGACAGTTAACTGTATCACCTTTGCTTCTCCTTGTTAAAAAAGAAATACCTATTTAAAAGTCTAATTAAGAAAGTTTCCTGAAATATTTATTTTTAAGGCATTAACCTTCCCTTATTATATTATGGAATAACACAACTTTAAACATCAGAAAAGACTGGTATGTTGGTTATCTATTGCTACATAACAATCTACTACAAAATTTACTGACTTAAACATTTTATTTGCTTATTATTCTTTTGTTTTAGCAATTTGTGCTAGATTCAGCTGGGAAGTTCTTCCACTGCTTTCACCTGGAGTCAACATGTGGCTGCAGTTGTCCCTTTGCTCAATGAGCTGGACAGTCCAAAATGGTCTCTGTCATTCACATAGCTGGGGGATGCTGCCAGCTCTTGGCTGCATTTCTGTCTCCACATGGCTCATCTTCAAAGAGGCTCGTTTGGGCTTCTTTACCCTGGCAGCCTTGGGGCAGCATTCCAAGTGGGCAAGAATGGAAGCTGCAGAACCTATGCCAAAAAATCATGGAAATTACTTCTGCTGTATACTGTAGATTAAAGCCATTCACAAATCCAGCTCAGTCTACCTCTTGATAGAAGGAGCAAGAAATTCACATCCCAAAGGAGTGTATATACAGACATAGGAGGAATCATGGCCTTTTTTCTTTTTTTTTTTTTTTTTGCAATCTACCACAGACTGCTGTCTGGCTGAAACTTATTCACATTTTTTCCATATAGAAAATATTCTCATTCCCATTCCAGGATCTCCATGGGTCTCATCCCAATATTGCATCAGGTTCACAGTCTTAGATCTCATGCTCTGCATCAGGTGAGTTGAGGATGAAAACCCTTGGCTACAACTCCTCAGGTGTACACTCTTTGTGAGCCAGAGACCTGTGAATGAAAAAGACAAGTTACCTGCTCCCTACAATTCCAACACATGGTGATGGAACAGAGGCAGAATAATTACAATAGGTACTGCCATTCAACATGGGGAACAACAAGAAGACTGTAGCAGTCACTTGTTCACATTAATCTGAAACCCAGCTGGTCACATGCTTCAGGCTCCTTCACTCCAGGGTCAAAAAACCTACCTTGATTAGTTATCTGTTTCTGTTTCCTACTTTGCCACATGCCTTAAATTTTTAGATTCACAGAGGTCAATAATGTGACTATAATTCTAAAATAATTGTACAAAACCATCTGTAGGTAGTTAAGTGCTTCTTGACAAAGTTACCCCTTCCTCCTGAAGTTTTTAACCATGCAGATTTTCATACCTTTGAGAATACTTGTTTGTTTGACCCACCTCAGAAATTTCATAATATATGTAAAAAAAAAATGGAAAAACCATCTTCCTTGCCTTTACTTCCCCAAAAGTAGTACCACATACAAAGCATCATTATAAAATGATACTGATTTTGAGAATCTTCAAATTACAAAAAAAGTTAAAATTTATCTATAATATAACCTGACAGTTTCTGGAACACCCAGTGGTTCTCTATGGGAATCACATGATTTACTTATTTACTTGGGGCCTAGAGTAGAGCATGAGACAGACCAAGCCCTGCCCTCACAGAGCTTGCAGTCTGTAGGGGGAGAGGGGCAGACAACAAAAATGTAGACACATCCCCACCTCATCCCAGCTCTATTTTTAAAAATTTTAGGGAGTAAAACATAAGAGAATAAAACAGGGTAATGGAGGAGAGAGAATGAGTGACAGAGTGAGAGAGAGAGATTATTGGGGCAGGAGAGTGACTATCTTAGCTAGGATGATGAAGAGGTGACATTTAATTTGAGAACAAAATGTTGGGAAGAAACAAGTTGTGCAAGAATCTAAGAAAAGCATGATCAAAAGCCCTGGGCAGTAACAGTCTGGGTTTGTTTGTTCAGGGTCAGAAAACAAATTCAATGTTGCTTGTTTACAATGAGCAAAGGGAAGAAAGGAGATAAGGTCATTGGTATGGGCAGGAACCATGAAGGACTGTGTGGAAAGGTGAAGTCATTGAAGAGTTTTAACTGGAAAAGCATAAGATCTTATTCATTTTTTTTAAAAAATCATTGTGGTTGCTGTGTAGAGGATGGACAAAAGAGACAGTGAAATTAGATAGTACAGTTAGGAAGCTATTGTAGTAGTCCTAGAAACAACTTTGCAGTAGGAGGGTGAGAAAGGGTCAGATTCAGGATAATATTTGGGAAGAGGAGCCCAGAGACCTTGATGGATTGGATGTTGGGCATAAGAGAGAGGGTCAAGGATGCATCTCAAGTTTGTGACTTGTGAAATTGGGTGCACTTCAGTTCCTTTTTTTTCCACTTTTATTTTAGGTTCAAGGGTACATCTGGAGAAAAGGGAACTCTCATACACTGCTGGTGGGAATGTAAATTAGTTCAGCCATTGTATAAAACAGTTTGGTGATTTCTCCAAGCATTTAAAACATAACTACCATTTGACCCAGCAGTGCCCTTTTTTAAGATGGAAAAGCCTAGGGGAAGAACAGGTTTTTCCTTTATAAGGGTCCAGATCAAAAGTTCTGTTTTGGAAATATTTGGTTTGAGTTTTTTCTTAGACATCAAGCGAGATGTCAAACAGGCAGTTGAATGTGGGAGTTCAGTCATTTACCAGCAAGCCTTGATGACTTGCCTCATCAATACTTTATAGTCTCACTTTGTGACTATCTAACCCTATCCTTGGGCAACTAAGACATGGGGACCCTCATTTCCTGACAAGTAGAGACTCAATGAATTACCCAAGGACACACAACTAAAGTGGAAGAGCAGGGCTTGAACCAGGTCTTCTGGCAACCTACACATAGTCCTGTAGGGCACTGCTAACCCCTCCTCTACTCTCCTGCTTATTGTAATCAAGGGGAGATGCAGGGTTTTAAGATACCATTCTGGAGGCAGTGGGTGTGCCACATCCTCAAAGTGTCACCCATGACTTAGGCAATTGTTTATCCATGCTGTTCATATAGTATCCACCAGCCACATGTAGCTACTTAAATTTAATTTTTAATCAATTAAAATTAAACTAAGTTAAAATTCACTTTCTTAGTTTTACTAGTCACAGTTCAAGTGCTCAATAGTTACATGAGTACCATATTGGATAGCACAGATAAAGAACATTTTCATGATCTCAGAAATTTCTATTAAACAGTGCTGGAGTCTAGATTAATCTAATGTTCCCTTCAGTTATATTAATTTGTGAAGAAAGTGTAGTCTTATCCTAAAAGCTGTGATCTAAGAGGAAAGTTTAGGAAAAAAAGAAAGTTACCTGCTTTAAAATTAGCATATTTTATAATAAGCTGATTTTAGATCCAGCATTAATGAGCACCTTTCCCCAGCTCACACCCTTGAATATTTGTGTGTTTCTCATGTTATCTATGAAGGTGTAGGTTCCTCTGAGGAGAGAAACTAGGTTTTTTTCACCTTTGCATTCCCCTCTCAAAATATATAAATATACAACGCCCATGCCCATATATACACACCCTCAATACATATTGCTTTGCACAGAACAAACATAATATTTACTTGTTAAATGACCCAGCATATCACAGCATTTTACAACACTACTGTGGACAGTTGGCCACAGGAAGAACCTATCAATCAGAGCAAATAAACTCCAGGAGGTCTGTAACTAAAACCCGATTGCGCAGCGTATTTATTTCTCATTTCTCCCTTCCTAGCAAAAGGAATATTGGGACCTCAATCTTCCACCACCCCGGGTGAAAACGAGGTTGCTCACTACCCTAGAAAGCATAAAGGTCGAGCCTAGAGGAGAGTCAGTGGGAAGTTCAGGCCCTGGTCTGCCCATTACTTCATGAGCAGGCCAGCAAGGTCTTCCTCATGGGGTGTGATGGAGATATGCAGAAAGCCCTTCACACACATGCACACAGGCAGACCTGGGCCCCTCACAGTTCCCTTCACAAACGCAGGAGAAAATTTGGAGCAAAACAGATGTTTTCTGAATTCCTCCTTGCCACTTGCTGTTTGTGTGACTTTGGGCAAATTACATTAGCCCGTCAAAGTAGCAGGATAAGGAGATGTGTGGATATAGGCCTTGATCACAGAGTTGATGCTACACCCATTCAGCAGTTTATTCCCCTCTTCACCGAATTTCAGGGGGAATGTGAGAGCAAACCTAGAACAGAAATGTGCTTTCCTTTTAAGTTTTCTTTTTAAAAATATTTTCAAATGTTTTTTAAGAGGCAGAATCTCACTCTATCACCCAGACTGGAGTGTTGTGTTCATAGCTCACTATACCCTCTAACTCCTGGGCCTAAGGGATTGCCCTGCCTCAGCCTCCTGAGTAGCTGGGACTATAGGTTCACACCACCACACCCAGCTAATTTTTTTTTTTGTAGAGATGGGGTCTCACTATGTTGCCCTGGTCTTGAACTTCTGGCTTCAAGCGGTCCTCCTGCATTTGCCTCCCAAAGTGCTGGGATTGCAGGCATCAGCTACTGCACCCAGCCAAAAATTGCAGTTTTTTAAAAAATGTGTAATAGTACTTACACATGGTAAAAATTTCCTAAGTATGTACAATGAAGTTTTCCTCCTGTCTATCCAGCCACCCAGTTCTCCCCAGAGGCAACCAATGTTTTCCGAGGTGTATGTGTCCTCCCATAGTCATTCTGTGCATGCACAAGCAAATATGCCTATCAACATATTCATATGCATGTACTTCCTAATATGTGCACATTTTCCTCTGACACAAATAGCTGTGTGACTGTTTTGAACCTTTTCTCCTTGTCCTGTCTTGGAGATTTTTTTAGATCTACACCAAGGGCCCTTAATCTATTTACAGGTGCAGAATATTCCACTGTAGAGTTGTACCATAATTTTCTTATCCTATCCCCCACTGATTAATAATTTAGGTTATTTCCAGGCTTTTGCTATTATAACCCATGCCATAATGAACATTGTTGTACATCTGTCACTTTGCACACGGGTAAGTATATTTGTAGAATACATTTCTAAAAAAAGAAATCCCTAGATTAGATGGTATGTAGTGAAGATATATGCGTAGTTTTGATAGACCTGACCAAATGGCCCTTAAAGAGTTTGTATGTTTGCTCTCCCCCTAGCAGTGCATGGGAGTGGATATGAGTTTACAAGCCAATGTGAAGCCCTGGTCAGAGACTGAGCCCCAAGCCTCATGTTTGCCAGAGTTGCTTAGCTTACATTGTGTGCATGAGGGGATGGGGGATATGTGTGTGTATGAGAGAGAGAGAGAGACTTCATTTGGAGAAAGCTGTGGCTAACTGTGAGAACCATGATATGGGGAATCATCACTGTTCCTTCTCATAATCCTCCAGTTTGAAAGAATGACCCAGAAAATGAAAGTGTTCCACACCCCGCAGGAAGATCCTTAGACATGCAGTGTGGAGGCAGTAGTTCAGCTGATAGCTAGAAGAGATGGCAAGAGCAAGAGCAGAGGCCAAGGTATAAGGAGATGAGATTTAGTTTCATAGCCCCTGTGTTAGGTTATTTGCATTGCTATAAAGGAATACCTGAGACTGGGTAGCTTATAAAGAAACGAGGTCTATTTTGGCCACAGTTATATAAACCTGTACAGGAAGCATGGCACCAGAATCTGCTCCTGGTGAGGACTTAGGAAGCTTCCAATTGTGGTGGAAGGTGAAGAGAGAGCAAGCATGTCAGATGGCAAGAGTGGGAGCAAGGGCAAGGTGGGGCAGGGGGAAGTGGGGAGCCACACTCTTTTAAACAACCAGCTCTTACATAAACTACCAGAGTGAGAACTCACTCATTACCATGGGCGTAACACCAAGACATTCATGAGAGATCCACCCCCATGAACCAAACACCTCCCACCAGACCCCACCTCTAACACTGGGGATTCCATTTCAAAATTAGATTTAGAGGGGACAAACATCCAAACTATATCAGCCACCAACATTAGCTAGTGTTCTTCAGATGGTCAGCTCATTTGATCCAACTTTAAGTGTTTATCATGTGCTAAGCCCTTTACCTGTGCTGGAAATACAGAGATGAGCATGGCCGGTTTCTGCCCTCAAGAAGCTCACCCAAGGAAGTGGGCCATGTGGGCGGACAGCTTTCATGGAATGTAATAGAAACTACAGCAATGATGACAGCTAACTCTGAGAACATCTTCAATGCCAGCCAGTGGGCTCAGCACTGCGTGTCATCTCACTTAATTGTACAATAGCCCTGTGAAGGTGATTACAGTGTTATCCCCATTTCACAGATGAGGAAACCAAGACCCAGAAAAGTTGAGGGATAGCCCTAAAACCACATCATAGGTGGCACTACTGGAGTATATGCTGAGGTCTGTCTGACTGCAGAGTATTGAGATAAATCAGAGTGTTCAGCATACTCAGAGCTAAAAGTCGCTCCTCCTCCTCCATCAGTGGTTCTTTGCTTCCTTCTCTCTTTATAGCATCACATTAGTTGTTCTCACGCTGCTAATAAAGACACACCCAAGACTGGGTAATTTATAAAGGAAAGGAGGTTTAATGGACTCACAGTTCCAAATGGCTGAGGAGGCCTTGCAATCATGGTGGAAGATGAAGGAGGAGCAAAGGCACATCTTACGTGTTGGCAGGCAGGAGAGATCATGTGCAGGGGAACTGCCCTGTATAACACCATCAGATCTCATGAGACTTACTCACTATCACAAGAACAGCACTGGAAAAACTCACCCCCATGATTCGATTACCTCCCACCAGGTCCCTCCCATGACACATGGGGATTATGGGAACTATGATTCAAGAAGAGTGTGGGGACACAGCTAAACCATATCAAGCACCACACTGCATTTCAGAGTGAGGGCATGGAAGTCAAGCCAGGGCCTCTGGGGAAGATATGGCCTGAGCTGAGATTTGGAAACAAATGAATAAAAACCTGGAAACAAGAGCAATCTGGACAGAGGAACTCTCAGCTGACCTCCAGGAGACTCAGCCTCCAGGCCTCAGGAAGTAGCTGGCAGACAGAGGCAAGCGAGCAAACAGAGTCACCACAGGGGTAGCCTTTGGAGCCAGACTGCCTGAGTTCAAATGCTGGTTCAGCCCTTTTTTAGCTCAGTGACGTTGGGTGCATCACTTAACCTCTCTGATTCTTCACCTGTAAAATGTGGCTAATAAGTACTACTTCCCTTATGGGTTGAAATAGGGATTGAATAAGTTCATGTATTGAGACTGTTTAGAATAGTGTCTGGCACATGCCCTGTGTGTGTATTCCTCTACAGAACCTCCAGGCTCCAGGTACAGCCTAGATGTAAGGAAAAGAAAAACAAAAATTTGAAGCTTGTCTGTGGTGCTTATTATAGAGAACATTTACATGTGCTCAGAAAATGTAATGTGATGCTATAAAAAGGGAAGGAAGCAGAAAACCATTTAATGGAGGAGGGACATGGGCTTTTGGCCTTCAATTTTCTTGTCAAGCATAGTTGTGCTTCTCAGCTTTCAGTTATCATCTAGAATTGTGAGGCAAAATGTGCTTTTTATTTATTGTCTATTTCTTTATGACATCTTTACTTGGTGTTAAAATATAATGGCCTGTCTCAAATCAGGTGAAAAAGCAGAGGAAGATAAAATACAAAGAAACACATTCAGTGAGACTCTCGGTTTTCTCCTCTTCCTCTTTGATGCTGTAAAATGTTTTCAGAGATAAATGTCAGATAAATGCTGCAGCATCCTCATTTACCCACACAGCGTTTATCGCTCATCCACCAACTCAAATTACCTTTCTCCAAGAGCGGTATTCAGTAAGAGAATCCAAGAGAAGTAAAAGTGAGAGAAAAATACTTCGGTAAATCAGTTCTCATGATTTACTTTTTGTCTCCATATTCCCTGGCCTTTCTTTCCTTTATCTGTTATCCCAAAGTCACATTTCCAGCCCTGTTTCCAAACCAAACCCCATGCTTGGACTACTCTTTCTCGAGGCCAATTTTTTCTCTTCCTCTCATTATTTGAACAACTCCTGAGAATTCATTTCCTTGAAGAAAAACATTTAGCAAATTCCACATCATAAATTACCATGACCCTCACATACCTGTGTACCAGCCACTCACCGGATCCCTGGGCTACAGAAGTGATGATTCAGCCCTTTGTCCTGAATGAGCTCATGGTCTTACATGGAAGGAAAGGCATGCAGAAGGAGGTTGACCTTGCCTTTCTCTGGCATACACTCACATTCATTTCCTTGATGCTCTTGCTTCCCCACTATACTGTAAGCTTCTCAAGGACAAGGATTTTATCTGTTTTGTTTACCACTGTATAATTTGTACCTTAAAAGAGTATCCTCAGTAAACATTTGACGAACAAATGAAAAAAAAATGACAATATGGAATGATCAGTAAATTGATGTGCTTGCAAAATAAGAAATAGCACAAAGGAAGGAGTAACTGAATGCTTTGGGGGACAGAAGTGTAGTTGGAGGGGTGGGGAGACTTGCTGGAGGAGGTGACTTCTGAGCTGAGTGTTGGGGAAAATGCCTACATTTATATGCCTTTGCATGATGTCCAGCTTATAGGAGGTGCCCAAGGAAAGTTTGCAGGGTTGATAAACTTTATAATTTATGAAGGAGTTACATATACAGTATCTCTAATATTCTACCATTTTTTGCATTCGTAAAAAGGGGAAACATGGCCATTTCATGCTGGATTATGTAAACCTGGAAGCTCTATCTGCTACCTAGAAAACCTCTTAGTAGGGTACAAGCACCTACTGGAAAGCCGTGTGTGTGTGTGTGCGCACACACACATACACACACATACCTGCACATGCACCCTTGACAAAGTAGAGACTGGCTAGGGCACTTGCTGGGAGGCAAATCAATCTTAAGTGTGTGCTTTAGAAGAAAGATCCTATTCACGAAAGAACATGGAAAAGGTAAGGACAGAGGTGATTTCCAGAGACTGGCCTCTCACCTCACCTGTGAGCCAGACCACAGCTCATTACCTAACTCCTATATCCACCACCCAAGCCAGTTTTATATCTTAAAATTTCTGAAAATCCATTGATTATGCCATGGGAGAGCCTGAGGTAGGAGAGAAGAGGAGAGAAAAACAAAATGAATTTTTAGTTGAATTAATATAATGAGCTTACTGAGAAAAAACAAGATACAAGACCTAGACTTGCTATTAGTTTATTTTTAGGTTTCTTAACTTTGTTTAGCTCCAGCTCCTTCCTAGCATGAACGATGTTGATGCTGAAAACCAAAACTACTCATACCTATGAGCCTACTATCCTGGTGTGATCTCTGGCTCCCTCAGGCTGTTCCAGACACACCCTGTCTATGACTGACTGAAGACATCTGCATCTGAGCAACACCAAATTATAACAAAAATTAGATCCTTCACCTCCGATTAATTCTCAACTTGTATTTTTAATATATGTATGCAGCTTCATCATACACAACAAAGAAACGTTCTTCAACAATGCCACAAGAAGTAGAATCGTGCATCACATTTTACAAAGAATAAAATATGAAGAAGGAAAAAACAAGATTGGTAAGTAGTATGTTAGTATAACAAACTACATTTGGCATTTGGGAATTACAGACTTCTTCCCTTGGTTTTATTAAGTTTGTATCAATTCTAGCAATGCTTGTCACTTATAAAACCCCTAACTAATCCTTTGATGAATAATTCACAAGTGTAAAATCTTCGTCGCATCCTTAAATATCTTCTTTAAATAGCATGTTGTCTCATTTGTCTAAGATCATGGAGAAATTCTCTCATTTTAGAAAATGTTGTGTGCCAGGCACTGAACTAGATGTTGGGGAGATATGCATAGTTCTGATCTGGAGCTTGTGTTCAAGAAATTAAAAGCAGACAATAAACCAATAAGTAAATACAATAACATGAAGAAATTAAACTGGATGATGATACAGAGATAGGCTGGTAAAAGGTGGGAGTGAGTTCAAGCTGAGATTTGATGATGAGGGCAAGCTTCACTGAGAAGCTGAAATTTGAACTGAGACCTGAATGCTGGGGAACCAGTGTGGGAAGATCGAGGGGTAGGGTGTTCCCATGCAGAGGGAGCTGTAAGCACGGAGATGAGCTGTCCCACAAAAGCAACTTCTCCAGTCATCTCCTCCATTAAATAGCCTCTACCATATATATTTTAGGCATTTTTATGAGAATGTGTCCATATTATATTACACATTTCCTGCCTTATTAAACAGATTATTATATATCAGGAAGGGTTGGGTGGCTTTGTTCTTATCTCTTTTTCCAGCAAGTTTTTTATCAATAGTTTTAATAATGACCTATATCAGTCAGGGTCTAATCAGGAGACAAAGGCACAAGTAAATTGAACAGAGAAAGTTTTATATAAATAATTAACTGTGACAGGGGATTGGAGTAATGGAGGGTTGGCTAGTCAAGGGTAAGAATAACTCTAAAGAATACAGGAATAGCAGATGTTAGGAGCAGCTACCACCTCTGAGAAGACTCCTCGCTACAATGCTAAGCTGCAGATCCTGCTGGAAGAGGTACAGCCATGGCAGTGCAGTTTGCTGGGGGCTCTAGAAATCTGCCCTCTGGAGTACTGGGGGAAGCTGCCTCGAGTGGCTCCAAGGAAGTCATTCTTTGGGAGTTGCTACATCAGCAGCACTACTCTGTGAAGCCCCCCAAGGGGATACTGAAAATCTGCCTTTGAGGAGTACCATGTGTTTCCAGCCACCACGCACTGCAGGAGCTGGGTACTGTAGAAGTATGTGCTACAGAAGCCTGCTGAGATATCATACTGGTATCAGGAAGAGAAACCCCTTCCTCCTCCAGTGTCCCTCCCAGTGTCTTCTGCTGGCAAAGCTTAACATTGAATCAGCTGACAAAGGAGAAATAGTTACAATAGTTACATTATTGCAAAGCAGGCAATGAAGGTGCATTTGGAGCTGAGGGGAAATAAGTTAATATCTGGTGCATAGCCCAGATGACCTGCTCATCAAGCTTTCGGGTAGGGTGAAACTAGAAGGTTGCATTAAATGACAAGACTCAGTAGCTGGCACTCAGCCAAATCCAGCAAGATGACATTTAATAATTTTGCGTTGACCATTTCTAATGTGTATTTTCTTTTCCTTTCAGTCTTTTAAAAAATATTTACTAATTCAGTGAAAATGTTATTTAAACATACATTTGGTTATTAATGAGATTTGAGATTTTTCAAATGCTTATTTTATTCATTTACATTTGTTCGAATAGAAAAGGAAGTACATAAAATTTTACATTAATATCACTGTAAAAAATTAAAAAAATAATTTTTAAGGTAAAGTCTTACAGTCAAATTCAGCAAAACAACTACCTTGGTACAGTGTGGGAGAAATGTTGCTCAACATCATAAGAGGAACAGATTTGAGAGTTGAGCTGAATGCAAGCTTGGTGTGAGTCACTAGCATAATGACTCTGCCAAAAAAAAAAAAAAAAAAACACCTACTTTGATCCCAAGCTGCATAAATTAAAATATAACATGGAGAAATAGATAGCTTTCTAGTCCAGATCTGATTACAACTGGAATATTATGTTTTGTGAGAGTCAATGTATGGGGGTATGGTGAAGTCAAACCTGATTTAGGTCTTTCTTAACTTTGATGGATTTTAGTTAAACACATTCCCATTTCTCTGCATTAGTCATCCTTCCTTGAAACACATTCCTTCAATAAAGTCCTCTGTGACCATTCCAGCTTGAATGAATTCTTCTCTCTTCTGAATTCCTATGGCAACTATTTTTGGAGTCTATTTGATAGTTAGTCATATACAACTCTTCTTTTGTTGTCTTGAACTACATTCAATAACATTATGAAAATCTACCACATAAAGAGAACCACTCATAACATTTGCGTACTGAATAATTTAAATGTTACCTTAGTTACTTTTATATCTTAATTTCTTATTCATTCATATGGTTTTTAGAAACAAACTTAGGATGTGCTATGCATCCTTTTTACGAACTTTTTTCAGTTAACATTGTACCATAAACATACTAGAAAGCAAGTGAGTGAAAGTGAAGTTATTATTGCAGTAGCTGTTCTGAATCACTTCATAAAATGCAAATAACTCCAAATGGCATCTTCACTAATAATGGTATTATCATTTGCAGTACAACTTATGACTCTTTTTTTTTTGTTGAGACGGAGTCTCGGACTGTCACCCAGGCTGGAGTGCAATGGCAAGATCTCAGCTCACTGCAATCTCTGCCTCCCAGGTTCAAGTGATTCTCCTGCCTCAGCCTCCTGAGTAACTGGGATTACAGGTGCCCGCCACCATGCCCGGCTAATTTTTTGTATTTTTAGTGGAGACGGGGTTTCACTATGTTGGCCAGGCTGATCTCAAACTCCTGATCTTGTGATCCGCCTGCCTCGGCCTCTCAAAACGACTCTTTATGAGACACTAGTGTATTAAGAATCTGCAGCTGAATGCTGCTCATCTGGATAATAAGATCCTTAACTGTAAATAAACTGCCTTATTTATCTTTATATCATCACTGCCTAGCACAGTGCCTGGCATATAGTAGGAGTTCAATAAAGGCGTGCTGAACTGAAAAGCTTTTAAATTATTGTGCCTAATTTTGCGTCTCAAAATGTGGGATGCTTTTATAAGCAAAAGAAGGACAGAGACAGTGATTTTTAAATGTTCTGAAGAAGCACAGGAAGTGTAGTATTGTTGCTAGTCAGAAAGGGTCTTTATAAAAGTTTCTTTCATTTGATGAAATAAGGAGTTTTCTATTCAAAGACCTCCATGTGTTGAAAATTGGTAATAGGCCAGGCACATTGGCTCATGCCTGGAATCCCAGAACTTTGGGAGGCTGAGGCAGGAGGATTGCTTGAGCCCAAGAGTCTGAAACCAGCCTGAGCATAATGGTGAAACCCCATCTCTACAAAAAATACAAAAAGTTACCCAGGCGTGGTGGTCAGTACCTATAGTCCCAGCCATCAGGAGGCTGAGATGGGAGGATTACTTCTGGGAGGTCAAGGCGGCAGTGAGCTGAGATTGTGCCACTGCTCTCCAGCCTGGGCAACAGAACAGGAGTCTGTCACAACAAAGAAAAAGAAAATAATAAAAGAAAATTGGTAATGATGAACTGGAATCATATCTAATTAGAAATAACCAATCAGATAGTAAATTATTAAGCCACAACCAAGCATTATGCTGAAAAACATGGAGCAAAACTACTAATGGCCTGTAGATTCAATATTTCATTATCATCTTTGGTTTTGTAAATAAAAGAAATAATATGTTAGAAGAAATTTTAATTTCTTGATAGAACTAATGTTTATCCAGTATTATTTTCTGCCTGAAACTCTTTCTGAAAGTGGCATCTTGCATGAGCCAACATCGATTAGAAATAACATGAAAATACTGATTTGTAGACATGATTCATAAGGATATTTTAGTGGAATGTAAACTGCCACTATGTACATTTTTCAACTTCACTCTGAATTTATTTCAACTGTAAAAATCAAACCTGGTGAAACCCACTTTCAAAATAGAGCCATTTAATAGCTCAACAAAGATTTATTTAACAATGTGGGTGCATACAATAAATCTTGAAATTGATTTGTATTTTTGAATTTGGTGCTTAGAGGAGAAATTAGTAAAGTGAAAAAGATTTCAAATATTGGCTACTTTCTCACTTTGCAGGACTTTGATAAATTATGATAAACTTATAAAAGTTATCATCTGAGGCCAGGCACGGTGGCTCATGCCTATAATCCCAGCACTTTGGGAGGCCAAGGCAGGTGGATCAGTTGAGGTCAGGAGTTCGAGATCAGCCTGACCAACGTGGTAAAACTCCATCTCTACTAAAAATACAAAAATTAGCTGAGCATGGTGGCACTCACCTGTAATCCCAGCTACTTGGGAAGCTGAGGCACGAGAATTGCTTGAACCCGGGAGGCAGAGGTTGCAGTGAGCCGAGATCGCACCACTGCATTCCAGCCTGGGCAACAGAGTGAGACTCTGTCTCAAAAAAAAAAAAAGTTATCATGTGAGTCTCTTATTAGGTCCTTATGAATCCTATTTTTTCTAACATCTGGGATGTTTGAAAGTTATTGATGAGATATGTAGAATTCCCAATAGAGACTCCAGGGAATCAAAGCTTTCTACATAGTAATTCATTACAAAGGTATTTATTGAGGGCCTCTGGTGCGCTAGACAAACTATAAAGCCTTGTGATATTTGGATTTCAAATGTTTTTCTTAGATATTTAGTATTAATGTGAAGCATCTTAAAACATATTAATGTGTTACTATGATTAAAAGCATCTAAATATTGATTGATCCTCCATCAATGAAAAGTGAATCAGTGCATGTGCCATTTTCCAGTTAGGCTAAACCTCTAGATTCTGGTAAGGATCTAAAGCATAGGTAGCATTCCTCTCAAGCCACTTGAGAAATTATGATAATCTCCTTTGAGGTGTATTTTAGGAAGTAGCAGAAATCTTGATCTGAAAGGAGCTTTAAAGATCAACATGTTAAACTTCCACTTCTGGCCAAGATGGAGCAACAGGCACAAGATTTACTCTCCCACCTGAAACAATCACAAAAGAAAAAACAGACAAAATGTATGAAACAACTATTTTCAAGACACTGAATATTGGGCAACCCAAAACAAGGATCTCTGAGAGACAGAAAACAAATGAAATGAGCCCTGCTGGGCCCTATCTTACCACCTTGACATAGTTTCTAGACAGCACCATGAAAAGTGAGAATGTAGGCAGGACCTGAAAGACTCTCTAAGTTGAGAAGTTGTTGCTAGGAGTTGGGAAACAAAGGCAGCGAGAGTTCACAGAAAGAAGTACCGGAAGGCAGCGAGAGTTCACAGAAGGAAGTACCAGAAAGCAGAGAACTGCACAGGGCTAGAACCTTGAAGATCTGTAGAGGGTCTCCCTCAAGTATTCAGCAAGTGCTGATCAGTGCATACATGTCCGGAGAATACCCAAGGCCAGAGAAAGAACCATCCAAAAGAATTTCCAGTAAGACTGGAACACCTCATAATTCACAGAGCAGTGAGGAGAATACTCAGAAAAGTCTTTCCTCCTGCAAACATAAAGAAAATTTAGCAAATAAAGTTTAACAATGTATAACAAGGGTAATACATCATGACCAAGTAGAATTTATCCTGGACTGCAAGGTTGGCTTAGTATATGAAAATCAATCAATATAATTCACCATAGTAGCAAACTAAAAAAGAAAAACCATATGTTCATATTTATGAACATGGGAAAAGCATTTCACAAAGTTCAACATCCATTACAGATAAAAACTCAGCAAACTACTAATAGAAATTATCTTCCTCAACCTCATAAAATACATCTATGAAATGCTTATAGTTAAAATTATGCTTAATGATAAAAGACTGAATATTTTCCTCCCAAGATAATGAACGGGACAAGTATGTCTGCACTTGCCACTTGTATTCATTTTACTATCCAGTGCAATAAAATAAAAAGAATTAAAACTGTCCTAATTATCAGATGACATGATCACCTATAAAGAAACTCACAATGGAATCCATTAAAAGGGACTAATAGGTGAATGTAGCTAGGTTGCAAAAAATGAGATTGATATAAAAACTCAATTGTATTTCTCTCAATCTGCAACAAACAGTGAGAAACTGAGATTTTAAAAACCAAATCACTTATAATTAGCCCCCAAATATGAAATATTAAATACTTAAGGATAAATCAAACAAAAGATACTTAAGAATTGTACACTGAAAACTACAAAACATTGCTGAGATAAATTTAAGAAGACCCAATAAATGGAGACATATACTATGTTTATGAGTCAGAAGACTCAATATTGTTAAGAGGTCAGTCTTAACAAATTGATCTATAGATTCAGCACAATCCAGTCAAATTCCCAGAAGGTGTTTTGTGTGTGTATATGTGAAAATTGACAAATGAATTCAAAAATTCATAGGGAAATGAAAGGACCTAGAATAGCCAAAACAACTCTGAAAAAGAACAAAAAGTCAAGTCTTTGACTTGAGACAAAGGGTCGAAGTCAATTCAGTGGGTAAAGAATTGACTTTTCAACATATGATACTGAATTCAAACCCATATGCAAAAAAATGAATTTAGGAAAACTCGTATACAAAAGTTAACTCAAATGGATTATAGTTCAAAGTGTAAAATTTAAAACCATAAAAATTCTAGGAGAAAATAGAAAATCTTTGTTACCTTGGGTTAACCAAGGGTTTCTTAAATAAAAGCATAATTCATAAAAGAAGAAAAAAATGGATAACCTAGACTTCAAAATTAAAACTTCCCTTTTCAAATGATGTTTTCAAGAGAATGAAAAGAAGGGTGGGGCCAAGATGGCTGACTAGAAACAGAAGTGATCAGAGGCTCCCATCAAAAAGAACCATCATTAATGTGTGAATCCTTCATTGGCAACCAAGGTATCTTCTCATCAGAACTGACTAGGTGGCTAGACTTGATCCACAGAGAGGAAGGAAGAGCAGTGTGGTGCGGCAGCCCGTCTGAGAGCCACACGGGGCAGGGGAGCCCCCACTCCCCAGCCAAGGGAGGCAGTGAGTGAGTGTGGTACCCAGCGTGGGAAACCGTGCTTTTTTCCATGGGACTGTGCAACCCACGGATTAGAAGATCCCACTCAGGAACCCACGCCACTGGGACCTAGAATGCCAACCCCAGAGCTGCACAGATTCTCAACAACCTCTCAGCTGGAATCTGCCTAACCCTGCAGAGCTCCTGCGGGGAGGGGTGACCAGTGCCACAGCTGCTGCTGCCTGCTGCCTAAGCCATTTGAGCTCCTTGGGGGAGGGGCAGCAGCCAGCACTGGGACTCATAACTGCCTGATAAGCTAAGCTCTCTGTGGGGGAAAGGATGGCATCCATCTCTATAACTCCAGGCCATGCTTTTCCCCTGCTGGAGCCAGGGAGGCTGGATGGCTTGGTCCCCAAGAGTGGTCCCCCACAGCTCAACACACTGGCTGTGGCAGACTGCAACAAGAGCGCCTCTTCAGGCACTGACATATCCTTCCTCACTTCCTATATGGTGGGGCTTCCCTACAGGAACTCCAATAACTCCAGCCAGAGACTCAGGGACAGAACCTGGATCTCCCTGGGCCTTATCCCCTAGTGGGAGGAGTGGCTGCAGTCTCTGCAGACCAGCAGACTTAGCCCAGAATGCCACCCAGCAAGGCACACTCCCTCCACCAAGAGACAGTGAAAATGCTTCATTAAATGGGTCCCATTTCCCTTGTCACCCAAATAGGTAAGACCTTCCAACAGGGGTTGTCAGATACCCTATACAGGAGTGATCCTACTGGCATCAGGTTGGAGCCCCTCCGGGTTAGAGATCCCAGAAGAAGGAGCAGGCACCCATCTTTGCCTTCTCCAGCCTGCTTGAGTGACATCTCCAGGTGCGGGAGCGAACCAGATAAATAGGGCCTAAAGTGAACCCCCAGCAAACCACAGCAGCCCTACAGAGGAGGGACCTGACCAGTGAAAGAAAAACAAACAGAAAGCAACAACAACAGCATCAATAACAAAAGAAGTCCTCACAAAAACCCCATCCAGTGGTCAGCTGCCTCAAAGATCGAAACTAGACAAACTCACAAAGATGAGAAAGAATCAATGAAAAAATGCTGAAAACCCAAAAGGACAGAGTTTCTCTTCCCCTCCAAATGATTGCAATGACTCTCTGGCAAGGGCATAATTGGGTGAAGGATGAGATGGACAAATTGACATAAGTAGGCTTCAGAAGATGGGTAACAAAAAACTCCACTGAGCTCTAGGAGCATGTTCTAACCCAATGCAAAGAAGCTAAGAACCTTGAAAAAAGGTTACAGGAGCTGATAACTAGAGAGAGTTTAGAGGGGAACATAAATGACCCGATGGAGCTGAAAAACACAGCACAAGAACTTTGTGAAGCATACACAAGTATCAGTAGCTGAATTGACCAAGAGGAAGAAAGGATATCAGAGTTTGAAGACCACCTCACTGAAATAAGGCATGCAGACAAGATTAGAGAAAAAAGAATAAAAAGGAACAAACAAAACCTCCAAGAAATATGGGACTTCATAAAAAGACCAAACCTACAATTGATTGGAGTACCACCTGAAGCAGACGTGAAGAATGGAAACAAACTGGAAAACAAACTTCAGGATATTATCCAGGAGAATTTCCCTAACCTAGGAAGACAGGCCAATATGCAAATTCAGAAAATACAGAGAACACCACTAAAGTACTCCACAAGAAGATCAACCCCAAGAAACATAATCATCAGATTGTCCAAGGCCAAAATTAAGGAAAAAGTGTTAAGGGCAGCCAGAGAGGAAGGTCAGGTCACCTGCAAAGAAAAGCCCATCAGACTAACAATGCACCTCTCAGCAGAAACTCCACAAGTCAGAAGAGATTGGGGGCCAGTATTCAACATTCTTAAAGAAAATAATTTTCAACACAGAATTTTATATCCAGCCAAACTAAGCATCATAAGCGAAAGAGAAATAAAATCCTTTCCAGACAAGCAAATGCTGAGGGATTTTGTTACCCCCACGCTGGCCTTGCAAGAGCTCCTGAAAGAAGCACTAAATATGCAAAGGAAAAACTGGTACTAGCCACTGCAAAAATACACCAAAATATAAAGACCAATGACACTATGAAGAAACTGCATCAACTAGTATGCAAAATAACCAGATAGCATCATGATGACAGGATCGAATTCACACATAACAATACTAACCTTACATGTAAATGGGCAAAATGCCCCAATTAAAAGACAGACAGGAAATTGGATAAAGACTAAAGACCCATTGGTGTGCTGTATTCAGGAGACCCATCTCATGTGCAAAGACCCCCATAGGCTCAAAATAAAGGATGGAGGAAAATTTACCAAGCAAATGGAAAGCAAAAAAAATGCAGGGGTTGCAAACCTCATCTCTGACAAAACAGACTTTAAACCAATGAAGATCAAAAAAGACAAGGTCATTAAATAATGATAAAGAGAACAATTCAACAAGAAGAACTAACTGTTGGCTGGGCATGGTGGCTCAAACCTATAATCCCAGCACTTTGGGAGGATGAGGTGGGTGGATCACGAGGTCAGGAAATCAAGACCATCCTGGCCAACATGGTGAAACCCCATCTCTACTAAAAATACAAAAATTAGCTGGGTATGGTGGCATGTCCCTGTAATCCCAGCTACTCGGGAGGCTGAGGCAGGAGAATTGCTTGAGCCCGGGAGACAGAGATTGCAGTGAGCCTAGATCACACCACTGAACTCCAACCTCGTGAAAGAGCAAGTCTCCGTCTAAAAAAAAAAAAAAAGAGCTAACTATTCTAAATTTATATGCACCCAATACAGAAGCACCCAGATTCATAAAACAAGTTCTTAGAGACCTACAAAGAGACTTAGACTCCCATACAATAATAGTGGGAGACTTTAACACTCCACCATCAATATTAGACAGATCAACAAGGCAGAAAATTAACAAGGATATTCAGGACTTGAACTCAGCTCTGGATCAAGTGGACCTAATAGACATCTACAGAACTCTCCACCCCAAATCAATAGAATATACATTCTCAGTGCTACATGGCACTTATTCTAAAATTGACCACATAATTGGAAGTAAAACACTCCTCAGCAAATGCAAAAAAACTGAAATGATAACAAACAGTCTCTCAGACTACAGTGCAATCAAATTAGAACTCAGGATTAAGAAACTTATTAAAAACCACACAATTACATGGAAATTGAACAACTCGCTCCTGAATGACTCCTGGTTAAATAATGAAATTAAGGCAGAAATAAAGAAGTTCTTTGAAACCAATGAGAACAAAGAGACAACATACCAGAATCTCTGGGATACAGCTAAAGCAGTGTTAAGAGGGAAATGTATAGCACTAAATTGCCCACATCAGAAAGCTAGAAAGATCTCAAATTGATACACTAACATCACAATTAAAAGAGCTAGAGAGGCAAGAGCAAACTAATCCAAAAGCTAGCAGGAGACAAGCAATAACTAAGATCAGAGCAAAATTGAAGGAGATAGAGACACAAAAACCCTCCAAAACCAGGAACTGTTTTTTTGAAAAAAATAAGAAATACCACTAGCTAGACTAATAAAGAAGAAAAGAGAGAAGAATCCCATAAAAAATGATAAAGGGGAGATCACCACTGACCTCACAGAAATACAAACTACTAACACCTCTATGCAAATAAACTAGAAAATCTAGAAGAAATGGATAAATTCCTGGACGCAGACACTCTCCCAAGGCTCAACCAGGAAGAAGTTGAATCCCTGAATAGACCAGTAACAAGTTCTGAAATTGAGGCAGTAATTAGTAGCCTACCCACCAAAAAAAGCCCAGGACCAGACAGGTTCACAGCCGAATTCTACCAGAGGTACAAAGAGAAGCTGGTACCATTCCTTCTGAAACTATTCCAAACAATAGAAAAAGAGGGACTCCTCCCTAACTCATTTTATGAGGCCAGATCATCCTGATACCAAAACCTAGCAGAGACACAACAAAAAATAGAGAATTTCAGGCCAATATTCCTGATGAATATCGATGCGAAAATCCTCAATAAAATACTGGCAAACCGAATACAGCAGCACATCAAAAAGCTTAGCCACCACAATCAAGTCAGCTTCACACCTGGGATGCAAGGCTGGTTCAACATACATAAATCAATAAATGTAATCCCTCACATAAACGGAACCAAAGACAAAAAGCACGTGATTATCTCAATAGATGCAGAAAAGGCCTTCAATAAAATTCAACAGCCCTTCATGCTAAAAACTCTCAATAAACTAGGTGTCGATTGAACATATCTCAAAATAATAAAAACTATGACAAACCCACAGCCAATATTATATTGAATGGGCAAAAGCTGGAAACATTCCCTTTGAAAACCAGTACAAGACAAGGATGCCCTCTCTCACCACTCTTACTCATCATAGTATTGGAAGTTCTGGCCAGGACAATCAGGCAAGAGAAAGAAATAAAGTGTATTCAAATAGGAAGAGTAGAAGTCAAACTCTCTCTGTTTGCAGATGACATGATTGTATATATAGAAAACTCCATGATCTCAGCCAAAAATTTCCTTAAGCTGACAAGCAACTTCAGCAAAGTCTCAGGATACAAAATGAATGTGAAAAAATCACAGGCATTCCTTTACATCAACAGTAGACAAGCAGAGAGCCAAATCATGAATTAATTCCCACTCACAATCACTACAAAGAGAATAAAATGCCTAGGAATACAGCTAACAAGGGATGTGAAAGACTTCTTCAAGGATAACTACAAACCACTGCTCAAGGAAATCAGAGAGGACACAAACAAATGGAAAAACATTCCATCCTCATGGACAGGAAAAATCAATATTGTAAAAATGTTCATACTGCCCAAAGTAATTTATAGATTCAATGCTATTCCCATCAAACTACCATTGACATTCTTCACAGAATTAGAAAAAGCTACTTTAAATTTCATATGGAATCAAAGAAGACCGCATACAGCCAAGACAATCGTAACCAAAAAGAACAAGCTGGAGGCATCATGCTACCTGACTTCAAACTATACTACAAGGCTGCAGTAACCAAAACAGCATGATAATGGTACCAAAACAGACACATAGACCAATGGAACAGAACAGAGACCTCAGAAATAACACCACACATCTACAACCATCCGATCTTCAGCAAACCTGACAGAAACAAGCAATGGGGAAAGGATCTCCTATTCAATAAATGGTGCTGGGAAAACGGGCTAGCCATATGCAGAAAATTGAAACTGGACCGCTTGCTTACGTCTTATACAAAAATTAACTCAAAGCAATGGCAACAAAAGCCACAATTAAAAAATGGGATCTAATTAAACTAAAGAGCTTCTGCACAGCAAAAGAAACTACCATCAGAGTGAACAGGCAACCCACAAAGTGGGAGAAAATTTTCTCAACCTACTCATCTGACAGAGGGCTAATATCCAGAATCTACAATGAACTCAAACAAATTTACAAGGAAAAAACAAACAACCCCATCAAAAAGTGGGTGAAGGACATGAACAGACACTTCTCAAAAGAAGACATTTATGCAGCCAAAAAACACATGAAAAAATGCTCACCATCACTGGCCATCAGAGAAATGCAAATCAAAACCACAATGAGATATCATCTCACACCAGTTAGAATGGCAATCATTAAAAAGTCAGGAAACAACAGGTGCTGGAGAGGATGTGGAGAAATAGGAACACTTTTACACTGTTGGTGGGACTGTAAACTAGTTCAACCCTTGTGGAAGTCAGTGTGGCGATTCCTCAGGGATCTAGAACTAGAAATACCATTTGACCCAGCCATCCCATTACTGGGTATATACCCAAAGGACTATAAATCATGCTGCTATAAGACACATGCACACGTATGTTTATTGCGGCACTATTCACAATAGCAAAGACTTGGAACCAACCTAAATGTCCAACAGTGGTAGACTGGGTTAAGAAAATGTGGCACATATACACCATGGAATACTATGCAGCCATAAAAAATGATGAGTTCATGTCCTTTGTAGGGACATGAATGAAATTGGAAATCATCATTCTCAGTAAACTATCGCAAGAACAAAAAACCAAACACCGCATATTCTCACTCATAGGTGGGAATTGAACAATGAGAACACATGGACTCAGGAAGGGGAACATCACACTCTGGGGACTGTTGTGGGGTGGGGGAAGGGGGGAGGGATAGCATTGGGAGATACACCTAATGCTAGATGACGAGCTAGTGGGTGCAGCACACCAGCATGTCACATGTATATATATGTAACTGACCTGCACAATGTGCACATGTACCCTAAAACTTAAAGTATAATAATAATAATAATAAAAATTAACTCAAGATGGATTAAAGACTTAAATGTAAAACCCCAAACCATAAAAACCCTAGAAGAAAACCTAGGCAATACCATTCAGGACATAGGCATGGGCAAAGTCTTCATGACAAAAACGCCAAAAGCAATTGCAAGAAAAGCCAAAACTGACAAATGAGTTCTAATTAAACTAAAGAGCTTCTGCACAGCAAAAGAAACTATCATCAGAGTGAACAGACAATCTACAGAGCGGGAGAAATTTTTTGCAATCTAGCCATCTGACAGAAATCGAATATCCAGAATTTACAAGCAACTTAAAGAAATTTACAAGAGAAAAAACAACCCCATGAAAAAGTGGGCAAAGGATATAAACAGAGACTTCTCAAAAGAAGACATACATGCAGCCAACAAACATATGAAGAAAGCTCAACATCACTGATTATTAGAGAAATGCAAATCAAAACCGTAATGAGATACCATCTAACACCAGTCAGAATGGCGATTATTTAAAAGTCAAGAAACAATAGATGCTGGTGAGGCTGTGGAGAAATAGGAACACTTTTACACTGTTCTTGGGAGTGTAAATTACCCCAGCCATTGTGGAAGACAGTGTGGGGATTCCTCAAGTATCTAGAACCAGAAATACCATTTGACCCAGCAATCCCATTACTGGGTGTATACCTAAAGGAATATAAAGCATTCTACTGTAAAGACACATGCACACATATGTTTACTGCAGCACTGTTCACAATAGCAAAGTTGTGGAACCTACTCAAATGCCCATCAATGATAGAGTGGATAAAGAAAATGTGGTACATATCCACTATGGAATATTATACATCCATAAAAAGGAATGAGATTATGTCCTATGCAGGGACATGTATGAAGCTGGATACCATCATCCTCAGCAAACTAAGACAGGAACAGAAAACCAAACACTGCATGCCCTCACTCATAAGCAGGAATTGAACAATGAGAACCTATGGACACAGGGATGGAAACAACACACAATAGGCCTGTTGGGGAGTAGGAGGGTGAGGGGATGGAAGTTAGAGGACAGGTCAATAGGAGCAGCAAACCACCATGGCACACGTATACCTATGTAACAAACCTGCACATCTGCACATGTATCCCAAAACTTAAATACATAAATAGAATGATAAGAGAAGCCACACATTAGGAGAAAAAAGTTTTCAAAAAATATGGCTAGTAAAGGACATCTATATCTTGCCTCTAGAATACATAAAGAACACTCAAAACTCAGTGAATCCAAAAATCTTATTGAGCATAAGATATGAACAGACATTTCACAAGAGAAGATATACAGATGGCAAACAGCACACAAGATGATTTTAAATATTATTCATTAAAAAATGAGAATTAAACACGATGAGATATCACAACACACCCATGAGAGTGGCTAAAATTTAAAAGACTGACCATACCATGTGGAGGACCTTGAACTCTCATATGCTGCTGATGGAAATGTAAAATTGTACAACCACTTAAGAAAACAGTGTGGCAGTTTTTCAAAAAGTTAAATGTTCATCTACTATATGATCTAGTGGAATCACTTCTAGGTATTTGCTAAGAAAGTTAAAGCATATATTGATGCAAAGTTTTGTATATGGATGTTCATAACAGCTTAATTTGTAATAGCCCCCAAACTATAAAGGACCCAAATGTCTATCATCAGGAGAATAGATAAACAAATTATTACATGTGATGGAATACTACTCAGCAATAAAAAGAAATGAGCTACTGATATTTGCAACAACATGAATGAATCTCAAATTATGTTGAGTGATGAAAAAGAGTAAATGTTATATGATTCCATTTATATAAAACTCTGGAAATTTCAAACTAATTGATAGTGACAGAAAGCAGATCAGTGTTTGCCCTGGAGATAGCACGGGGAAGGGTGGCAGATTAGAATGTGGCATGATAAAACTTTGGAGGCAATGGATATGTTTAGATTCTTAGTCGTACTGATGGTCTTATGAGTATATACTTATGTCGAAACATCTAATTAAACAACTTATGCTGTCTATTGTATGATTGTTATACCTCAGTAAAGCTGTTTTTAAAAAGATCTGCGCATCCCTTCCCATTTTATGGATGAGGAAATTGAGTCCTGAGGACAAGAGAACTTTTCCAAAGTCATACCACTAGTCCAATGCAGAGGCATTAGGTTTGTCCATAATGAAGCTTCTGAATGAAAATAGAAGAGCTCCTGGTGTAATTCCAGGGAGCTGAAGGCCATTATCCTAGGTGAATTAATGCAGTAATAGAAAAACCAAACACCACATGTTCTCACTTATAAGTGGGAGTTAAACATTGAGTACACATGGACAAAGAAGGGAACAGGAGACACTGGGGCCTACTTGAGGGTGGAGGGTGAGAGGAGGATGAGGATTGGAAAACTACCTGTCAGTACTATGCTCATTACCTGGGTGACATAATAATTACACCAAATCCCCCAACACACAATTTACCCATGTCACAAACCTGCACGTGTACTCCCTGAACCTAAAATAAAAGTTAGAAGGAAAAAAATGTTAAAAGTTAAAATGGGCAGAGAAACTGAATAGACATTTTTCCATATAAAACACACAAATGGCCAACAGGTATATGAAAAGGTGCTCAATATCACTAATCATCAGAGATATGCAAATCAAAACCACGGTGAAGTATCATCTCACACCCGTTAGAATGGCTCTTATCAAAAAGTGGTAAGTGTTGGCAAGTGTGTGGAGAAAAGGAAACACTTGTGCGCTGTTAGTAGGAATGTAAATTGGTTCAGCTGTGATGAAAAACAATATAGAGGTTCTTTAAAAAATAAAAAATGAACTACCGTATGATACAGCAATCCTACTTTTGGGTACATATCCCAAGGAATTGAAATCAGTATCTTGAAGAGATATCTGCACGTCCATGTTCATTGCAGCATTATTTACAATAGCCAAGATATGAAAACAACCCAAGTGTCCCCTGATGGAAGAATGGATAAAGGAATTGTGGTACATATATACAATGGAATATTGTTCAACCATAAAAAAGAAGAAAATCCTGCCATTTGCAACATGGATGAACTTGGAAGGCATCATGCTAGGTGAAATAAACCAGACACAGAAAGACAAATACTGCATGATCTCACTTATGTGTAGAATCTTAAAAAGCCAAACTCTTAGAAACAGAGAGTAGAATAGTGGTTGCCAGGCCCTGGGGATGGGGAACATGGGGAGGTGTTGATCAAAGAGTATAAAGTTTCATTTATAAAATGAATGAGTTCTGGGGATCTAATGTACAGCATGGGTGGAGATAGATGTGTTAATTAATGTGATTGTGGTAATCATTACATAATGTATATGCATATCAAGTCATCACATTATAAACTTTGAATAGATTCGATCTTTATTTGACGGTCAAATATTTTAATTTTTTTAGTGAATTTCCCAGCCCTTGATCCCAATTTCACGGCAGCAGAGCTTTTTTTCTAACTCTTGGTGCCCCTAAGAGGGTTGATAGCCTAGATTGTTTCCTCCAAAAAGCACCACACTTATATTTGTTTTGAACATTGTGAGTATTCAAACTCTGTATTAATTCAAATGGACTTATTTGCTGTTTTAGGTCTGAATCGTTTGCTTACCAATGGCTCCTATGAAGCTGCGTTTCCCCTGCATGAGGTATTGTGCTGTCTTTAATCTTTATCTTTCTTTCAATCGTTTGTTACTAAAGTCAGCTTCTAGAGATAGTCAATAATTGAATTTGTTGACATTTGCTCAGAATGAATTTAATTTGTTCAATGGGTAATTAGGGAGGGTCTACTTCAATTGTTATATCTCTTCCTCAGCATAGACTTATTTCTATATATCTTTTCATGTAATTGCGAGAATACTTAAATCAATAGTCATGCAGCATGAATTCATAGGAATGGCTTAGAGACTTTAAGTCTTAAAATTAAAAAGGCATTGACAATTTGCATGAGGCACCAAATCCACAAGAAGAATGTTCTTGAAATATATAGTCTTTGCAACAAATAAATGTATAGCTATTGCTTAAAAGAGTGGGAGGAAGCCATCTTGAAAAGTCTCTGGTAACCAACGGGTGACAAATAAAAATTAATAATGTTGTACTCATCATTGTTCACCTAAGATGTATAAATACTGTGACTCTATTTCCTACATAGTCTCCATCATATAAATTACTTTCGCAAGTGTAACTGATTACCCCAGCTCTACTTTCCACAGAATTATTTAATCCAGAATTCCCCTACACCTGGGTTTTTAGGAACATAATCCCTCATGATTATTGAGAAATTATTGTCATTTTCATGGTGTGGCACCCCTACTGTGGTCACTATATGGCACAGAGAATACAAAGATAAATGTCATAGCCTCTGTCCTCTGGGACCTCACAAAGTAGCCAATGTGCAGCAACTGTTAGCTGATGTTCAGTACAGCCTGTTGGAAACAATGGTAATAATTTGTCAATAGACTTTGGAAGACGGTTCCAACTCTCCGTAAATGGCAAGTCTTTCCAAAACATACTTTTTTTTGGCTTACAGTGGTACTTCTCTTAATTTTAAACACTAAGAGGGTGCAAAAGATGAGGTAGATTTTTCAGAACTTTATTTATTAAGAAAACCAGAAGCTGCCATCTGAAACTCTGTTTAGACTGCCAGGAAATGTGTTTGGAATGCTCCATTTACTATGACAGAAGCAAACATTTTGACACAAAGGTTTGCTAGAGCCATACGCAGGTGTTTCTGAACTCTAAAGACATACTGTTCCCCAAAACATCATGTGGCTTCATCATGTCATTGTTAGTTGGCATTGCCCAGAAAAGGGTTTTGTGAGAACTGCATCCTCCCTGCTCTCAGCCCCAGCTCATGGTATGGGCTGTGTCTGATATGGTAAGTGGCAGAAGCGTCTGTGCAGGGGAGTGGGTGGGTGGGCATGGGAGTGTCTGAGGAGATGCAGCTACAAAGCCCCACAGAGTGACTCATGCCTTTCACAATGACTTTCCTATCTCAGTAAAGCCCTGTATTCTATGAGAAGTTCCAAATTGGTAATAGCAGCAGCAATCATTGCATCATTGCTTTTCTGACTTTTTACTCTCAGTTTAACTTGATTATATTATTTAACCTCAGAGGCAAAAAGGCAGAAGGTCAGATATTGCTGCTCTTGTTTCACGTTAAAGATTTAGATAGAGGTTTAGAGAAAGGTGAAACCTCCTTAAGTCACACAATGAGTTGGTGGTTGATCTGAGACTCACCTGAGTTTCTTTCTCCTAGCCCTGTGTTCTTTCCATTAAGAAAGGACTTCTTATCAGGTGTGGTGGCTCAGGCCTGTAACCCCAGCACTTTGGGAGGCCAAGGTGGAAGTATTGCTTGAGTTCAGGAGTTCGAGACCAGCCTGGGCAACATATTGAGACATTGTCTCTAGCAAAAATAAATAAATAAATAAATAAGAAAGGGCTTCTCCACTTAATATGAATAATTAGCTTGCCTCCAGAAAGTACCGTTTCTCTTTGTGAAACTATCATTGCCACAAACTAACCTCAGAAAAACATGCACTTCTCTGGCCCTTTGTCTCCTCACTTCTTCAATGAGGAGGTTGAATTAAATTTGAATTACAAGAATTCTGAAGTGACTTCCAGCTTTTACATTCTAGAATTTTCTTGTCGATAACATTGTGACAAGGTTACAACTATGGCTGTTTACCAACTATCCTATCTTGAAAGAAGTGGGAAGAGAGGCCAGGCACAGTGGCTCACACCTGTAATCCCAGCACATTGGGAGGCCGAGGGGGACAGATCGCTTGAGTCTAGGAATTCGAGACTAGCCTGGGCAATATGGCAAAACCCCATCTCTACAAAAAATACAAAAGTTAGCCGTGCATGGTGGCACATGCCTATGGTCCCAGCTACTTGGGAGGCTGAGGTGGGAGGATTGCTTGAGCCTGGGAGTCGGAGGTTGCAGTGAGCTGAGATTGCGCCACTGCACTCCAGCCTGGGCAACAGAGTGAAACCCAGTCTCAAAAAATAAACAAATAAATAAATAAAAAGAAGTAGGGAAGAGAACTAATAAGCCTTGGGCATGGCCCCTGGGCCAGACACTTTATTCATTCAAACCACATAAGAAACCAAATGGGACAAATATTAGTTCCACTATGGATTAGGAAACCAAAGCTCAGAGCATTTAGGGAACTTGCCCAGGATCTTCTAGCTGAAAAGTAGCAGAATTGAATTTGAACTCAGTTCAAACCTTCCTGATTATAGCAAGCACGTGCATTTTACTAGATATCAGCAGTAGCAAGACAATGTCCAGAATAACTCATCAAACTGCCTGCCCTTTAATAGAGAGGATTCATTTCTTTCTCATACCACTCCTATCACAACACCTGCTGTAAGACACTTACATTACCATCAGCATTTCCTTGTGACTTTTGTGAGTACTACCTCACTGGCAGTGGTGTTTTTATCCCAGGGAAGTTATAGAAGTAAAAACTCCATTCGAACCCATGGAGCAGAAAACCACCGACATCTACTCTATGAGTGCTGGGCCTCCTGGGGCGTGTGGTATAAATACCAACCTTTGGATCTTGTAAGGTGAGTTTTTAATCAGCTGCAAATATAAAGCTTGCACAGAATGATTAGGGCAGACTGTCAGCTGGGACAAGCTCCCAATGAAGCAAAAAGAGCCTGAAGTGTACAGCTCTCACTCATATCTGGCTTCTTCACAAGAGGAAACTCATCTGAGGACATCAGCTGTTCTTGGTAAACCTACCATCGCTCTGATGAGGATGGAATTTCCCCCAAAAAGAGTCTTAGAGAGGGGCCCAGGAATGGGCATGTGAGATCAGCCAGGCCTGTCACAAGACTTCGTAAGAAGCGAGTCACCCATGTGAGTCTTATTGACAAACCATCTTGTACAAAGGTAACACTGCTTACATATATTACTGACAAAGTAAAATATTTACTACTGTTAGCAAATAGGACAAATGGAGTACTGTCATTCCAATACATTTCAGGCTTAGTTTTCATTCAGAACTAATAACCTTTAAAGATTGTTTTAATCTGCAGATCAAAAAGTATATCAGCTTTTAACCTATGATAATTGTGAAGTGGAAATGTATGTTTTTTTATTATTATTATACTTTAAGTTCTGGGTTACATGTGCAGAACATGCAGTTTTGTTACATAGGTATACATGTGCCATGGTGGTTTGCTGCACCCATCAACCCGTCACCTACTTTAGGTATTTCTCCTAATGTTATCCCTCCCCTAGCCCCCCACCCCCCATAGGCCCTGGTGTGTGATGTTCCCCTCCCTGTGTCCATGTGTTCTCATTGTTCAACTCCCACTTATGAGTGAGAACATGTGGTGTTTGGTTTTCTGATCTTATGATAGTTTGCCGAGAATGATGGTTTCCAGCTTCATCCATGTCCCTGCAAAGGACATGAACTCATCCTTTTTTTGGCTGCATAGTATCCCATGGTGTATGTGTGTGTAAATATATGTGTGTGTTTTTTTTTAACTATCTATATCTTCCCAACCTTCTGCCTTGGCAGCATTATTCTCTGACATCTCTATTTATTTAGAGGCTGGTTATTAAGATTGGGTAATAACAACCCACATTTCCTGGATTCCTTATTAAAGAGAAAGTCATGTCTCATTTCCTAGACTAGCTAGATGTGTTGTTTCACTTAAATACCAGGGCCATAAAATAAAATGAGCCCAGAGGGGAGGACAAACAAAAGACAATGCACTTTATATTTGAGCCCTTATCACCAAGTGTTCCAAGGGCATTGATGAATTGTGATCCATTCCTTGTGTTGGTAACAGATAATCCAGATAATCTTAGTGAATGGAAAATATTTTCTGAGATAAGATCATTTTCCTTTGGTCAGACTCAGTGTATGATAAACAGTGGGGGGAAAAACAAAAGTAAATTCTCTTCCCAGCCTCGGTGCCATGTTACAGGATTACATTGATTAGAAATCACAGATAATTGCTGTAGGCAGCACATTTCCCATTCATGACAGTATTTTGATTAAGATTTTGCGGTTTTGGTTAGTCAATGCATATTAATTAACTGTCTATTGTGTATCTAGTACTGTGCTAAGTACTATTGGCAAAGCCAAACAGACGCCAAATGGTCTCTGGCTCTGAAAAACTCAGTTTTCCTCAGCAACACAGGCCCTGCATACTTGAAACATCGAGAAAAGAAAATACAAGGCCATGCATAATTAGGTAAAATGTGTGACAGAGGCCATAAGTTTTACAGTAATTCAGAAAAATGGAAAGAACGGATGTGGCAGCACCCCTGTGGAAGTCTCTGGAGAGCTGAGCCCTGAAGAACAGTGGCATTTATGTTGGGCAAATAAAGGGGGATGAAAAGCACAACCAAGCCTTGAGTAGAATGAAAGTTGTGGAGCATCTAGGGAATGTCATCTCTTAGACAGTTCCTATCCTATAGGTTTTACTTCCACCATATCTCTCGAATCGGGCCCCACCTCAGCATCTCCACTGCCTTCACTTGTTACCTGGACTATGACAGCTGTGTGCCTGGTTGGTCTCCCTTTGCCCACTCCGGCCCCTTCCAGTCCATTCTGTCTTCTCAGAATAAGCTTGTATACAACCATGTTATTTTATGGAAGGGCTAATTCTAGTTCTGCTATAGAGTAGTAGTAGAAGAAATGTAAGCCCAGATCCTAGATTTGATGGGATGTTCTTTTATCTTGGCTTACCTTGCTTGCAGTTTACCTCGTAAGGCCGCTACAAAGTAAAATGACTATACGAAGTTTCATAATGCTTAACTTTACACACTGCACTGTAATTTGCAAGGCCGTTGTGTCTTTAACAGGCGGTACTTTGGAGAGAAGATTGGGTTATATTTTGCCTGGTTGGGCTGGTACACCGGCATGCTCTTCCCAGCTGCCTTCATTGGATTGTTTGTCTTTTTGTATGGCGTCACCACTCTGGATCACAGCCAAGTCAGGTACGGGGAGCTCTTGGATGAGTTTGCCTTTGTTTAGTACTTAGAGGTGGCTGTTTGCACTTTGGGGGTATTCACAGATTGTGGAGACATTTAGCTTTTCACTCAAACTTCCTACCCTCTCATGGAAAAACTCAAAGTTTCAGTTCACTAGGACCTCTCCATCCATTGTCCTTGCTGCCATGGTCTTCAGATACCATGCAAGTAAAAGTTACCTTTTCAGACATACAAGCCACTATATATCCACAGAACAAGCCGCCTTCATTCACTGGCTATAAGTGCTCTCTTTTTTTACTTTTTCACTTTTTTTCTTAGCTGATACTGCAAAATAGTGAACTAACAATTCTCTCTTATGAATTCTGTGTTTTTACAACTTGAGCCAGAAAGACATCTCACCAGCTTGCTAGTATCTTGGGAGCGGTTCAGTGTCGATGACCATTATCTTGGTTGTCTCACCAGAATATAGGTCAAGGTACTCACAGAGATCTTGTTGCAAGGCTGGACAATGATCTTAAATTGTAAATATGCCTTTTAAATGTGATTGCAAAAATAAAAGTGAGTGATTAAGCCTTCCACCTACGAAAACATTTTACTTTCTGGTGAAATTGTTAATGTGTTAGTTAAATATAGTTTTCCCCCAGGATAGGGCTAGAATCTCTAGTCATTTATGTTTTGTTTTCCATATTAGTTTTAACTTATCATACACATAGAGATCAAGATAAGTATCTTTATATATCTTCTTACTCCCTTAATTCAGTATGAAATTGCTTCAGACCTTTGAAAAGTGAAGGACATTTCTATAATTTGGGATATAACAATCAATGTTTGGCTTCATGTATTTTCCTGAGTTTAACTTATTAATACATAAAGATAAGGAACAGCCTCATAAGTAGGTTTACCAAATTATTTAAATGGGCAAGAACTTGTTTACATTAATAACAGATAAAGCTAAGATGCTTCTAAGGGCAAACATTTAACCTACTGGATCTTATTTACTAGTTGAACATTCTGGTGAAGTTAGAAAAAAATGTTCCATGTCATCAAAAAGCAGTCCTTTCTGTTCTCTTTTCCAGTAAAGAAGTCTGCCAAGCTACAGATATCATCATGTGTCCTGTGTGTGATAAATACTGTCCATTCATGAGGCTGTCAGACAGCTGTGTATATGCCAAGGTAATTTCAAACTGTAGCATTTTAGATGAATTGAATTTAACATACACCTTCCTGAGGGATGGTGGGTAACTCTATTCTGTCATTTCCAGTCTTTGATTTTCAAGTGAATGTTGTAGGATAGACTTATCTCCATCATTCAGTATTCTAATTCCCATATCTTTGTTAATTGTCCATGTATTTGGAAGGCATGGCTCTAGACATCATCCATGGAGCTGCAGCATGGCACAGTGTGAGGAGCACGGTGCTGGAGTCAGAGAAAGTTAGGTCCAAATTTTGACTCTGCTGTTTACCATTTCTCTATCTGGGAATAAGATATTTAACTTCTTTGAGTCTCAGTTTTCTCATCTGCAAAATGGAGACCATGATGCTTGTTTCACACGGAGTTAAGGTGTATACTGAGCATAGTGCTTGGTAAATAGACCTCAGTAAATGACAGCTATCATCATTTGCCTCCTCTTCATCATCATTATTGTCAAAATGACCTCCAATTAAGGCTAGCTCAGCCACTTACCTCTTTAGCCCTGAAATGTGCCCCCTTTCTAAGAAACTCTTTTTTCATAGAAAGAAGCTCAGTCTTCTGAGCTTTCTTGTCTCTAAAATACAGGAAATATGTGTCCTCTCTGTCCTACCCTATTGGCATGACGTGAGGACTAAAGAAGAGAATATATGTGAAAGTGCTATGAGAAAAAAAATACATGACACCACTATTTCTATTATGTGTTATTGCATACCTCTTTCTCGTGATATGCCTTACTTTATTTCTTAGACATATTCCTCACATTCCTAGAGTTTTTTGATACTTAGGTGGTGGTGTCCATAACACAAAACAATAGCTGAAGTTTGAGTTTGCGAAGACTTTTCCAAGAGCTACTGCCTTTTGGCTTGCCCAGATTCAGATATAAATGGCATTGGCAGATTTTATCCAGCTTTTGTAATCACTGAAGCCTGGATCTATCTAATTACTCTCTTGGCATTGCAGAGTTTTGTTCATTTTAAACAAGGGAACATTTGATAGGCAACCCAGGATCCCGCCTATCTATAATGTCTTTAGTACTGCAGGTGGCCGGTCTGTGTAGGAGGAGCCCAGACTGCAGCAGTGAGCAGTGGTTTTAGAAAGATTTGAGCTCTTATGTTGCAAGGGACAAAAAAAGCACAAAATGCTCTGAGCCCTATCTTTAGGAAACACTCAGATAGACCTGAGTGGATAAGGATAAATTTAACAGAGTGACTTTAGGACATAGAGATTTGGTGAGCATCAAGAGCTTTGTCAGTAATATAATTTTGTTTAAAGGTCAGATATAAGCCTGAATGACTCAGGTTTTAAAATTCTGCTTCTGGGGAAACCCCAAAATCAGAAGCCAATTTTTTTTTTTAATGTGGAAAGATATGCTTGAGTAAAATTCTCTTTTTAGGAGATCCTTAATAATTCTTTTAAAGAATCGTCATGAATAGTTTATGAGTGCTCAGATTTTATAGGGGCTTATTTTGGGAGTTATTCTCCCTAACTTAAGACCTAGAACAATAATAATTATAATAGTTACAGCTATAATAATAGCTAGACAATCTACATTGATTATTTCTAATTCTCACAGCAACTTCAAGATAGGTGTTATTATTTCCATTTTATTCAGAGACTCAAAGAGGTAAAAATTACTCATGCATGGTCATGCAGCAATAAGTAGCTGGGCCTTGGTTTATTGCACTGCAAAACATGCCTTCTTTACCACTGTGCCCTGCTGAGCCACAAGATGTTTAGATTCTGAATTTAACATTTGGCCTTGCCTAGAAACTTAGTAAAATGAAAGATAAAAAGCCTTAGAATGACAGAATTGGAGTTATACAGGGTTTCCTTTAGAAATATTTATTAGAGATGTCAGAGTGATTTCATGGGACTGTGGATACACAGAAATATTAAATCAGATTGGCGCTGGGATCTAGTCCAATCAGTGGCTGTTCTGCTGATAGGGATGCTGTATCCTTGACTCTTGTGTTTGCAAGAATCAGAAACCCAACTCCTACTGGCTTAGTCAGAAAGTGATGTAATGGTACATTTTGCCAGAACAGATACTGGGGTGGCTCACGCTGTGGGATCATGAGGGCCTCACAGCCTGGAACTGTTCCTCCAGGGACCCCGGTGGCCCTGCCCACATGATCATTCTGTAGACTAGTTCTCTGTACAATAGAAAAGATGGCTACCAGCTGCCTTGGCTCCAGGCTTACGTTTTCCTTCCCTTGTCTCCTTAAGTGGATTTTTGTGCTTATTTTAAACTCCTGGTCTGCTGCCACACTGTGTCTATGGGAATCTTCTTTGGAGGGGAGGGGTTGTTGTCTTCCCCATATATTTCATTATTTTGGCCTGTTGGGTACTTGTCCTCTGGAGGCGTCAGCCACTTTGAGTAAGGGTCAGAGGCCAAGGCCAAGTTTGTCAGTCCTAGTGAGTTACAGAGAGGACAGCGTGCCCCAGGCACGACTGAGTGCTACTGCTCTATCAGAGGACTTTTCTGGTCAGTTTCATTTTTAAACCTGCTTAGAACAAAGCAGAATTGGGCACTTTCCCTTGATTGTAATCTGCCAATGCTGGGGTTTAAGAGGAGGTGGACTATGGAGTGAATGCCCCAGGGCAGCTATCCAGGTAGCACCTGCTTTTCACCCATGTCTAACAGAGCAGGACTTTGAGCATTCCCTGATATTGCTCCAGGAATACCAGCACCTGTGGTGTGGCCTGCTTAGCTGATTTCTGAGGGAGGGGAAACTAATTGTCCAATGGCCATTTGAGGGAGAGAGGCTAGAGTAGAGCTTATGTATTTCTCTAACCTGTGCTCTCACTCTACCTGGTATCTACAACCTACCTCTCCCCACACACCACCACCATCACACACATACCAGTTCAAGATAACCTCCCATCTCCCCTGAGGTTTCTCAGGGTCTTTGTTTTTTGTTTTTGTGTTTTGTTAGTTCCTGGAATCTACTACCTTGCTTCTCCAGGACTGATTTTGGCAGAAGGTGTCATCAGCTTAAGCTAACTGACTATCTCATTGGGAACCGGAGCCCCTATAACCTTACCCCTCCTCATTCATATATTGTCAAATTGATAACTGCAGCAGAAAGCTGTCTGTCTCCAAATGTTTGTGTATCAGCCCCAGGGCAGTATTCTGATTGGTTCTATTTTGAGCCATGTGTCCCTTGGGACCAGCAGGAGTTACCTGGAGAAAGGAGAATGGAAGACAGATGATCTGGGTAGCCAAAACAATGATAACTGCAGTCCATTCCAGAATGGACACTGATGGTGCAAGCTACACTTTCTAGCAACTCTCAGTAAATACTCTGATAGAGGCTGGGCGCGGTGGCTCACGCCTGTAATCCCAGCACTTTAGGAGGCCGAGGCAGGCGGATCACCTGAGGTCAGGAGTTTGAGACCAGCCTGGCCAACATGGTGAAACCCCATCTCTACAAAAATACAAAAATTAGCTGGGCATGATGGCGGGTGCCTGTAATCGCAGCTACTTGGGAGGCTGAGACAGGAAAATCACTTGAACCCAGGAGGTGGAGGTTGCAGTGAGCCGAGATTGCGCCATTGCACTCCAGCCTGGGTGACAGAGTCAGAATCCATCTCAAAAACAAACAAACAAACAAACAACAACAAACTCTGATAGATAGCACAGTCCAGTCAAATACCGCTAGAACCTTCAAGGTTGGTTTGATACTGAGTGCCCAATATACAGCTTAACATTCCCTCTGGCATATGAAATAGATTAGCTTCAGACATTTGTCTCACAGTAGGTATTTGAGTGCTGCCCATCTCTCCTCTATTCAAAGAAAGAGAAACTTCTGGAATAATCTGAAATACTTCACGTTCTGATATAACATGAAAAACCTCTTTATATTTGGTGCATTCTCGAAGGAACAATAAAGTATACTTTATAGGTAGCTATAAAGTACCCCCAAAAAAGGTTATTCTTTATGAACCTATCAGTCATCATTTCAATTTGTCATGGACATTGGTATTATTTATACTAGAGGCAGGAATGAGCTTGGCAGTTTTGCAGTAAAAATGGATATTTTTGCTTTCTTCTGTGGTGTTTGCAATAGAATATATTATTCTAGCAATAAAGTATTGCTAGTTGTCTTTGTGTTATGTGCAGTAGGTAAATATAGTGATTACCCAAGGCTTTAATAAGGGTAGAGTTGGATTTAGTTAATGGTTCTGCTCTTTTTTATAAGGCTGAAATCCAGAGGGCAGCCCAGAAAATGTTTGCTCAAAACTGCATAAACAAAATAGCCATGTTTTCAAAGTGAATAAATGAGGCATTAAAAACAGTGCTTGGGAAGTTGAAAACCTTTAAAGCAGCACTAACAATACCTTCCTGGTCCTAAATATAACTATATCCATACACATATGTACGTGTATAAGAGTTTTGTTGTGCACAAAAGGGGATTCTTAGTAGCACTATTGGGGATGCTGATAAATGTTCAACTAGATGATAACCACATAAAGAGAACAAATTGTATCCTCTATATATGAACTACCTTGCAATTAGAGGAAGCCTTTTCTTATTTATGGTTCAAAAGGAATATTCCCCCTACCCAAAACAAAGCCTGTAAAACTCATTATATAATCACAGCTATTTTTACAGAACTTGAAAAAATTTGAATTGGAATATCATATATGAGAAATTAACTCAGCACCGATTCTTATTATTCACAGGTAACCCACCTTTTTGACAATGGAGCCACTGTCTTCTTTGCTGTTTTCATGGCAGTCTGGGGTAAGTGTTCTATAACCATAAAACTTGAGTTTTCCTCATATGCCCTATGATATATTCCTTTAGAAGTTTCACTTTGGATGTGAAAGAAAGAAGCTTGAGTAAATGGAATTAGCTTTCCTATTAGTAGAAAGTTGGTAAATAATTTATTGGGTTTATTTTAAACGATATTGTAGAAGAGAGACATGTCTGATTTCTCTTAAACCTTCAACAATGTCATTAGCACTCTGTTATTAGAGTAGAATTTACTTTCTGTTGGACACAGAAATAAAGCTTATGGTACAACTTTAGTTTAGGTCAGGGGAGAACTGAAACACCATCTCAGTATATATAGGACTTTCTATTGTAAGTGGCTAATGTGTGAGTACCCACCTTTAGCTTTCTTCTAGCTCTGTACAAAATTACCCCTAAAAACAAGGTCTATTCACAGGACTGATTTGAGCTTTTTGATATAATTTCAAGCTAACAGCCCCATCACACAAGGTGTGATGGAAACAGTCAAATATTTGGAAGTAACAGGACTTGATTGAAATCTCAACTCCCTTTACACACTAGGCTGTGTGATTTTTGGCAAGTTATTTAACCTACCTCTTTGTAAAATGGGTTAATATATAATAGTCAAATAATTATAAAGCTTCAATTTAATGATATAGAAAAACATCTCACAAATTCATGGAAAGCAGTTAATGGCAGTTACCTTTGGAAAGGAAGATTCATGGAAGAGTAAGTGAACAACGAGGAGAGACAAACTTTATGCTATATATTTTTAGTCTGGTTTGAATTTTTTACAATTATACTTTTCTCCTATAACTTTAATTGCCAAAATCTGAATTTTGATGTAACAAAATTCTACTACCTTTAGACTTAGGCTCATCTTGTTCATTATGTCTGCTATGAATATTGGAATCTTCCCCATCTTTCAGGCCCCAGCTGAAATGTCATCTGCTCCAGCCAAAAGATGTCTTTCTCCTTTGAATTTCCATGGCATTTTGTTCTTAGGGCACTTAAAATTATTTTCACAGATAACTTGTCTTGCCTAGTAGATTTATGGTCCTTGAGGACCATTATGATTATCAGAGATCTCATATTTTTTTTTTTTTTGAGATAGATGGAATCAGTAAGTTTCTGTTGGATGGATGGGTGGGTCAATGGATAGATAGGTGGATGGATGGATGGATGGATGGATGGAAGGAAAGAAGGAAAAAGAGAAGAAGAAAGAAAAAGAAATTACCAAAAGTATTTATTTATGATACAGTGAATGTATTTAAGAGGTCTTTTTTGATAAGTGGAAACATAAAACCTTGTTCACTTGAGGGAGCTTGTTCTTGATATATTGTGTCTTTTGTACCTAGAGACTGTCAAAGGAAAATTGTCCCACCCATCACAGCTCTGTTGAAGGGACATGTTTTGAACCCCATGACTCCAGTCCCTCTCAGCCAGTAAGCATTTGAACCAAGATCAGTCAAACCACAGGTTGGTGAGTGGCCTGGGAAAAGGCCTGAGGTTCTGCCCAGACAAGGACTGGTAGGGCCACCCAGATTCTTATTCTCCAGAATGTGGACTAGAAAATGTAAAGGGAAATAGGGAGTTAGCAGCAGGAATGGACACTGAAAAATACAGAGGGCAGGAGGGAGGGAGAAAAAGAAAGATTAAAATTGACCATTGGGTAGAAGTAGGGACCAGGAGGAATTAGGAGGCTGAAGTTATGAGAATCAGAACCTAGAAATAGATAGAAGCAAAGAACTAGTGGAAAAATTAGAGGGCGAAAAAGCCAACTGGGAGAAAATGTAAGACAACCAGAGGGAAGCAAAGAGAGAATATAGCCAAGTCATGTTACTAGTGGAGTGTCAGGATGAAGACCCAGACTCTCTTGTGGCTGAGGCCTCTCTCAAGCTTCGGGCTTCCATATCCTGTCTCTGAACAGGCCATGTATTTTTTCCTGTAGGATTCCTGCCTCCCTTGGTGGACCTTGTGAAAAGCTTTCACTGTTCATGCTACCCTTAATGCTTCTCTGTCCCTTGCAAACAAACTAACCCTAACAGAATTTTGATTACAGGCCTGAGCTCTCAGATAAAGAATGCGTATATAGTTTTACTAGAATCTATTAGTATCATACACCGTGATTCGGATAAGCCATATAATGCTTAAGCTTTGCCATGGTCACAAATGAGGGGACTCTGGAAATATATTCATTTCCTAAACCAGTATTATAAATACTAAATGTATTCTGTAAACCTTAATGTATATAGTATTCTGTAAACGTAAATACTAAATGTATATTGTAAACCTAAATGTATTCATTTCCTAAACTTTTCAGGTCATAGCACACATAAAAATGAAAATATTTACACAGCAGCTGCTGTACATGGAGGAGCCTCCTCATGGCCATGGATAGGGCTGTCCCAAACACCCCAGCCTCAGAAGCCACAAGGGTTGAAAGGGGCATTATTGTTATTCCTGGCATAGGCATTTGGAAGTTCTGCCTTGGGCTGCTAATTTACTGTGCAATGAGTTAATGCTTCTATATAAGAGTGGTATCCTGGTGGTATCCTGGAAGAATTAAAACACAAAACTTCCTTACCCACTTCAATATTTCACCAATTTCAAATATACTTTGAATTAAATAATGGTTTCTTCTCACAGTTTACCTCCTGAGACTACATAGAAGTAAATTTTTGTATGATGACATTTGTTCATAAGGCAGAGGTTATTACTCTCCCCCACTACCTCCATTATAAAATGGATTGCATACCCTCTTTGCAAGTTGTGTTTTATGTTATAGATGACAAATAGGTTTTGTTTTATCCCCTTGCCAACCTCAGCTGATTGGTGCTGGCTGCCTGGAGCATGGAGTTGAGAAGTTTCTGAGGTTGAAAGTGGGTGGATTGGAGATTTAACAGCCCTTGTGGTTTGGAGTATACTTTGTAAGACTCTGATGGATGTTTTATAATAAACTTTGGGCACAGAGGAACATTTTAGGGCCATTCCAGGCAAGACATGCCTGGAATAATTCACCCTCTGAATTGCTTTGTCTTAGATGACAACTTATTGCTTAAATCCCACATTATTCCCAGAAATGTGCTAGTTTGAGAAAAAGAATGAGTTGCCCCAAGTGTTTCTTTGTAGATAGAGATAATGCCTTTTGCAGAAATCTGAAAGAGTCAACAATATTAACAGTTATATTAATAGCATTCATTTCCGAGGGATTACTATGTACTAAATGCAGTCCTAAGCATTGCCCATGTATCATCTCATTTAATCTCTCCAGCAAGCTTTTAAAAAGGTACTGTTCTTATCCTCATATGACAGATAAGGAAACTGCAGCAGTAGCTAGAAAGTGGCAAAGCCAAGAGTTAAACTGGGCAGTGTGAGCTCCTCTGCTCTACTGCTAGAATCAGGTATTGTTTGTTACCATTTCCTTCTGTTTTAGAGACCTGAACCTTAAAATAAAGGACTGCTATGCCTGTCCTGAGCCTCATTTATCCTGCTTTGAGACAGTAATGTTCTATAAAAATGTGTCAGTTCTAATGGAGCTCAGTTTAATGGTCTCAGGATCATCTCTTATGATCGACAAGTTACAGCATTAAAGAAAACAAATGCACTCTATTTTCAGGAAATTGCTAGATATGGAGCTGATGAGAACAGATGTAAGTGGTTTACAAGACTTCTGAAGGGCTGGGCTTGACGTGTTCATTTTGTTACCTTTGCTTTGTGTGTTCACCGGAAAAAAATAATAAGGCTCCATCTGTAACCAGTTTGTAGCAACTGGGAGGGCCTTGGCATTGGGTTAGGAATCCTGACAGAACTCTACTACCTTTGTTCAGGTCACGTCTGTGTGAGTGCAGGGCTCCCTCGGGATCCCTGAGGTATGCTGTGAGCCTGGGTCTCGGCTGGAATTACAGTGTGGCTCATTCCTCAATGCTCATTTTTGTTCAGAAAGGTCCAAGGGTCAGAATGATTATGGACTAAATAACTCCTCTCCCGAGGGAAAAAATGAGTCATCAGGGAACTAGATGTTGGCAGAGACCTGTCGGGGAAACAGATTATTTCCCTCTGTTCTGTTTCTGGTTTGGTTTGTTTTTTTTCTCTCTCTCCCCCTTGTTTTTCATTTTTTACTTCTAGGATTGCCAAAAGTTAAGTTATCCCCAGTAAACACACCAAGCAAGATCCACAAAGCTCTTTAATCAAAATGACAAGATGGTAATTATTTAGTGTGATCCTGTTAGTAATTGGTGAATGAAGTATGTCTCATTTAAAAAAATAAATTTTGCAAGAATCAGCCTTTTGTTTCTAGATATTTATGCTAACTTTATATTTTATAGTCTTATCTACATGTTCCACAAAAAAATGGTAATTGTATGTTGAAAAAGGTACACATTTACTAAAGGCCTACCATGTTTGTATGCACATTCACATAGGATACCTCATCAATTTCTCATCACCCATTAGAAAGAAATTACTAACCTCATTTTATAGATGAGGATACTGAGGCTCAGAGAGGTTATGCAACTTGCCCAGGATTCCAGTAGCTGATAAGGTGTGGAGCCTAAACTTTAAACCAGATCTGGTCTGTTTCACTCCAGAGTCATTCCAAAGTGTGTCCACCATGTTGTGCATCTTCTGTGAAGTGTGTCAATTAAGATCTCATTAACTCATACACAAAAATGAGTTAGATGTGATCTCTGCTTTCAAAAATCTCAGTATATTAAAGAAGCGTTGATAATTATAATACAGGGCAAGTCCAATTTACAATAGGCCAATGAGGGTTTATGTAGTCAACTTCCTGAGGCAAAAGGAAAAGCAGAAAAGGTTCACCCAAGAAGAGATATTGGAAAGAAGTCTTAGCTTTGCCAGGCAGAGTAGTGGGGTTGGAAGGAGACATAGATAACATTCTTAGGTGACAAGAGTATTTGTAAAGCTCTGAAAAGGAAGAATTGGCTGTTCAGAGTGATAGGGAGGTTGAGTGTGTATTAGTTTCCTAGGACTGCTGTAACATAGTACTACAAACTGGGTAGCTTAAAACAATAGTTTATTGCATAACAGTTCTGGAGGCTCAAAGTCCAAAATCAAGGTGTCAGTGGGATTCTGAGGGCTGTGAGGGAAGGATCTGTTCCATGCCAGTCTCCTGGATTCTGGTGATGGCTGATGGTCCTTGGCCTTCCTTGGTTTGTAGATGCATCACTCCTATCTCTGCCTCTGTCTTCACCTGGCATTTGCCCCGTGTCTCTGTGTCTTCACATGGCTATCTTCTTCTCAAGACGGTGGTCATATTGGATTAAGGGCCCAGCCTACTCCAGTTATGACCCCATCTTAACTAATTACATGTGCACTGACCCTACTTCCAAATAAGGTCACATTGTGAGGTACTGGGACCTTTTTTGAGGGGACACAGTTCAACCCATAGCAGAGTACCTGTTGAAGGCTGAGAGCTACTTATCACAGACCACTTGAGCTACAACAGAACATGGCTTCACGCTGTAAGCAACAGAAAGCCAACTGGAGTTATAATCCGGGAAGGGACATCATCAATTGTATTTGGGAAATAACTCTGGCAACAGTGCAGGGAGAGGTGAAAGTGGAGGCCAACTGGTGGCAGGCAGGCCCCTTAGAAGGCATTCTAGTACTCAGTCAAAATATTACGCAGAACTTGGCTTCAGAAAAGATCCAATTTCCAGAATAAAAACCACACGTGTAAAATGTTTTCCTAGCTTTAGTTATTTATAATATGCAAAATTTGTGAACAACGTAAATGTCCAACAATAGAAGAACGGTTTGGTAAATTATAAGCAGCTATTATAAATTGCTCTTTCAAAGCATGTTGATAATACAAAGCTTGTATTTAAATTTTTTTAAAGTAGGGTATAAAGTATACAAGTAAAACACGATTTTGAGTATATTAAATGTAAATGAAAACAGAAAGAAATGATGCCATAATATTAATGGTGGTTTGCTTTATGTGGTGGGATTGTGGGAAGATTTTTTTCAACTTTAAGTATAATTTATGTGCAATAAAATCCAGCAACTTTAAGTGAACAATTCAACAAATTAGGTCAAATATATATAGTCATGGAAGCATCACCATAATGATGATATATAAGAGAACTTTTTTTCTTTTTTTTGAGACGGAGTCTCGCTCTGTCCCCCAGGCTGGAGTGCAGTGGCACAATCTCGGCTCATTGCAAGCTCCGCCTCCCGGCTTCACGCCATTCTCCTGCGTCAGCCTCTCGAGTAGCTGGGATTACAGGCGCCCGCCACCACGCCCAGCTAATTTTTTTGTATTTTTAGTAGAGACGGGGTTTCACTGTGTTAGCCAGAATGGTCTGGATCTTCTGACCTTGTGATCCGCCCGCCTTGGCCTCCCAAAGTGTGGGAGCCACCGTGCCCGGCCTAAGAGAACATTTTTATCCTCTCAAAAGTTTCCTCATGCCTCTGCAGTCAGTCCCTTGGCAACCTGAAACCTGCTTTTTACCACTGTAGTTTCAGCTGTTCTAGAATTTCATGCAGATTAAATTATTCAATATATAGCATTTTGTGTCTGGCTACTTTCACTTCAGTTAATGCTGTTGAGATTCATTTATGCTGTTGCCTGTGTCAGTAGCTGGTTTCTTTTTAGTACAGAGTAGTATTCCAGAGCCTGGCTATGTCATAATTTGTTCGTCTACTTACCAGTTAATGAATATTTGGGTTCAGTATGGTTTTTAACTACTATAAATAAACCTAGAAACTATTGGCTCTTCTAGTTTTTTGTTTTTGTAAATTTTCATAAAAGCCTTTGTAGCCATTCATCTTGGATGAATAATTAAAAGTGGCATTGCTGGATCATGTGATAAGTGAATGCCTAACTTAGTAAGAAATTGTTTCCCAAAGTGGCCATATCGTTTTGTAGTCAATATCAGCATGATATGAGAATTCCAGGTGTTCCACATTCTCACAAGCACTTGGAATTGTCAGTCTTTATAATTTTAGTCATTTTAGTGGGTATATGGTATTATCCCATTGCAGTTTTAATTTGCATTTCCCTAATGAGTAGCGATGTTGAACATCTTTTCATGAGCTTATTTGCAATCTGCACATCTTACTTGGTGAAGTGTTTGCTCAGATCATTTGTCCATTTGTTATTGGGTTGTCTGTCTTATTTTTAAGTTAAAAGAGTACTTTTATATATTCTAGGTAGAAATGCTTCATCTTACAGGTGTTTGCAAATTTTTTTCCCTGTCTGAGTCTTGCATTTTTATTTTTTAATGGTGCCTTTTGAAAACCAAGAGTTTTTTCTTTTTATATAGTCTAATTTAAATTTTCTTCTGCACTCATTTTTTGTTTTATTTATGAAATCTTTGCCAAACTCAAAGTTTCTAAGATTTTCGTCTATATTGTCTTCTAAAAAGCTTATCGTTTTAGCTCATATGTTTAGGTTTATGACTTATTTCAAGTTGGTTTTTGTATATGGCATAACGTAAGGGGCAGATTTATTTCTTTCCATGTAGATATCCAGTTTTCCTAGTACCATTTGTCAAAAACGCCGTTCTTTTCCTTTTTGAATTTTCTTGGTACATTTTGGTTGAAATCAATGGGCCATATATGTATGGGTCTGTTTTCAGAATTTTTATTATGTTTGATGTGTATGTGTACACATGGCAATAATCCACTGTCTTGATTATTATGGCATAATAACTGTTAAAATCATATTTTTCTTTTCAAAAATTGTTTTGCTGTTTTAGGTTCTTTGCATTTCCAAAAAAATTGTAGAATCAGCACTTAAATTTCTTCAAAAAAAGTGTTGATATTTTGATTGGGATTAAGTTGAATCAATGTCAGTTTGGAAAGATTGAGTGTCATTTAGCTTTTTGTTTATTTACATATTCTGTAATTTCTCTAAGCAATGTCTTATTATTTTCAATGTACAAGGCTTCCAGATATTTTGTTAAATTTATGCCTATATATTGGATTTTTTGAGTTTTTTACAAATAGTATTTTTCTGTAATTTCAATTGCCAGTTATTCATTGCTACTACATAGAAATACAATTAACTTTTGTATATTGACCATATATCTTGTGACTTACTAAACTCAGTTATTAGTGCTTCTAGCTTTTTTATAGATTCCTTAATATTTTCAACATAGATGATTAAGAAATTTATAAAATAAATAAGTTTTCTTTCTTTCTAATCTATATGAGTTTTATTTCTTTTTCTTGCCTTATACTGGTTAGGACCTCCAGAATAATGCTGGATACAAGTTATGTACTAGACATCCTTGCCTTATGCCCAGTCTTAGGGGAATGTGTTTAGTCTTTCAACATTAAGTATGATAGAAACCACAGGTTTTCATATATGTCTGTTATCAAGTTGAAGGACATTCCTTCTATTATTAGGAACTGAGGGTTTTAAAAATCATGAATGGGTATAGAATTTTGCCAAAAGCTTTTCCTGTATTAACTAAGACAATCCTGTTTCTTTCTTTCTTTTATTTTTTTATACTTCAAGTTCTGGGATACATGTGTGGAACGTGCAGGTTTCTTACATAGGTATACATGTGCCATCGTGGTTTGCTGCACCCTTCAAATCGTCATCTACATTAGGTATTTCTCCTAATGCTTTCCCTCCCCGATCCCCCTATCCCCCAACAGGCCCCAGTGTGTGATGGTCCCTGCCCTGTGTCCATGTGTTCTCATTGTTCAACTCCCACTTAGGAGTGAGAACATGCAGTGTTTGGTTTTCTCTTCCTATGTTAGTTTGCTGAGAATGATGGTTTCCAGCTTCATCCATGTCCCTGAAAAGGACATGAACTCATTCTTTTTTATGGCTGCATAGTATTCCATGTTGTGTATGTGCCACATTTTCTTTATTCAGTCTATCATTGATGGGCATTTGGGTTGGTTCGAAGTCTTTGCTATTGTGAATAGTGCCACAATAAATATACGTGTGCATGTGTCTTTATAGTAGAATGATTTATAATCCTTTGGGTGTATACTCAGTAATGGGATTGCTGGGTCAAATGGTATTTCTGGTTCTAGATCCTTGAGGAGTCACCACATTGGTTTCCACAATGATTGAACTAATTTACACTCCCACCAAAAGTGTAATTAGTGTAAAAGCGTTCCTATTTCTCCACATCCTCTCCAGCATCTGTTGTTTCCTGACTTTTTAGTGATTGCCATTCTAACTGGCATGAGATGGTATCTCATTGTGGTTTTGATTTGCATTTCTCTAATGACCAGTGATGATGAGCTTTTTTTCATATGTTTGTTGCCTGTGTAAATGTCTTCTTTTGAGAAGTTTCTGTTCATATCCTTTGCCCACTTTTTATGGGGTTGTTTGTATTTTCCTGTAAAGTTGTTTAAGTTGCTTGTAGATTCTGGATATTAGCTCTTTGTCAGATGGATAGATTGCAAAAATTTTCTCCCATTCTATAGGTTGCCTGTTCACTCTGATGATAGTTTCCATTGCTGTGCAGAAGCTCTTTAGTTTAATTAGATCCCATTTGTCTATTTTGGCTTTTGTTGTAATTGGTTTTGGTGTTGTAGTCATGAAGTCTTTGCCCATGCCTATGTCCTGAATGGTATTGCCTAGGTTTTCCTCTAGGATTTTTATGGTTTTAGGTTTTACATTTAATTTTTTAACCGATCTTGAATTAATTTTTGAATAAAGTGTAAGGAAGGGGTCCAATTTCAATTTTCTGCATATGGCTAGCCAGTTTTCCCAACACCATTTATTAAATAGGGAATCCTTTCCCCATTGCTGTTTTTGTCAGGTTTATCAAAGATTAGATGGTTGTAGAAATGTGGCGTTATTTCTGAGGCCTCTGTTCTGTTCCATTGGTCTATATGTCTGTTTTGGTACCAGTACCATGCTGTTTTGGTTACTGTAGCCTTGTAGTATAGTTTGAAGTCAGGTAGCGTGATGCCTCCAGCTTTGTTCTTTTTGCTTAGGATTGTCTTGGCTATATGGGCTCTTTTTTGGTTCCATATGAAATTTAAAGTAGTGTTTTCTAATTCTGTGAAGAAAGTCAGTGGTAGCTTGATGTGGATAGCATTGAATCTATAAATTACTTGGGGAAGTATGGCCATTTTCACAATATTGATTCTTCCTATCCATAAGCATGGAATATTTTTCCATTTGTTTGTGTCCTCTCTCATTTCCTTGAGCAGTGGTTTGTAATTCTCCTTGAAGAGGCCCTTCACATCCCTTGTAAGTTGTATTCCTAGGTATTTTATTCTCTTTGTAGCAATTGTGAATGGGAGTTCATTCATGATTTGGCTCTCTGTTTATCTGTTCTTGGTGTATAAGAATGCTTGTGATTTTTGCACATTGATTTTGTATCCTGAGATTTTGCTAAAGTTGCTTACCAGCTTAAGGAGATTTGGGGCTGAGACGATGGGGTTTTATAAATATACAGTCATGTCATCTGCAAATAGAGACAATTCGACTTCCTCTTTTCCTATTTGAATACCCTTTATTTCTTTCTCTTGCCTGATTGCCCTGACCAGAACTTTCAATACTGTGTTGAATAGGAGTGGTGAGAGAGGGCATTCTTATTTTGTGCTGGTTTTTGAAGGGAATGCTTCCAGCTTTTGCCCCTTCATATGATATTGGCTGTGGGTTTGTCATAAATAGCTCTTATTATATTGAGATACATTCCATCAATACCTAGTTTACTGAGAGTTTTTAGCATGAAGCGGTGTTGAATTTTATCGAAGGCCTTTTCTGTATCTATTGAGATAATCATGTGGCTTTTGTCATTGGTTCTGTTTTTGTGATGGATTATGTTTATTAATTTGCATATGTTGAACCAGCCTTGCATCCCAGGGATGAAGCCAACTTGATTGTGGTGGATAAGCTTTTTGATGTGCTGCTGGATTCAGTTTTCCAGTATTTCATTGAGGATTTTCGCATAGATGTTCATCAGTGATATTGGCCTGAAATTTTCTTTTTTTGTTGTGTCTCTGCTAGGTTTTGGTATCAGGATGATCTGGCCTCATAAAATGAGTTAGGGAGAAGTCCCTCATTTTCTATTGTTTGGAATAGTTTCAGAAGGAATGGTACCATCTCCTCTTTTTACCTGTGGTAGAATTCAGCTGTGAATCCTTCTGGTCCTGGCCTTTGTTTGGTTGGTAGGCTATTAATTACTGCCTCAATTTCAGAACTTGTTATTGGGCTATTCAGGGGTTCGACATCTTCCTTCTTCTTTTTCTTCTTCCTGGTTTAGCCTTGGGAGGGTGTATGTGTCCAGGAATTTATCCATTTCTTCTAGATTTTCTAGTTTCTTTGTGTAGAGGTGTTTATAGTATTCTCTGATGGTAGATTGTATTTCTGTGGGATCAGTGGTTATATCCCCTTTATCATTTTTTATTGTGCCTATTTGATTCTTCTCTCTTGTCTTCTTTATTAGTCTGGCTAGTGGTCTATGTATTTTTTAATCTTTTTTAAAAAACAATTCTTGGATTATTTGATATTTTGAAGGGTTTTTCATGTCTGTCTCCTTCAGTTCTGCTCTGATCTTAGTCAGCCTTCTTGTCTTCTGCTAGCTTTTGAATGTGTTTTCTCTTGCTTCTCTAGTTCTTTTAATTGTGATGTTAGGATGTCAATTATAGATCTTTCCCGCTTTCTCCTGTGGGCATTTAGTGCTATAAATTTCCCTGCAAACACTGCTTCCGCAGTTTCCCAGAGATTCTGGTACGTTGTGCCTTTGTTCCCATTAGTTTCAAATAACTTATTTATTTCTGCCTTAATTTCGTTATTTACCCAGTAGTCATTCAGGAGCAGGTTGTTCAGTTTCCATGTAGTTGTGCAGCTCTGAGTGAGTTTCTTAATCCTGAGTTCTAATTTGATTGCACTGTGGTCTGAAAGACTGTTTGTTATGATTTCCGTTCTTTTGCATTTGCTGAGGAGTGTTTTACTTCCAATTATGTGGTCAATTTTAGAATAAGTGCAATGTAGTGCTGAGAAGAATGTATATTCTGTTGATTTGCAGTGGGGAGTTCTGTAGATGTCTATTAGGTTCGCTTGGTCCAGAGCAGAGTTCAAGTTCTGAATATCTTTGTTAATTTTGTGTCTCATTGATCTGTCCAATATTGACAGTGGGGTATTAAATCTCCCATTATTATTGTGTGGGAGTCTAAGTCTTTTTGTAGGTCTCTAAGAACTTGCTTTATGAATCTGGGTGCTCCTGTATTGGGTGCATATATATTTAGGACAGTTAGCTCTTCTTGTTGCATTGATCCCTTTACCATTATGTAATGCGCTTCTCTGTCTTTTTTGACCTTTGTTGGTTTAGGTCTGTTTTATCAGAGACTATGATTGCAATCCTTGCTTTTTTTTTCTTTCCATTTGCTTGGTAAATATTCTCCATCCCTTTATTTTGAGCGCATGTATGTCTTTGCATGGAGATGGATCTCCTGAATACAGCACACAGATGGGTGGTCTTGACTCTTTATCCAGTTTGCCAACCTGTGTCTTTTAATTGAGGCATTTAGCCCATTTACATTTAAGGATAATATTGTTATGTGTGAATTTGATCCTATCGTTAGGATGCTAGCTGGTTGTTTTGCCTGTTAGTTGAGGTAGTTTCTTCATAGCGTCAATAGTCTTGACAATTTGGTATGTTTTTGCAGTGGCTGGTCCCAGTTTTTCCTTTCCATATTTAGTGCTTCCTTCAGGAGCTCTTGTAAGGCCAGCCTGGTGGTGACAAAATCTCTCAGCATTTGCTTGTCTGTAAAGGATTTTATTTCTCCTACGCTTACGAAGCTTAGTTTGGCTGGATATGAAATTCAGCGTTGAAAATTCTTTTTTTTAAGAATGTTGAATATTGGCCCCCACTCTCTTCTGGCTTGTAGGGTTTCTGCAGAGAGATCTGCTGTTAGTCTGATGGGCTTCCCTTTGTGGGTAACCCAACCCTTTCTCTCTGGCTGCCCTTAACACTTTTTTTTTTTCATTTTAACCTTGGTGAATCTGACAGTTATGTGTCTTGGGGTTCTCTTCTCAGGAGTATCTTTGTAGTGTTCTCTGTATTTCCTGAATTTGAATGTTGGCCTGTCTTTGTAGGCTGGGGAAGTTCTCCTGGATAATATCCTGAAGAGTGTTTTCCAACTTGGTTCCATTCTCCCCATCACTTTCAGGTACACCAATCAAATGTAGGTTTGGTTTTTTCACATAGTCCCATATTTCTTGAAGGCTTTGTTTGTTCCTTTTCATTCTTTTTTCTCTAATCTTGTCTTCACACTTTATTTCATTAAGTTGATCTTCAGTCTCTGATATCCTTTCTTCTGCTTGATCGACTCGACTATTGATACTTGTATATGCTTCACAAAGTTCTCATGCTGTGTTTTTCAGCTCCATCAGGTCATTTATGTCCTCTAAACTGGTTATTCTAGTTAGCAATTCCTCTAACCTTTTTTCAAGGTTCTTAGCTTCCTTGCATTGGGTTAGAACATGCTCCTTTAGCTTGGAGGAGTTTGTTATTACCCACCTTCTGAAGCCTACTTCTGTCAATTCGTCAAACTCATTCTCCATCCAGTTTTGTTCCCTTGCTGGCAAGGAGTTATGATCCTTTGGAGGAGAAGAGGCATTCTGGTTTTTGGAATTTTCAGCCTTTTTGTGCTGTTTTTTCCTCATCTTCGTGGATTTATCTACCTTTGGTCTTTGATGTTGGTGATCTTCACCTGGGGTTTTTGAGTGGACATCCTTTTTGTTGATGTTGATGCTGTTCCTTTCTGTTTGTTCGTTTTCCTTCTAGCAGCCAGACCCCTCTGCTGCAGGTCTGCTGGAGTTTGCTGGAGGTCTACTCCAGACCCTGTTTGCCTGGGTATCAGCAGTGGAGGCTGCAGAACAGCAAAGATTGCTGCCTATTTTTTCCTCTGGAAGCTTGAGCCCAGAGGGGCACCCCCCAAATGCCAGCTGGAGCTCTCCTGTATGAGGTGTCTGTCGACCCCTGCTGGGAGGTGTCTCCCAGTCAGGAGGCATGGGCATCAGGGACCCACTTGAGGAGGTAGTCTGTCCCTTAGCAGAGCTCGAGCACTGTGCTGGGAGATCTGCTGCTCTCTTCAGAGCTGGCAGGCAGGAACATTTACGTCTGCTGAAGCTGCCCCGACAGCCACTGCTTCCCCCAGGTGCTCTGTCCCAGAGAGGTGGGAGTTTTATCTATAAGCCCCTGACTGGGGCTGCTGCCTTTCTTTCAGGGATGCCCTGCCCAGGGAGGAGGAATCTAGAGAGGCAGTCTGGCTATAGTGGCTTTGCCAAGCTGCAGTGGGCTCCACCCAGTTCTAACTTCCTGGCGGCTTTGTTTACACTGTGAGGGGAAAATTACCTACTCAAGCCTCAGCAATGGCGGACACCCCTCCCCCCACCAAGCTTGAGCATCCCAGGTCAACTTCAGACTGCTATGCTGGCAGCAAGAATTTCAAGCCTGTGGCTCTTAGCTTGCTGGGCTCCGTAGGGGTGGGATCCGCTGAGCTAGACTGCTTGGCTCCCTGGCTTCAGCCCCCTTTCCAGGGGAGTGAACAGCTCTGTCTTGCTGGCATTCCAGGCACCACTGGGGTATGAAAAATAATTCCTACAACTAGCTTGGTGTCTGCCCAAAAGGCTGCCCAGCTTTGTGCTTGAAACCCAGGGCCCTGGTGGCACAGGCACCTGAGGGAATCTCCTGGTCTGCAGGTTATGAAGACTATGGGAAAAGATACTAATCTGGGCCAGAGTGCACCATTCCTCACAGCACAGTCCCTCAGGGCTTCTCTTGGCTAGGGGAGGGAGTTCCCCGACCCCTTGTGCTTCCTGGGTGAGACAGTGCCCTAGCCTGCTTTGGCTTGCCCTCCGTGGGCTGTACCCACTGTCTAACCAGTCCCAATGAGATGAGCTGGGTACTTCATTTGGAAATGCAGAAATCACCCACCTTTTGCACTGATCCCACAGACTGAAGCTGTTCCTATTCAGCCATCTTCTGTTCTCAATCCTGTTTCTTAAAAGCTGGACAATATATTAATTAAATTGATTCATTATGAAATAATAGGATGATCTTGCATTCCAAGGATCCCACTTCATCATAATATATTACCTTTTATGAGTGTTGCAATATTTGATTTGCTAAAATACTTTCAGGATTTTTCCATCTATCTTCATGAGGGTTATTGGCCTGTAACTTTTTACTTCTAGTGTCTTTTTGTTATTGAGGTGATGTTGGCCTCATAAAGTGAGTTAGGAAACGTACTTTCTTCTAGAAAGTAGAAATGGTGTTATTTCCATCTTGAATGTTTGGTAAATTGTACCAGTGATGCCACCTGGGCCTGGAGTTTTCTTTGCAGGAAGGCTTTTAATGCAATCTTAGTCATTTAATGGATGGAAGGTTGTCCAGGTTATCTTTTTTTTTTTTTTTTTTTTTTTTTTTTTTTTTGCCTTTGAAAGAGTCAATTTGTGAATTTATTGGCATAAATTTGTTTATAATATTCTCTTATCTTCTTTCTAATTCCTATAGGATGTGTTATGATATCATATTGGTCATTCCTGAAATTGGTAATTAATGTCTTCTCTTTTCCTGTTCATTCTGTCTAAAAGTTTATCAGTTCTATTGATCTTTTAAAGAACCAGCTTTTGGTTTTAATGATGTTTTTCTATTGTTTTTATGTTTCATTTTTCATTGATTTTTGCTGTTATCTTTCATTTTGTTCCTCATGCTTGCTTTGCATTTAATTGCTCCTTTTTCTAATTTCTTAAGGTAAATGCCTAATTATTTATGTGAGGTCTTTCTCATTTTCAAATATGAGTTTAATGCTATAAATTTCCTCTAAGCACTGCTTAGCTATATCCCCCAAATTGTGTTTTTATTTTTAATCAGTCCAAAATATTTTCTAATTTCCTTTGTGAGTTCTTCTGTGATCTGTGAGTTACTATGTAGAAGCGTATTGTTTAATTACCAAATGCTTGGGAGATTTTCTAAATTTCCACTTGCTGTTAGTTTCTAACTTCATTCAAAGGACATAGTTTGTGTGGTTTCAGTTCTTTTAAATTTACTGAGAAATGTTTTATGACCCACAGTATGATATCTTGGAAAATGTTCCAAGTACATTTGAAAAGACTAGTAGTTCCCCACATGGACACGCGGAGGGGAACATCACACACCAGAGACTGTTGATGGGTGGGAGGCTAGGGAAGGGATAGCATTAGGAGAAATGCCTAATGTACATGATGGGTTATTGGGTGCAACAAACCACCATGGCACATGTATACCTGTGTAACAAACCTGCACATTCTGCACATGTATCCCAGAACTTAAAGTATTATAATAATAATAATAATAATAATAATAATAATAAAAGATTAGTAGTTCCCCTTTTTCCACAGTTTTGCTTTCCACAGTTTCAGTGACCCACTATCAACAACGGTCCAAAAATATTAAATGGAAAATTCCAGAAATAAACAATTCATAAGTTTTAAATTGTGCACAAATCTGAGTAGCATGATGAAATCTCACATTGTCCTGCTCCCTCCCACATGAGATGTGAATCATTCCTTGTTTGGCATATCTACACCGTTCACACTACCTGCCCATTAGTCATTTCGTAGCCGTCTTGGTTATCAGATACTGCCACTGTATCACAGTACTTGTATTCAAGTAACCCTTATTTTACTTAATTATGTCATCGAAGTGCAAGAGTATTGATGCTGGCAATTTGGGTATGCCAAAGAGAAGCTGTAAAGTGCTTTGTTTAAGTGAAAAGGTGAAAGTTCTCAACTTAATAAGTAAAGAAGAAAAGAAAAAATCTTACACTGAAGTTGCTAAGATATACAACTGTAAGATATATTCTTACAGTTGGTAAGAATCTTCTATGCATGAAATTGTGAAGAAGGAAACAGAAATTTGTGCAATATATATATAAGGTTCAGTAGTATCTGTGGCATCTTCTGAGGGTCTTGGAATGTATTACCTGTGGATAAAAGGGGACTAGTGTATATTCTGCTGTTGTTAATTATAGTGTTATCTAAATTTCATTGATTATTAAGAGAGAAGACCCAAATAAATAAAATCAGATATGAAAAAGGAGACATTACAACTGATACCACAGAAATTCAAATAATTATTAGAGGATACTATGAGCAACTATATGCCAATAAATTGGAAAATCTAGAAGAAATGCACAAATTCTTAGACTCATACAACTTACCAAGATTGAACCATGAGGAATTCCAAAATCTGAACAGACCAATAATGAGTAACAAGATAGAAGCCATACTGAAAAGTCTCTCAGTAAAGAAAAGCCCAGGACCCAATTGCTTCACTGCTGAATTCTACCAAACATTTAAAGAAGATCTAATAGCAATCCTACTTGAACTGTTCTAAAAAATGGAAGAGGAGGGAATATTTCCAAACTCATTCTATGAGTCCAGTATTACCCTGATACCAAAACCAGACAAAGACACATCAAAAAAAGAAAACTACAGGCCAATATCTTTGATTAATATTGAATCAAAAATCCTCAACAAAATATTGGCAATCAAAATTCAACAATACATGAAAAAGATCATTCATTATAACCAGGTGGGATTTATTCCAGAGATGCAAGGATGGTTCAACATATGCAAGTCAACCAGTGTGATACATCATATCAACAGAATGAAGGATGAAAACCATATGATCATTTCAATTGATGACAAAGAAAGAATTTGATAAAGTTCAACATTTATTCATGATAAAAACCCTCAAAAAACTGGGTGTAGAAGGAGAATACTTCAACATAATAAAAGCCACATATGACAGACCAACAGCTAGTATCATACTGAGTGGGGAAAAGTGAAAACACTTCCTCTAAAATCTGGAGCATAATAAGGATGTCCGCTTTCACCACTGTTATTCAACATAGTACTGGAAGTCCTAGCTAAAGCAATCAAATATGAGAAAGAAATAAATGGCACCCAAATTGGAAAGGAAGACATCAAATTATCCTTGTTTACAGATGATATGATTTTATATTTGGAAAAAACCTAAAGACTCCACCAAAAATCTATTAGAGCTGATACATTCAGTGAAGTTGCAGGATACAAAGTCAACATACAAAAATCAGTAGCATTTCTATATGCCAGCAGTGAACAATCTGAAAAAGAAGTCAAGAAAGTAATCCCATTTACAATAGCTACAAATACAATCAAAGAACTAGGAATTAACCAAAGAAGCAAAAGATCTCCACAATGAAAACTATAGAACACTGACGAAAGAAATGGAAGAGGCTTTTTCTAGAGATGCCCTGCTGGGAGAGTATCCATGGCTTTGCGTCCCCATCATGGCCCTGCGGTCGGCGGCCTCCTCCTGGAGCACAGCAAGGTCAGGTGGCACCTGCTTGAGTCCTGCGTTGCCATGGCCACAGTTCCTGAGTTGCTGCAGCAGCAGGAGGAGGACCACAGGAAGCTGAGATCTGTATCTGTGGACCTGAATGTTGATCCCTCACTTCAGATTGACATACCTGATGCGCTCAGTGAGAGAGATAAGGTCAAATTTACAGTGCACACAAAGACCACACTGCCCACATTTCAGAATCCAGAGTTTTCTGTTACAAGGCAACATGAGGACTTTGTGTGACTACATGACACTCTTCATGTACCCTAGAACTTAAAGTATAACAAAAAAAAAAAAAAAAAAAAGAAAGAACAGACCATGCTGGGCTTATTGTGAGTGTTTTAGAAAATCAAATAAGCTAGTTCTTTCTGCCTTGCTATTCATTTAGTTTAAAGAGACTTATATCCACTTTTTATAATGGATTGTGAAAATTTTGATTTCATCTACCTACTAGAGTATTTGCTAACTATTGGGTAAGTGGAAAATATGTGAAGGAATAGTGTTACAGCTTTGAGGTAATGCATACAGGCTTACATTATTTATGTTGTAAAGTGGTATAAACAGTGTAATGACTTTAGTCTTATTTACCTTTAGGTTTGGTTTTTCTCTGGTATGTTCTTTCCAATGTCAGTAGAATTGATTTCTAGGAAACATTAGTATTGGTAATAGTATGTGATAAGATTTCTCAAAAGTGCTGAAGGAGGCCATGCCTGTAATCCTAACACTTTGGGAAGCTGAGGTGGATGGATTACTGAGCTCAAGATTTCAAGACCTGCCTAGGCAACATCATGAGACCTTGTCTCTACTAAAAATATAAGAAATTAGCTGAGCATGGTGGCACATACCTGTAGTCCCAGCTACTGGGGAGGCTGAGGCATGAGAATCACTTGAACCTGGGAGGTAGAAGTTGCAGTGAGCCGAGGTTGCACCACTTCACTCCAGCCTGGGTGACAGAGTGAGACTCTGTCTCCCAAAAACAAAAAAGTGCTCAAGGAGGCAGTTTTCAGCCCTTGATTGTTAATTCTTGGCTGCAGGAACAGAGGCTTAGCTGATTTTAAAGGAGATTTCCATGCATTTTGTCCTGCCATGCAGACTGAAGAATCTGTCCAAATGACAATTTCTTAATAATTGAACAAAATTAGTACTGAAGCTTATATTTAGATATGTTCTGTTCATTCAAAATCAAAGTCCTTGATTATCCTTTGGGATTAGGAAAAAAATCCTTTGGAATACTGGAGACTTCATAATCTTGATGGCTAATCATTGGTGTTTAGCATTTGTTGTACTAGTTTTAGGCCAACATTGAAGCAGTATAGACACTGTTGTGCTCTGAACGATTGTCTGTAATGGATAAACTGGGCAAATGATTGCCATCAAAGTGAATACAGGAAGATACCTCCTTTTAAATGGCCAGAAGAAATAAGGAAGGTTAAGAAAAAACAGGAGTTGACTTTTAAATAGCCCCATAGGAGTGGAGTGGTTGTCTCCTGTGGACCAGCAAGAGTAGAACGAGGCACCAGCTAGAAAACATCGCTTCTGGGACAAGAGACTCATGAGTTCCTGCCTCTGCTGCAGATTCCGCCTGCTCCTACGAAGGCTGACTTCAATGGTCCTTGAGAGAAGATGCAGAAACTGGGAGAAGGTAAAGGGTCTTTGACCAAAGAAGAATTTGCCAAGATGAAATAAGAACTGGAAGCTGAGTATCTCGCTGTTTTTAAGAAGACTGTGTCCTCCCATGAAGCCTTTCTTTAGTGGCTTTCTTCTCACCCTGTTCTCAGTAAAGATCGCAACTTTCATATTTTCCTGGAATATGATCAGGATCTAAGTGTTAGGTGGAAAAATACTAAAGAGATGTTTGGTGGCTTCTTCAAAAGTGTGGTGAAAGTGCTGATGCAGTCCTTTTTACTGGAGTTAAGGAGGTAGATGACTTCTTTGAGCAAGAGAATGACTTCCTTATTAACTATTAGAGTAGGATCAAAGATTCTTGTGTGAAAGCTGACAAAATGACCAGATCTCATAAAAATGTTGCCGATGACTATATTCACACTGCAGCCTGCTTACATAGCCTGGCTTTAGAAGAGCCCACAGTCATCAAAAAGTATCTATTGAAGGTTGCTGAGCTATTTGAAAAACTTAGGAAAGTAGAGGGTTGAATCTCATCAGATGAAGATTTAAAGCTAACAGAGCTCCTCCGATACTACATGCTCAACATCGAAGCTGCTAAGGATCTCTTACACAGATGCACCAAAGCCCTCATTGACTATGAAAAATCAAACAAAGCTCTGGATAAGGCCCAGTTTAAAGAGCAAAGATGTCAAGTTGGCTAAGGTACACTAGGAGGAGTGCTGCCAGAAATTTGAATAGCTTTCCAAATCTGCAAAGGAAGAACTGATAAATTTCAAACGGAAGAAAGTGGCAGCATTTAGAAAGAATCTAATTGAAATGTCTGAACTGGAAATAAAACATGCGAGGAACAGTGTCTCCCTTTTGCAGAGCTGTATTGACTTGTTCAAGAATAACTGATATGCCTTCACTCTGAAGAAAAGAAATGAATGTGAAAGAAAGCCAAACATCACTTGCACTTAAATCATTACCAGCGGAAGATTTATTGTCTTCAACTTTAGTTTAAAATTATGTGAATAAATATTTTGATTTCTACAAATCTTAACATTTAACCATGTTGGTTTAAAAATATTGTTGCTTGCTATTTGGACATAACTAATTTTTCCTTGTGCATTTAATACCTCTGGGCAGAATCTAAATACTGAGTTCTCCTGTAGTATGTCTTTAGTTACTAAGAGAGGATGTAGGAGACATATGCCTTCTGGAAACAAGTAGAAGCAATCATCTGGCCCATGTCCTACAAACCCATGAATGTCAGGGAGGTGCCAGTTACAGCAGGTGATTCAGCAACTTGAGGCAGGTAACAGACCTTCCATTCCTCACTGAAGGTGGGGTTTGTGTTTTTGTTTTGCCCCCTGTTACTCCCCTGGTAGTCATCTGGTGTTTGTACTATAACAACAGCAAGAAAATCTCATTTGTCTTTATGTACTCTTGGCACCTCCTTTTTTTAAATCGAGATATAAATATTTGAGGGGAGAAAAGTATCTACGGGTATATATGGAAACTGATAATGTGGTCTACTTTATAAGATGGCCAGATCTACATTAGGAAAAGTATGAGCTCCTTCCATAGTGTCTGTGGGAGGTGATGGGGGGAGAGGGGACAGTGTATGTCTTTGGCGTTTGTTTTTTTATAAAGTATATAATAAAATAATCATGCTACTAAAAAAAAGAAATTGAAGAGGACACAAAAAATGGAAAAATAGTCCATGTTCATAGATTGGAAGAAGCAATATTGTTAAGATGCCCACACTACCCAAAGCAATCTACAGATTCAATGCAATCCCTATAAAAATACCAATTATGTGCTTCACAGAAATAGAAAAAATAATCCTAAAATTTATGTGGAATCACAAAAGACTCAGAATAGCCAAAGTTATACTGAGCAAAAACAACAAAACTGGAGGAATCACATTACCTGACCTCAAATTATACTGTAGATCTATAGTAACCAAAAAGGCCAAGTACTAGCATAAAAAAACAGACATATAGACCAATGGGATAGAATAGAGAGCCCCAAAACAAATCCACACACTTACAGTGAACTCATTTTTGACAAAGTTGCCAAGAATATACATTGGGGAAAAGTCTTTTCAATAAATGGTGCTAGGAAAGCTGGATATCCATATGCAGAATAAAGAAACTAGACCCTTATCTTTCCGCATATACAAAAATTCAAATCAAAATGGATTAAAGACTTGAATATAAAACCTCGAACTATGAAACTACTAAAAAAAAGCATTGGGGAACTCTCCAAGACATGAGACTGGGCAGAGATTTCTTGATTAATACCCTACAAGAACAGTCAATCAAAGCAAAAATGGACAAATGGGATCACGTCAAGTTAAAAATCTTCTACACAGCAAAGGAAACAACATGAAGAGACAACCCACAGAACCCACAGAAATGGGAGAAAATATTTGTAAACTATCCGTCTGATAAGGGATTAATAACCAGAATATATAAGCAGCTCAAACTACTTTGTAGGAAAAAGACCTAATAATACTGTTTAAAAATAGCCAAAAATTTGAATAGACATTTCTCAAAAGAAGACCTACAAGTGGCCAACAGGCATATGAAAAGGTGCTAATATCATTGCTCATCATAGGAATACAACTCAAAACTACAATGAGATATCATCTCTCCACAGTTAAAATGGTTTTTATCCAAAAGTCTGGCAACAACAAATTCTGGCAGGGATGTGGAGAAGAGGGAACATTTCTACACTGTTGGTGGGGATATAAATTAGTACAACCACTATGAAGAAAAGTTTCGAGGTTCCTCACAGACAAAAATAGTGCTACTGTATGATCCAGCAATCTCATTATCAGGTATATATTCAAAAGAAAGGAAATCAATATATTGAAGAGATATCTGCACTCCTATGCTTGCTCTAGCACTGTTCACAATAGCCAAGATTTGGAGGCAACCTAAGTGTCCATCAGCAGATGTATAAATAAAGAAAACGTGGCACTTATACACAATGAAGTACTAGTCAGCCATTAAAAAAAAAAAAAAGAGAATGACATCCTGTCATTTACAACAACATGGAGGGAACTGGAAGTCATTATGTTAAGCGACATAAGCCAGGCACAGAAAGACAAACTTCACATGTTGTTCTCACTTATTTGTGAGATCCAAAAGTGAAAACAATTGAACTCATGGAGGTAGAGAATAGAAAGATGGTTACCAGAGGCTGGGAAAGATAGTGTGGTTGGGGGTGGAGGGCTGAAGAGGAGGGGGGATGGTTAATGAGTACAAAAAGAAATAGAATGAATAAGACGTAGTACTTGACAGCACAACATGGGGACTATAGTCAATAATAATTTAATTGTACTTTTTAAAATAACTAAAATAATATAACTGGATTGTTTGTAACACAAAGGATAAATGCTTGAGGGGATAGATACTCGATTTTCCATGATGTGATTATAATGCATTGCATGCCTGTAGCAGAATATCTCATGTACCCCATAAATATATACACCTACTAAGTACCCACAAAAATTAAAAATAAAAAAATTAAATTAAAAAAGGTACAGCATTTTAACCCTTCCTTGGAACCTAAGCTATGCATCTGAAAGGGGAGTTTTTAACTGTATAAGTCTGTCTAAATGCCTTAGTAACGTGATGAATTATAGTAACTCAGTGTTTTTTCCTCCCTATTTGCAGAATGTTAACCATTGCTATGTTTTCCAGAAAAACCCTATATTAGTTAGGATGAGTAAAGTTAGCTGCTATAATACACAAACATCACAACCTGGTGTTTGATAGAGCCCAGTCAGATGTTCCTGGTTGGCAGATGGTTTTCCTTATGATCTTTCATATGGGTGGATGAGTTCCTTCCATCTTGTGGCTGCATCCCCTTCTGGATCTTCAGCATTCTCTCTCTTCATTCAGCTAAAGTATAAAGAGAGCACAGGGAAGATATACCTACTTCTTAACTCTTTGTCCAAAAATGACATATATCACTTCTTACTTTCTATTAGCCTAAACTTGGTTTGTGGACACATCTGAGATAAAGGCTGCAAAAATATAATCAAACTATGCCTAGGAGGATAAGAAATCATTTTGGTAAATGCACAGCAGCCTGCCACAAATTTATTTGAAATTGATAATAATTGTTCTATTTAAGAAAATACCATAAAAACCCTAGAAGAAAACCTAGGCAACATCATTCAGGTCATAGGCATGGGCAAAGACTTCATGACTAAAACACCAAAAGCAATGGCAACAAAAGCCAAAATTGACAAATGGGATCTAATTAAACAAAAGAGCTTCTGCACAGCAAAAGAAAGTAACATCAGAGTGAACAGGCAACCTACAGAATGGGAGAAAATTTTTGCAATCTACCCATCTGACAAAGGGCTAATATCCAGAATCTACAAAGAATTTAAACAAACTTACAAGGGAAAAAAAAACATCAAAAAGTGGGCAAAGGATATGAATAGACACTCTCAAAAGAAGACATTTATGCAGCCAACAGACACATGAAGAAATGCTCATCATCACTGGCCATCAGAGGAATGCAAATCAAAACCACAATGAGATATCATCTTGCACCAGTTAGAATGGTGATCATTAAAAAGTCAGGAAACAACAGATGCTGGAGAGGATGTGGAGAAATAGGAACGCTTTTACACTGTTCATGGGAGTGTAAACCATTTCAACCATTGTAGAAGACAGTGTGGCAATTCCTCAAGGATCTAGAACTGGAAATACCATTTGACCCAGCAATCCCATTACTGGGTATGTACCCAAAGGATTATAAATCATGCTACTGTAAAGACACATGCACACATGTTTATTGCGGCACTATTCACAATAGCAAAGACTTGGAACCAACCCAAATGATAGACTGGATTAAGAAAATGTGGCACATATACACCATGGCATACTATGCAGCCATAAAAAAGGATGAGTTCATGTCCTTTACAAGGACATGGATGAAGCTGGAAACCATCATTCTCAGCAAACTGTCACAAGGACAGAAAACCAAACACCGCATGTTCTCACTCGTAAGTGGGTATTGAACAGTGAGAACACTTGGACACAGAGCAGGGAACATCACACCCCAAGGCATGTCGTGGGGTGGGGGGCAGGGAGAGGGATAGCGTTAGGAGAAATACCTAATGTAAATGACGAGTTAATGGGTGCAGCAAACCAACATGGCACATGTATACATATGTAACAAATCTGCACGTTGTGCACATATACCCTAGAACTTAAAGTATAATAATAATAATAATAATAATAATAATAAAAGAAAATAATAGGGTGTGGCCTGAAGAACATTCAGCCCTGTCCCTTTTGTGTCTGTGATGGGCCTTATGAGACACCCTTCTCAACGGTCTGTGATTCTGAACCAAGAGTGTCCTGGTATCTGAACACTAACCTGCCTGAACACTACCCCTGATCCTACCTTTACTTAGAGAGTGGAATCCTCAGATTTTCCTAATATGTCGACTAACGTTGTGAGAAGATTGCTATTTGGGATTGGCATTATTAACACCTCAGATGAACTTTATTTGTGGGTATGTTTTTATTTTTATTTTTATTTGTGGGTAGATTTTATTTGTGGATAGGTAGGTACATGGTGGAGGTGAAGGTAGAAAATGGAGCAGAAAAAGCATGCAAAACTCTGTCTTGTAAATACAATTAATCGAGTGTCAGATGTTGTGGCTTGAGAGTGTCCTTTTCTAAGATCTGTGAGGGAAATGGTAGACAGGTTGTTTCATCTTCATGCCTTCAATGCAATGTCTTAGTGACCAGGTGACTTCATCTCCATTAAGGTAAAATGCCTATGTTCATTAAGATAAGGTTAGATCGCTGTAGCACAAAGGCAGTGGCTTTGAAAAACACAGAAATTAATTTCTATCACATGTATAAGTATGAAGTGAGCATTCCAGGCTGGCAGACAGCTCCACTCCACATGGTCACTCAGGGACTCATGTTCCTACAAAAGAGCTGTTTCCCATAACCCCAGAGCCTGTCATCACTTTCACGGTCTCACTGGGTCACCTGGGTTCTACCCGTCCAGAAGGGGAAAGTGGATACGGAAAAAGCACCCCGCAATGTTTTAAGAAGTCAACAGGCAAGTACTACACATCATATCACCTGTGCTCATATTTCACTGCTGAGAACTATCCTTTGGTCACATCTAATGCAAGGGTATCTGGAAAATACAATATATGTAGGCAACCATATTCTCAGCAACAATCATTTTATTGTGGAGGAAAGCAAGAAAGAATCTTAGAGGACAGTCAGTAGTCTCTGCCACAGGGTCCATACAACCAAATAATGAGAGTGATAGTTAGAACAGAATCACACTTTTATTGCAAGACAAAAGAGAAGCATAATAAGCTTCAAACGTTGATACTATTATTAAGTTATTTAATAGGCCCTGGTGTGTAAAGCATTCAGAAAGTGTAGCTGCATATTCTTCAAATTCATATCTTAATTTCTTATAAGCATATGAAAATATTTAGAAAATTAAGAATAGTTTTCCACATTTGCTTTCATTCTCAGGACAGCATTTCATTTATGCATTTATGGAGCCTCTCTGCGTGCCAGTTGCTGTGCTAGACTCTGAAGGTATAAAGACAACTAAGATACAGCTCTGCTCTCAAGAAGTCCACAAACTAGTCATAGATATGATCTGGGTTTGGGTTTTTATTGGTTTTGTTTTTACAGTGCTGAATGGTGTGATTAGCGCTGACCTAGAGTTGTGTGCACAACTCAGCATGGGTGCACAGGGATGATTCAGGGGGCGTAGTTACAGAACACACGGGGCTAAACCTGAAAGTGAGGGTAGGAGTTGACCAGATGGACCCAAATAGGGAAAAACATTACTCGCTAAGGAAATGGTGTGGGCAAACTGAGAAAGTATAAAACAGCTCATGTGTGAAAGTGTTAGTGAGTTAGCCTGGAGTCTGAAGTGCAAGTCAGGGCAGAGCGAGTTGGGCTTATGAGCTTTGCATCGTGAGCTGCTAACAGATTTTATTCTATAGGTGATGTGGCTCCACTGATTCCCAAGACACCTGGTTGGATCTGGATTTAGAGAAATCATTAGCAATGTAAAATGATAGATTGGAATCTAAGGAGTTCAAAATGCCAGCAGTAAGGCTAAACATGCTGATGCTTTAGCTGAGAAAATTCTTGTGGAAAGAGTTCCATGTGCCAAAAGAAAAAAAAAAAAAACACTTGACAAAACTCTTAGGAATTTCGTCTTTTGAGAACAAAGTCATAAAAGAAATACACTTTTTAATCAAACTTATCATAGTGCCAGGTAGTATAAGAGAAATATATATATATACACACACACACATACACATATATCTTTATATAAAACATAAAGATACATATATCTTTATATAAAACAAATATATATATCTTTATATATATATATATAACAAAAATATGTATAGCATAAACCACCTTTGAAGGAGACAAGAAAGTGTGAGCTCATGACATAAGACAGTGTATAACTAGGCACACTGAAAGTGCAGGGGCTCCCAAGGCTGTGAGTATTCAGAGGAGGGAGTTTAAACCATGGCATAATGAGGGATTGGAACTTTGCCTTGAAAAGAGACAACCTGTCTTGGTTTGACTACGTTTCATAGGTACAAATAGAGGCAGATTCTTCTTCCTCAAATGAATGGGCATTTCACCCAAACATACCGACAAGGGAATGGCAGTTGCACAAGCAGCTAATTTCTTCTTCTCTTCCTATTGAGTACTATAATGGAAGAAAGGAGAGGATTATTAGCCAAAAAAGGGAATATTATAGTGTGAATATTTATGTTCCCCCAAATTCATATGTTGAAATCCTATTCTTTAAGGTGAAGGTATTAGTAAGGGGGGCCTCTGGAAAGTGATTAGGGCATGAGAGCAAAGCCATCATGGTTGGATTATTGTACTTATAAAAGAGACCCCAGAGAGCTAACTACCTCTCCCACCATGTAAGGGCACAGCTGGCAGGTGCCATCTAAGAACCAGAAAGCAACCCTCACCAGACACCAAATCTGCTGGTGCCTTGATCTTATATTTCCCAGTCTCCAGACCAGTAAGAAATAAATTTCTATTGTTTAGAAGCTACCCAGTTTATGGTATTTTGTTACAGCAGCCTGAACAGACTAACACAGGGAATTAATGGTTAGAATCTCTGTTTCCTCCAGGCAGGATTCAGCAGGAATACTGAAGAAGGGTGATGGAATAATTGTGACAGCCACTGGCTCATCTTAGAAGTCAGTTCCCTCAGATGAGAACCATAGAGGGTTGGTAGGGCGTAGTGAGAGCAGCAGCTGCCAGTAAGACAGACTGGATGTGAATCCTATGGCCTGAGGCTGTCCCAGAATGGTCCCCCATCAAGTGTCTTTATGCTCATGGAGGTACCTTTGTGATTTTTATGGAAAATAGCCACATATTCAGGGGCTGGGCCACTTGTCTCTTCAAGAACAGGGAGACCCTAGAGACCAAGGAGGGAAAGTCTTTATAAAGTGGCATTTGCTTGAGGGGCTAGAGGACCTGATAAAGGAAATATCCCAGGGACTCTGTGCAAAGACAGTTTGGTGAGGCAGAGGGCAAGCGTGCAGCAAAGAGTTAACACAGCAGGCCTGCTTTAGAAAGGCCTGCTTGCAAGGGTGGCCCTTGGCTGGTGTCTGGGAACTTGGCTTTCAAGACAGTTTCCACCACCCTGACTGCTAAGGGTAACTCGTGATGCATAAACTACATGTGCCAACAATACAATTTATGCTTTCTCCCTGAAACTCTGGAATTTTAGTACATGCTAAGCAGCTGGTGCCTATGTGACCAGCCCCCAATAAAAACCCTGGGCACTGAGTTTCTAACGAGCTTGCCTGTCAAACAGCATTTCACATGTGTTGTCACAGCTCATTGGGGAGGAATTAAGTACATCCTGTGTGACTTCACTGGGAGACGACTTGGAAGCTTGTCCTGTTTCCTCCCTACTTTGCTCCATGCACCTTTTCCCTTTGCAGATTTTGCTTTATAGTGTTTCACTGTAATAAATCTTAGCCATCAGTACAACTGTATTCTGTGTCCTGTGAATCTTCCTAGTAAATCAAACCTGGGGATGGTCTTGGGGATTCCTGAGACAGCAAGACTCACTGGAAGGACTCCAGTAGAAAACAGCTGCTCAGCATTGACACAGATAAGCACATATATTTGTTTTAATTTCTATCTTCCAGAATAAGACATTTGATTATTTTAGGTGTATCTTCCTTAACAACTGTAACTACTCAGAATCTTTCAGATTTTAGGAAGGCACTGAATATACCATATATTATTAAATGCCCCAGGAGGCCTGGGGAATACATACTAATGTACTCAAATACATTAGTATGGCTGCTTTTAATACATGAAAAGTCTCACTAAGAAGAATAAATAGAGGTTATATGTAGCCTCACATCAGTCCAGGTCAGGGCTCACCACCAGATGAGTTTCTGCCAAACTTAGGGGAAAAACACTTAAAATTTTTAGAGCATTTTGAATTTTCGCATTGCAGATAAGGGATTGTGGACCTGTATTACCCTCCTTCTTTTGCTTATCCGGAAATTAAGGCTTAGAAAAGTTAATTGATTTGCCAACAGTAGCACAGCTTGTATCTGATCTGGATTTCAAATTTAGGACTGTCTAGGCTACATGCCCGAGAACTCTTATCTATCACTCTAGACTGTCTTTCTAGCTACTTATTTTAAGAATATGTCTTCAGTGTCTGCATACTACTAAGGAGGAAGTAATGTGTGAACAAGGGAGAATAGAAAAGAAGAAAGTAATTATATTTTTTTGACATGGCCATTTACATAATTTACTTTCCTTCATGAAATGGATTCCTAATATATATTTATTGTTACCTTCTGTAAGTCTAACTGCATGACAAGGCCCAAAAGAGAAATATCCACCCATTCTCTCTCCTAGGGTATGTCTGTTATATCCTTATAGTCATTCTCAGAGTGTGAGTGAGAGAGTGTGTGTGTGTCTGTATGCATGTGTGTGTGTGTGTGTGTGCCCCTGTATTTGCATTTTGCCTTCCAAGGCAGCAGGAGTGTGTCTTATTTTCTCTCTGTTTCTCTTTTATTGCATAATGCTCAATAATTCATTTAAGTTGATATGCTTTCATTAAATTGAGTAGAAAATTACCTTGGCTGAATGAAGATAACTCCCAGATTTCTCTGCATGGGGAGGCCAGCCACCTCGCACTTACTGGAGAAAGTTCTTAATAGACTTACCCACTTTTACCCTCATTGTGGCAACAAAGAAATGGTTTGGAGAAAAGAGAAACAACAGGACTCCTTCCAGTAAAACAGGAAAATATATTTTACATAGGTATTTGCTGTGAGGAGGATTTGAAGGGACAGGAAATCACTATCAAATACATGTGAACTGCCAAGTTTCATTTTGACTTTTCTGCTCCTACCTGCCTCTCACTTTAAAAAATAAGTGCTTGCTTACCCATGTTTAGGCAATAGAAAAAATAAAATAAAAAAAAATAAATGCTGTATCAATTAGATAGATGTCGGTAACCCAGTTTTCTGAATCCTGACATCCCAGAATGTAAGAATTTGTCATTCTAATAAGTCTGTTCTGCCTCAACTTGTAAATCAGCTTAATTCAATTCTAAGTGAAATCTCTCGTTTTTCATTATGTCTGACACAAGCTTAGTAATTCTCAGAAAATAGTCCTTGTGAAATGAAGCTCAGCTGGAAATTCTGATATTCGATGATGCTTACACTAACAACTGTCATTCTTGGCAATGGCTTCATTATTCAGTGACACAGTTAAGAGCCTTGTTTTACTTTTATTCAAAAATGTCTTTGTCTTTCTCTGCTTGTTCCAGCAACAGTTTTCCTGGAGTTTTGGAAAAGACGGCGAGCAGTAATTGCTTATGACTGGGATTTGATAGACTGGGAAGAAGAGGAGGTTTGTATCATTTACCTCAGAATGTTGTAAAAAGCAAATCACCCAGAACCACACGACCCCCCCCCAAAATTGTCACTCTCTGTTCTGTGACGGAAGTCAGGTGTACTCATAAAGCATTTTCAATTGCCTTTTCAGAAAATTTCAAGCAGTATAAAAATGGACTGACAATTTTTGTAAATTTTTGATTCCTTAGTGGAATCAAATCCCTTGATTAAGTGGAGAATTCCACTTGTAGGTAGAGGCACCAGAAGAATTGGTGGTGTAGCTTTTTTTTTCCATTTTCTTAAAAATCATCCTTTTTTCTCTAACTTCAGCAGAAAAAGAGCATTCATTTGACATCTCCAGGTACATGGAAGCAATCCTTCCAAGAGAATTACCCAAAGGCAGTGTGTCTGTGAGCAGCACCCAGGACCGTGCCCAGGTGTGCACAGGCTCTGAAGTATGACATCAAGTGTTCCGTGCTGGGGACAATCCACTCTGAAGCGGCCACCTTGGGAGACGTGGTTAAATGGAGGGCCAGCTCTAGACAAAACTGCCAAGGAGGGCCAGACTCAGCCCACCACTGTCCCTTAGCGTCTTCTAGGCCAGTCCGTTGTTCTCCTCCTGACCTGTCTTGTTCTAATAGTCTCTTCTTGCCCCTATTCCTGTCGGAAGTCTGAAGTACCCACACTAGGCGTGGTCACCACGGTCCCCTCTTGGACCCTGCTTCCCTTGACAGTTGGTCCAGGCCTCAGCCCCACTCTCCTCCCTCTCGTTCATTATCTCTTACCCCTCCTGAGTCTCATTTCCTCAGAGCCTTGCTGTGCCAGTAAATCAGATAAACCACTCATATGTGTAATAGTTTTTTGATCATGGCTATTAATATGTGTTTTCCTTGAAGGGAACACATGTATATATTTTCATGTATAAAAAAGAATCTTTCAGAAATATGAACGATGTGAATTTTAGCCCTGTGGTAGGCTTGGTGGGGGAAGTAATTCTGAGAGGTATTTTTGTTGTTGTTGTTTGTTTCCTTCACACTATGCCTCCTCAATGGCTGCCTGTTCCCCTTCTCCCATGAACATGTTTGGGTAGTTTTTTGGTTTGGTTTGGTTTGGTTTTGAATGTACTTCAGGTGTACAACAGGAGGTTTTGATACATGACACTGAGATTTTCAGCAATCCTTGTTCTCCTGATAAGGCTTTCTTTCATGTTTTTATAAATATTCTCCAGGCCAGGTGCGGTTGCTCACACCTGTAATCCCAGCACTTTGGGAGGCCAAGGAAGGGGTACCACTTCAGGCCAGGAGGAGGATTTGAGGATAGCTTATAGATGGCCATCTTCTCCCTGTGTCTTCAGGCCAGGAGTTCGAGACCAGCCTGGCCAATATGGTGAAACCCCATCACTACTAAAAACACAAAAATTAGCTGGGTGTGGTGGCATGCAGCTGTGATCCCAGCTACTTGGGAGGCTGAGGCACAAGAATTGCTTGAACCCAGAAGGTGGAGGTTGCAGTGAGCCAAGATTGCACCACTGCACTCCAGCCTGAGTGACAGAGTGAGACCCTGTCTCAAATAAATAATGTGTATATATATTTTTTCTAGGTTCTAGATATATATATATATATATTATATATATATATATATACATACACATATACATATATATAAATAGATTTTCTTCAAGTGGCCAATTTTCAAACATATATATATATGTGTATATATATCTAGAACCTAGAAAAAAAATATACATATATATATGTATGTGAGTGTGTGTATGTGTGTGTGTGTGTGTATACATATATATTCTAGGTTTGAAGAAGCTTCCCAGGCTGACTATGACATCTATTGGTAGCAGCCGGACTGCATTCAGAAATTCCTCTTGTGTGGTGCCATTCTGCTGTTTCTGGTTATATGTGTTCATGGGAACAGTTCCCAGTGGGATGGAAAATATTCTTTCCTGGGAATCACCTTGGGCAATTTACTTCACCTTTGGACTTTAAAAATCTCTAATGAAAAGAAGTGGGACTAAATTTTCCCCTTCTATCTGTAAAGTGTGGCCCTATTTGAGTAACTTTGACTAAACCAGTCTACAATCATTGTTGGCGTTTGTGGTGGGCCCCTGATGTGGGCACCCTTCTGGGGAACGTATGTATCCCTTATAAGTGTGGAGCCTTCTGTCTTCCCAGCCCCTGATAAAAAGCGTGGAGTGCTGAATTGTCCTCTCACTCTGCATACCTTTGTACAGGAGCCTACATACGTAGCCATTCCCAGCTTGGGATTCCTTGTGGAAATGCCTCACTTCTAGCCCATGATTTCTACCTTATTGTGCAGAAAAACCCAGACTCGCTGCAGACCTTCTGGGGCAACCTCGCACATTAGTTTGTCAGGGCTGCCATAACAAAGTACCACAGACTGGGTGGCTTCAACAATAGAAACTTACATGCTCACAGTTCTGGAGGCTAGAAGTCCAAGCCAAGGTGTCAGCAGGGTTGGTTCTTTCTGAGAACCATCAGGGAAGGATCTGTTCTAGGCATCTTTTCTTGGCTTATAGATGGCCATCTTCTCCCTGTGTCTTCACATCGTCTTCCCCCTGGGTGTCTCTGTGTCCAAATTTCCTCTTCTTATAAAGACACCAGTCATATTGGAGTAGGGTCCACCCTAATGACCTCATTTGAACTTAATTACCACTATAAAAAAAACCTGTTTCCACATATGGTCACATTCAGTACTGCGGGTTAGGACTTCAGCAGATGAATTTGGGGGAAGCAAGACACAATTTGGCCTATAACACCCAGCGATATGGTTTGGCTGTGTCCCCACCCAAATCTCATCTTTAGTTGTAGCTCCCATAATCCCCATGTGTTGGGGGTTGGACCTGGTGGGAGGTAATTGAATCATGGGGGTGGGTTTTTCCTGTGCTGTTCTCATGATAGTGAATAAGTCTCTTGAGATCTGATGGTTTTATAAAGGGGACATCCCCTGCACATGGTCTCTCTTGCCTGCCACCATGTAAGATGTGTCTTTGCTCCTCCTTCACCTTCCACCATGACTGTGAGGCCTCCCCAGCCATGTGGAACTGTCCATTAACCCTCTTTTTCTTTATAACTTACCCATTCTTGGGTATTTCTTCATAGCAGTATGAAAATGGACAGATACATCCAGGAACACAGACCTGTCTCCATGATTGGCCTTAGTTCTCGGATGACTAGCTCAAGGGCTCTTGATGACACTTATGGCCCAATAAATTGAAAGTTTCCCAAAGAAGCAGAAGATTCTAGGTCTGCTATGTTTATCTCCTCAAGTATAACTGCCTAAAATAAATGAAAGACAGAGCCTGCTCCTAATGTATCTCCTGCTGATCTTACCCATGACCTACCCCTGAGGGAAGTCCAGCCTTGGGCTAATTCAGTGGCAGGAGCCAGGCTGAGCCATGTGAAGGCCATCCTTCATGCTACATGGGCAGGCTGCTGCCAAACTGGGCTCTCTCTCCATGACCTCTCTTCTGTCAGCTCGTTCCTTGCTTTCTGCCAGTACCTTCATCCGAATCTTGACCATTTCTGCCTGGATTAACTCAATCTCCATTTCAGCAGAGTTTCTGCTCATTTGCCATCCTCTCCCAACACTCTCAAACATAATGCATGCTTAATTAACGGGAACCACATCAGGTTCCCTTGCTGATTGCCTTTTCCTAATCTCATAATTGGTTTTTAGTCAGAAGCTTTTCACATTCAGGAGGCTCAGCTAAATGAAATAAAATCTCAGTTTGATTTAGAATTGGAGGAACCTTGATTTTAACTGGTTTTGAAAGGTGCTTACCTTGTTTTCAATTAAGAATTAAGAATATACCTAAAGTCTATTGGTTAAAGATGAATGACTCCTATAGGAACTTATTAAAAAGTAGATTCACCATGTTTTTAGTGAACTAAACCTAAAAATGCAAAAAAAAATTGCTGGAGAAAACTAAGAATTATATTGTCATTATAACTTACAAAATGGATTTTGAACATTTTCCTGTAGAGAAGCCTTCTTTGTCCTGGTGTTTCTTATCACTCTCTGGTAATAAAAGTAAAAGCTTATTAGTTGTTCCAAACCATTAGGACAGGACAGCTTGTCCCTTTTAAAATACCATTCTCAGGGTGGTTTTTTCTTCAAGGTTAGTTTTATAAGATAACAGATAAATGTAACTGTTAGTCCAAATTTCTTTGCTTTTGATGATAGTAAATCTTGATCTTCACTCTTTAGATTTTCTTCAAGTGGCCAATTTTCAAACATTTAAGCCTGGGCACCCAAACCCACTTCATTGGTTGACTAATTAGTGTGGCAGCTGTTGACTCTGTTTTATGGTGGGGTAAAATGATATTTCTTTTTTTATTGTGTGAGCACCTCTTTAGTGCATTAAAATGTGTCTGCTTGTCCTTTAGGAAGAAATACGACCCCAGTTTGAAGCCAAGTATTCCAAGAAAGAGCGGATGAATCCAATTTCTGGAAAGCCAGAACCTTATCAAGCATTTACAGATAAATGCAGCAGACTTATCGTTTCTGCATCTGGAATATTTTTTATGGTTTGAAACTTTTAAAAAAATATTTGTTTCATAAAATACAAACCTATAGCATAATAACAGTAATCATATTGGGCATTTGCATTGTTCTACAAAATATTTTTGCACTTTGTTATTTATTCCTCACAGTAACTTCGTCTGGTGGTCAGGGATGGTATTGCTATCCCCATATTACAGATAGAACAACTGAGACTCCAACAGGTTATGGGGCTTGCCCGAGGTCAGCCAGTAGGTAGCTAAGAGCTGAGACCCTCTAATCTGATATTCTTTCCTCTTGCCATATTCTACTGTGTGATGCTGAAAGGAGTCAAAAATGTGAGACAGGATGTACAGTAGTGTTTTTCAAACTTTTCACCATGCCCATACAGTAAGAAATATATTCTCTGTCATAACCCCGAATATGCCAAGCAAGTAGATGTATAAAACAGTGTAAGTAAAACAGTGCTCACCTTTATAATATGCATAAGCTCTGATTTTGTTTTATTATAGTATATTTTTAATGACAGATTAGCCTCCTAAAATTAATTTCCTGACTCACTAATGATCATGTCAGTTTGAAAAACAGACCTCAGTTTTTAGCTTTTCCTAAAAAGCAGTCTTAGTAATTAACTTTAACACTGTTAATTACTGAACAAAACATATGCAGATGTTTCTGAAATGTCATTTTAGAACAGTAAAGGATGATTAGGATCCTCCTTTCCTTTTTTCAAATGATGAGTATATAAATATATGCCTAGACCATTAGAGTAGGAAGGACAAGACTATAGCAAATTCAGACAGGCTACTCCCTTTTTCCAGTGAAGAAACTGGGGAGATGAAGGGCTGGGCAGCTTACCCAGACTCCTTGGCTCAGACCAAGATTCAAATCCATGCCTGTCTACAGATACTGCTTTTAAGCAACTGTGTCATGCTTTGCCTTCTATGTACATATTCATATTTATTGTATTGTTTCTTACAAAGACCCATAGACATAGATTAAGCTTTTCCTGTTCTATGGATGGGGAACTTGGAACACAGGAGGCTGGAGCTATGGAAAGGACAAGCTTGCCCAAGGTCACACTGCTGGGTGATAGCTGAGCTAGGGCTCTAATCTCTCTTCTGACTTTGAATCCAGCCAGCTGTCCATCCTACCTCATTGCCATCCTTGTCTGAATTTCAGCATAGATTTTACCTGTCTCCTGATCAACAGCACTACAATTAAGATCTGGACAGGTTTTTGTTTATTTTATTGTTATTTTGGCCAGTCTGAGCTAGGACTTGTACTTGAGCTTTTAGAACATATCTCCCTTAAAAGTAAGCAGAAAATAAATTATGTGCAAAACAGGAATACTTTTGTGAAGAAAGGAATCTCTAAATCAGCAGAGGCCTTCCTGAGGCCTGGCTTCAAGGTCTAGCCTTTGATAATTAAGTGGGTTAAGGTCTCTAAGACATGTTAATATTAGGTAATCATCTAATGAAAGTCACAAAACTTTTTGGAGTCTCAGATTTGCATTAAAGTCAGCCCTATGTGTCTGTGGGTTCTGCATTTATGAATTCAACCAGCCACAGATGGAAATTTTTTTTAAAAAAAGGTTAGTTGTAGCTGTACTGAACATGTACAGCTACATGTCATTATTTCCTAAACAATACAGTATAACTATTTACATAACATTTACATTGTATCAGGTATTATAAGTAATCTAGAGATGATTTAAAGTATATAGGAGGTTGTGTACAGGTTATATGCAAATACTACACTATTTTATAGAATGGACTTGAGCATCTGTGGATTTTGGTATCATGGTGTTGGGGGGTGGTTCTGGGCCAATCCGTCATGAGGATACTGAGGGACAACTGCATTTCATAGAGAAAGAAGATATGCTGTATTGTTCTCAAATGCCATGAAATCTTCAGGGAAACATGCTTCAGTCTGTGTGAATATCAGATTAACAAGATATGTACCTATCACGTAGTTGGTTCACTCAACAGCAAATAACTGAGCACTTACTATGCATCTGTAATTATGCTAAGGTGCTGTAGAAACCATGTGAGCAAAAAAGACTCCTTCCCTGTCCTTATGGAGCTTACTTTCTAGTAGGGGAGCCTGAGAATAGTCAAACAGATTGTTAGAAATTATAAGTAGTGTCCTGAAAAAGATGTAACCATATGGTATGGCTACCACATGACAACACGAAAAACAAATAGTCTGGGAGTCATGAAGAACTTTTATTATGAAGTGGTGTTTGAGCTGAGAAGTGAGGAAGGATGAGTAGGTGTTAACTAGGCTGTGTGTGTGTGTGTGTGTGTGTGTGTGTGTGTGTGTGTGTGTGTTCGGCAAGAGATTGGGTGGGTAGGTATTACAGGCAAAGGAAATAGTCTTGGCAATTAAGGGTGCTTAGCCCGTTTGATGTAATGAGAGAAGCTGTGGGGACCCCAGAGGGAAGGAAGAATGGTGCCCAAAGGGGCTAGAGAGAGGGTCTTGCAGGCTGCGTAAGGGTTTTGCTTTTATCCTAGAATAATAGGAAACTAATAAACAATTTTAAACCGAAGAGTGACATGATAGGATTTCCATATGAATATTTGTCCATCTGCTCAATGTATATTCTGCATTAAAAAGTGTTGTCCCATAGCTTACACAGATTCTCAACTTTCAAGCGTGTAGTTCTTTTATTTTAATTAAAAAAAATAGAAAAAGGCAAGAGAAAGTATTAACCACAATGAAAAGTATGCATTTGATTGTGATCTCTTGAGCAGTACTGCCATGGTGTTACTTCCTTTTCCCATCAGAGGATGTTCCAGGAATGTGAATCCTCTTCCTGTAACATTCCACCAAGAGGTTCACCGGGTGTCTTGTCTTCCTGCCAGATCTGCGTGGTGATTGCTGCCGTGTTCGGGATCGTCATTTACCGGGTGGTGACTGTCAGCACTTTCGCTGCCTTTAAGTGGGCGTTAATCAGGAATAACTCTCAGGTTGCAACCACAGGGACTGCTGTGTGCATCAACTTCTGTATCATTATGTTGCTGAATGTGGTAAGTGAGCTGCAGTGGCTAGCCAAACGGATCAAAATGTGTGGGCTGCAAGTGACAGTTTTCTTCTGTTGCTAAGGGGATCTGGCCTCAGAGAGGTGGGCCATTCACATAGCACTGATGTCCTGGCAGCGAAGTGCCTGGCATGAAGATGCACTTGGGTCTGAGTGCTTAAAAGTCTTGATTCAAATCTAGACTCCGGGCTTTTCTGCAGTATAAGATTGGGCAAAGCACATAACCTCTCTGAACATTAGTTCCCTTATTTATCCAATAAGATTATATTGTGAACCCCTTAAGTAAATTTAGAGAAAGAATTTAGAACACTCAGAACCTGTGACACAGCATTGCAATGTTGGTTCCTGTTTCTTTTTGATTATCAATGATAGGAAGATAGACAGTATCCAAAGCATTCCTGGCTAGGTACAGGGGCTCATGCCTATAATACCAGCATTTTGGGATGCTGAGGCCAGAGGATCGCTTGAGCCCAGGAGTTCAAGACCAGCCTAGGTAACATAGTGGGACCTTGTCTCTACAAAAAAAAAAAAAATTAATTAGCTGGTCATGGTGGTGTGCCCCTGTAGTCCCAGCTGCTTTGTGGGGCTGAGGTGGGAAGGTCACTTGGTTCAGGAAAGTGAAGGCTTCAGTGAGCAGTGACAGGGCCACTGCACTCAGCCTGGGTGACAGAGGGAGACCCTGTCTCAAAAAAACACAAAAACAAACAAAAACCAAAGCATTCCTTGATATAACCCTGCAAGGAAACCGCCAAGCTGGTACATATTGCTTTTGTTGATTTCCAGGCTTTTTCAGATAGCATATTTCAGCCCAGATTTCTTTCCTGAATCCCCAAACTCACACGTTAAACTGCCTGCTTGACCATCTCCACCTAACACTTTCAAACCCAACTCCTCATCTTCCCTCCAGAATCAGCTCCTCCCACAGCCTTCCTAATTGTACTTGCCCAGACTAAAAGTCGTGGCATTCTACTGGACTCCTCTATTTCTCTGGCTGTCTAAATGTATCCAGAATTTGATCACTTTCTGCACATCCCGAAGTCCCACCCTGGTCCAAGTCTGCAGTGTCTCTTGCCGAGATTATTGCAGCAGCTTCCTAACTGGTCTCCCAGCTTTCACATTGCTCCCTTCAATCTAGGCTCAACATGGAAGCCAGAGAGAGCTTCTTACATGTAAGTCAGTTCACATGGCTCCTGTGTTCACAAGGTGTAGTGGCTTTCCTCTCTCTCACAGTAAAAGCCTGCGAGGCCACATCTACACAGTGGCCTCACGGGCTTTCGCTCATCTGGTCTGTGTGACATCTCTGACCTCATCTTTTCTTTTACTCACTGTGATTCACCTGCTCCAGCCGCACTTGTCCTTTTGATGCTCTCACCCCAGGACTTTTTTTATTTGCTGTTCTCTCTGCCTGGAGCCTTTTCCTCCCACAGGGTCTGCATCGCTTAGTCCCTCACCTCCTTCCAGTCTTTGTTCAAATGTCACTTCTCTAGTAAATGCTTCCCTGGTCACTCTGTTTTAAATTGCAGCCCACTCCTGCTATCTGACAATTTCCCATCTGCTTGCCTGTGTTTTTTCTATAGCATTTATCACCATCTAATATGCTATATATTTTACTTATTTATTTTGTTTATCTGCCATTTCTTTTGGAATGTAGGCCCATAAGGGCAGAAGCTTTTCTTTATTTTGTTTGTTTGTTTATTTTTTTTTCACTGTTGTTATTCCCTAGTGTCTGGAACAGGGCCTGGCACATAGTAGATGCTGTGTAAATTGTTGTTGCTATTTTTTGTAGAACAAAAGTAGTGCCTGACATGGTCGGCTGCTGAGGTCAACCTATACATAAAAATATGGCCAGGCACTGTGGCTCATGCCTGTAATCCCAGCACCCCATCTCTACAAACAAAATTTTTTTTTAATTAGCCAGGTGGCACACCTGTAGTCTCAGCTACTTGGGAGGCTGAGATAGGGGGATCACTTGAGCCTAGGAGTTCACGACTGCAGTGAGTCATGATTGCACCACTGAACCCTAGCCTGGGTAACAGAGCAAGGACCTGTAAAAAATTAAAAAAATTTTAAAAGCTGACCTTAAAGGTTTGTAGTGTAAATAAGTAAAACAATGTACATAGAGTGCCAAGGACAGTTGTTAGGCATGGAGTAGATGTTCAATTAATTATAGTTCCCCTATCCTTATTTATACTGCGTCTTAAATCTGGGCCATAATGCTGAAATGCTTACATCTTTGAAAAAAGATTTTCCAAAGGCCAACTAATTTAATACTATTATCCATACAGGTTTATCTATGTAGCTTATCATTTCTAGTTCTTTAAACAATCCTGAGTTCCATAACCAATAAAACTTGAGTGATTCCTAAGAGAATTCAACCTACCCAATAACAAAGAACTTAATTTATGATCACTAGGTTAACTAGTAATCAATGAGCTAATTAAATGCAGGTAGCTCATTATTAGTATTAAAATACATAAAACATCTTTATTATTTTAGGAAAAAAGTTTCAAGACTCAGAAGTAATAAAAAAAAAAGGGCAGTTGCTGATCATTTTGACGTGATGTTTGTGCGACAGCTTAGCAAGTGGAGATTGAAAGTAGATGGTTAGCACTTCCTGTACCTCCCCCTTTTGACCCCCCACCAGGACTCGGTCTGTGTTAACTGTGGAATACACATTGTAGGTAGAGAGTGATTCCTAGTGAAATTAACCAAACAGCCATAGGTGAAATGTTTTGCATCCCATTAGGATGCAATGAATTAATGCCTACTATATTGTTATCATCTATTTCCTCCAATGTCTTAAAATTTAATTTATACATCTTCTTAACAAATAAATGCCTGTGTGGCATGGGCAAAGGCTTCATGACTAAAACACCAAAAGCAATGGCAACAAAAGCCAAAATTGACAAATGGGATCTAATTAAACTGAAGAGCTTCTGCACAGCAAAAGAAACTATCATCAGAGTGAACAGGCAACCTACAGAATGGGAGAAAATTTTTACAATCTACCCATCTGACAAGGGGCTAATATCCAGAATCTACAAAGAACTTAAATAAATTTACAAGAAAAAAACAAACAACCCCATCAAAAAGTGAGCAAAGGATATGAACAGACACTTCTCAAAAGAAGACATTTATGCAGCCAACAGACACATGAAAAAATGCTCACCATCACTGGCCATCAGAGAAATGCAAATCAAAACCACAATGAGATACCATCTCACACCAGTTAGAATGGTGATCCTTAAAAAGTCAGGAAACAACAGGTGCTGGAGAGGAGGTGGAGAAATAGGAAAGCTTTTACACTGTTGATGGGACTGTAAACTAGTTCAACCATTGTGGAAGACAGTGTGGCGATTCCTCAAGGATCTAGAACTAGAAATACCATTTGGCCCAGCCATCCCATTACTGGGCATATACCCAAAGGATTATAAATCATGCTGCTATAAAGACACATGCACACATATGTTTATTGCAGCACTATTCACAATAGCAAAGACTTGGAACCAACCCAAATCTCCATCAATGGTAGACTGCATTAAGAAAATGTGGCACATATACACCAAGGAATACTATGCAGCCATAAAAAAGGATGAGTTCATGTCCTTTATAGGGACATGGATGAAGCTGGAAACCATCATTCTGAGCAAACTATCGCAAGGACAGAAAACCAAACACCGCATGTTCTCACTCATAGGTGGGAATTGAACAATAAGAACACATGGACACAGGGTGGGGAACATCACACACCAGGGCCTGCCGGGGGTGTGGGTGAGGCGGGAGGGATAGCATTAGGAGATATACCTAATGTAAATGACGAGTTAACGGGTGCAGCACACCAACATGGCACATGTATATATATGTAGCAAACCTGCACATTGTGCACATGTACCCTAGAACTTAAATTAAAAAAAAAGAAAGAAAGAAATGCCTATGTACAGGAAGTGAATCTGTAAATACACACTTGCCCATATGTTTCGAGCAGGTGCCAGTGTTGTCAGAGTAAAACACTTCATTTAACTGGAAATCATTGATCCAGCAATATCTATTTCAAGACACAGCCTAGATAAGAGGAAGTAAACAAATTCAAAATGAAGACGGGAGCATAGGGAGTGGCAAAAGTACGTAGTTGCTGATGTTACAAAGCACCTGCTATATGCTGGGAGCTAGGCTGCTAGGCATTTTACATCTTTTGTCTCCCAGAGTGTTTTAGACTAGCCAACATGGATGAGGTAGAGTTCACACTCGAAAGCTAACACATATTATTCTTAGGGATGCCCTTGTGGTTTTTCATTTATTTTAGATATAACATGAACATCTTTGGTACTCTGATTTTCAGCCAACATCAAACTAGAATAACATAAGGTTGCTAACGCAAGAATACTGATGAGAACAGGGAATGACAAGCCATAGCAAAGAGAGGGAAAGAAAAGAAAAAATGTACATAAGAACTCTAAAAGCAGCATCAACCAGGACCTCTTTGTGCAGGGGCCAGTTATCTTACCCTCCTCAGCTATCTGTGATGATGTCTCATCCCCGCACACACATTTACACTCCTGTCCCCTGAGGTTTTGTGGGTACCATTATGAGGGCAACCAAATGTGTAATATAGTTGGAATGGTTTCATCAGAACATCTTAAAAAAATTTTAAGTCGTTTCTATCAGCATAAGGGATGACAGACTAAAGGTTGTAATATAGCTTTGACCAGTTCAGAAGTAAACTCTCCAGTGGCTTCTGAAATTACTCAATGTGAGATATTATCGTGACCCAATATAGATTTTTTACAGCTGTCTATTGTTTTCAACTACTTAACATATTGACCATACTTTTCTTCCAAAGGTAATCATTATTTAGACATTAATTATTAATAATTTTTATCAACTAAATATAAAAACCTTGAGAGCTAGATTAAAGACTCTGATTTTTTAATAATTATTATAAATCACATATCCCATTTCTGACTTTTTGCTAGATTTGTCCAGTGCTAACTAAAATAACTAAAATATTTTTATATAGTATTTACTTTAAAATTTATATTATTTTTACAAAAGCCCTCTAGGTCCTAATGAAATATTATGCCTCTTAATGGCTGGTTAAGGGGCACTTAGTAGTTCACATTTTATTCCGTGTCTTGAAAAATAAATATTTCAAAGATAGAGTGAATAGAAGTGAATAGGATGGAATTTCTTGTTCCCGATCATATTGTCTCAATTCTGTTCTGCTTCACTAGTGACCGAAAAACATCCCAATATGGTGGTTGCAAGCCAAATAGGCCAACAAAGGCTATATCCCAGGAATAGACTAAAAAGTTATTATCATCCTTTTTATCCAGCCATGCCAATCTGAATCAGATATTTAATTATACTATAAACACATCTCATCTTCCAAAAAAAAAAAAGTAAAAGTACACCAGATAATATAGCTTGCATCAGAGCAAGTCCACATTTATTGATCAGCCTGGCAAGATAAAAGTAGAAGTACACACAGCTTCCTTTTGGACATATCTGTAAGATCAGAAAGCTTTCTGCCGGTTACAGATATTCACAATGAGAATTTGCAGCATCCAGTTTGGAAACTTAGATTTTCCACTGCTCTTAGCAGAACAAACTTCCCGTGGTTTATCTCTCAACCGTCTAATGAGAAATCAGACATTTTTCCAGAAACCACTCATGTGGAGATCTCTGAGCGGCTGTGAGTCCCTCTGTGTGTGTGCCCTTCCCTCCTGCATCCTGTCCAATGTCTCACAGTCCATATCCTTATATGTATATCCTTCAGCATATATATGAAGTAGTCACAGATGCCATGGATCCCTACTGTGTCCCTGTATGCTTTACCTTATTTTTCACAAGGTTAATATTACTCATATGTTGACTCTTATGTTGTTCCTTTTTTTAAAATTACAATGTTTTCAGTGTTCACACCCATGTAACAAAGGCATATCCTCAGCTCCGAGGGCCTTTTAGACAAGTGTGCAAAGTGAGGTACTGTGACCTACACATCATTGTGAAAGACATAAAAGATAAACCAGTTAATCAAGAATTGTATTTTTGAGAAAGGTTGTCTCATCAGTCAAATTAATTTTCCCTGATAATTACATAATTAAATAATTGTAATGTTATAATGCCTTCGTAATACATTGTAATATTAAAATATATTTGATTAGAACATCTGTTCTTATCTGTTGTTTACTAGGATTTTGTTTTTATGATCAAATGGGTATGACTAACCTATGTCACAAGGTTTCTTATGGAAAATGACACCAATCTCCATTACCACTGGACTCCAAGAGTCTGAGATTTCTAGACATAAGATTTGTTCCTATGCCATATTAATATATCCTAATATAGCAAACCATAATTGTTGCTGAAAGTTTGGAGTCATACATACAGATTATGTTGTTTATTTCTGTAATTAGCAGAAATCTCAGATAAGAGAATTCAAAAATTAAGCAGGACAGGAAGGTCAGTAAGTTCAATACCCATCCTGCCCACATATAAAGAAAAGGATGGTCTGAAGAAGAGATAAGGAACTTGCCAAAGTCCTGTAGCTTGCTGGATGGTCAAGCTGTAATTCCAGCCTGGGCAATTTTAACCAGTGTGTTTTTACTACTTTCATCTAAATGTGTTCTTAATCTTCATATTGTTCCAGTCTATTAAACTACTTTTCCTTTTCATTTTCACTTACCGTCTTTTGTTTTAGAAACAGCACTTGATGTTTCAATTATACCCACTCTGGGGAATTTCCTAGAGCTGGATTTACCCTAGACTATACTCTCTGCTCCTTGGTACACACACGCACACACAAACACACATACACACATGCATACATGTACCCCACCCTCAGAACCATCTATTGACCAGATGGCTGGGTGAGTTAAGGATGCGTGAGTTAAGGAGGCATCGGGTCCACCAATGGAAAAGTGGAGTACCATAAGCTCTGGGAATTTCCAGTAATGTTTAATCACTTCAGTGCTTTTGAATGCTGTAATCTAGAGTTTACAGCAGTCCATAAAGAATAGGATTGCAGGATCTTACCATCAGAAGCGGGCTTAGAGATTTTACGTTCAAGATGCAGAGGTTCAGCAATATTATGACTACCCAGCACTGCCTAGAAAGCTGGTAATGAATAGCAGCTAGCCTTGTTGCCATAAAATTATTCGCCCCAAAATAAGAAGTGAGATTTTATAAATAGTTAGATAGGACCTTGTACATTTCTTTCTTGCCCTGAAAATTACGCTAATCTCCATTACCAATGGACTCCAAGAGTCTGAGATTTCTATACACAATGTTTTCATTGGTTGAGCAATGGATGCTTAATGAAATTATTTTGACTCGTGATTTGACTCCCTATTTCCTTTGTGATTATAGATTTTATAATACGTGCAGTTCATTTATTAAATGCATGAAATTTATTTTACAGCTCTATGAAAAAGTTGCCCTGCTTCTGACGAATTTAGGTGAGTGGAATCCTTTCTATTTCATAGAACTGTACTGTGGGCTAGAGAGTATGGTTCAAAGATTCCTTTCTCTAATACTGCTGGAAAGAAATAGTCCCTTTATTTTAAAATTCATACAACAAGTTTTTTCTTTGCCTTCAACAGAATAATTTAAATATGTCTAGTAATTTTTCTATATAAATCTTTAAAATCTGTCACAAACATTATCTGTCATGAGCTAATGTAATTTAAGGTAGATTTTCTCTTCATGCACAAAAAATAGCATTACAAAAGTACATTTGTATAAAGTATCCAGTATAATTTAGGAAAGTGTTCATTTGCTATTGCCTATAATTTTTGTTTAATTAAAAATGTATCAAGTTTTTATGGTATATAAACTCACAGCAAAGTTAGTTTCTTTGAAGACTGGAAGGCCAGGCATGGTGGCTCACATCTGTAATCCCAGCACTTTGGGAAGCTTTGGCAGGAGGATTCCTTGAGTCCAGGAGTTCAAGACCAGCCTGGATAAAATAACAAGACCCTGTCTCTACAAAAAAATTAAAAAATTAGCCAGGCATGGTGGCATGTACCTGTAGTCTCAGCTACTCCAGAGGCTGAGGCAGGAGGATTGCCTGAGCCCAGGAGGTCAAGGCTGCAGTGAGTCATGATCATGCCACTGCACTCCAGAACAATCTGGTAACCAGTAATAACTTGTACATTTATCACATTTTCAAAATAAAGAAATTGTCCCAATTTTATTAACAAGGTATTGGTCATTGTGCTCCATGCAGTTTGAGAAAATTACATGCTCCCGTCCACAACTTGCTTTAATGCATTCCATAAGAAGCTTGTCCAGAGGAGAAAAAACTCACAAAAGTGTTCCTATTTTTATTCATCATTCTGACAACAGATAGCATTTACTGAAACTTTCTATGAGCTGGATACAGAGCTAGGCACTTTACCTTATCTCTTTTAATGTCATTGAAATCTTCCATCACCACCAGTTCTTGCCCAAAAAGATAGAAGAGGTTTATGTCCATGGAAGAGGTAACTGCCCATTGGTAGACAATGTACCCTGTGGTAGCTTGATCCAGGCTAGCAGAAATGCCATTGGAGGTACAGTCCTGGTCCATCCACGGTGGGGACACCTGGGAACCTAGCTGGTGACCAGGAGACCTTTCCATGTAACCAGGAGTTCAGTAGCAGAAGTGAAACCCTTTAAGAAAACCCTTTAAGAATCCTGTGTCTTTTTGGCCCTCCGCAACAGTATGGCCTTGTCCTAAAACTGACATTTTAAACCATTTTAAATCAGATTTACTTTCATTCTCCCTTCCCTTCTCAGACATGCTCCCTAAAAGCATTTTGAGTTATAATTTGTGGAAATGAATTGATTAAATGAAGTATTAAATGAGAAATCAGACACTCAGGGAATGTGGAAGCAGACAAAATGCTACTGTATTAAATACATTTCATTAGACATTGCTTGCTCATAGAATGTAGCTCCTGTGAAAGGATAAATTCATTCGACATGAGATCTCTAGCTGGAGATTTGATCTTAAGGGCAAATGGATCCATGTTTTGGTTCACACCATTATGTCCAGAGAACATTTGCTTTATGGAAGTTGAAATATATGGAGATGAGATTGGCCCCTGACTGAGGTCAGGAAATTATAAGACACAGATGGTGATATGAATTAAAACCTCTAAAGATGATGCCACCTCCTTGATATTTGTCCATGAGAATGGAAAATGGGGGATAAGGGTAAAAGCAAATGAGTCAAATGCTCTTAGCCTTCTATGATAGGCATTTGACTCCCTCTTAAGCAGTAGGTTGGTATAATATGAGAACTAGAAGTTGAGACCAAGGAACTCTTTGGAGCTGGGAGGAACTAAGCCTGCATAGATTAAGAGGAAAAGAAAAGGCTACTGCAGAGAGCCACGACTGGGAATGAGGCCTCGACAGCCTGGCTGTCTATGCTGCTGGCTCTCCAGGTATCCTGTAAGAGTGGAACAGTCTAGGTATTCAATTCTATCAGATTCTTCCATAGCCACTTCTCATGAGACCCTTGTTGGGTCTGGTCTGTGAGCTTGAGGATCCTATGAGTGGTCTGTTCCACCACACGCCATCCGTGGGTAAACTGGAGTCTCCTGCAGCCTCCTCAGGACTCCTGCGTCCCCACCCTGTGTGTGTGGGGAGGGAAAGAGAGGGAGTTGAGAGGG